>NC_000019.10:57924245-58265930 GCF_000001405.40 Homo sapiens
CGGCAGCAAATACTGATAAGCCAGGAAGGCCATTTTCACCTGATTAAATTGGAACACTGGTTGGTCACAAAGACCACATCACTGGACTAAGAGATCTCCCTTCTCCCTATCCTCTTCCTCCTGCCAATGCAGGAATTGCCTTGAGGTGAACAGCCGAGAAAGGGTACAGGAATCCACGAATCCTTTATATTATTTCCTTTGACAATGGCCTCAGCTACACAAGATTCATAATTATGGAGGTTCTGAGAATTTCTGTACCTGACAGTCCACCACATACATAGTAACTGAATCAATGTGGATGACGTGCATTCCAACTCTGTTCTTGCAGTGTCCTCCACTGCCTATAAATGCAGAAATTCTATAAATTATGACTTCCTGTTATAATCTCATAACCTGGGACACCACACTACGAAACTCTGGATATCAGAGCACATGGCTGCATTCCAGGACCTAGGGAACAGATTTCCCTCAGCAGTACTGAGCAGAATGCAATATCCCTTGTAAAAGAGAGGAAATTTTCGTGTCGATCTCAGAAGCATCAGAGGATGTCACAAACACTGTTCCCTTCTCAGGTTTATCTATAAACCCAGAAATTATTGGAGTATCTAGTCAACAAATAAGGACCACAAAGTTCTGGAGTCTTTGGAGGCCTTGGGCAGCCATGAAAACTATGCCACAAGTGAAGAGACAGTATATTCTGTCATCATACTGTCCCCTCTGAGGCACACAAAGTCTAGTGATCCCAACAAAAGCTGTCTGCCCCTTTATGACACCAGAACCCAGTTGTTTCCAAACCACCCGAAAGAGTAAATACAACTCTCAAGACTGAAGGAAGCTTAAACAATAAGGCCTTATTCATTGCACAAATCAGAGCAATGGGAAGCAGAATGTTCTTTGGTTGGAACTTAAGAGCCTAAAGAATCACATGAGACCCGCTGGGTGCGGTGGCTCACGCCTGTAATCCCAGCATTTTGGGAGGCCAAGGAGGGCAGATCATGAGGTCAGGAGATCGAGACCATCCTGGCTAACACGGAGAAACCCCATTTCTACTAAAAATACAAAAAAATTAGCTGGGCATGGTGGTGGGCACCTGTAGTCCCAGCTACTCGGGAGGCTGAGGCAGGAGAATGGCGTGAACCCGGGAGGCGGAGCTTGCAGTGAGCTGAGATCACGCCACTGTACTCCAGCCTGGGCGACAGAGCGAGACTCTGTCTCAAAAAAAAAAAAAAAATATCACATGAGACCCATAAGGTCCCTGAAAAAGGTAGTCCATCTTTTCAAGCTGACAGAAGACCCCTCTGGACCAGTACTGAGACAGATCCATGGTCTCGCTCATCCGAAAGAAATGAGAAAGGAATGACAGCTGAGACTACTCACCAATTCCTCTGGCCAACGAAAGACAACCAAGGTTTACTTCCAGAACATCATGGGGTGAATGAATGATGCACAGTGAACACCTGCCTCGTGGCCGACATAAAATGGCTTTTGCCAGATAACCGACATCATGTCTGGCAAGGGAACCCGGCAGGGTGAAAAATGCCACACAGCTCCAACATAATTGAGTTTATGCAGATGCTGAAGGTATGTCAATTTAGGCAGATGGCTCCGTCATAAGGCATCTCCTCCAGTGTTATGTTTTACAAGAAATAATATTTCCTGTACGTGTACAGTGTTTTCCTTATGAGAACAATCTGTTATCCAATGACAGAAGGCAGAAGGCTTTCTCACATTCATCGCACTCAAGAGGCCCTTCTGCAGTGGGAGCTCTTCTGTATGTAATAAAACAAGACTTCTGCATAAAGAATATCCCACGTTTGTCACACTCATAAGGTCCTGATCCAGTAAGAACCCTCTGATCAAGAAGATGCACAGAGGTTTAGCTAAAGAATTTCCCAAATTTCTTTTCACTTGTAAGGACTTCTTTCTGTGTGAACTCTCTGATGTCGAAGGAGAGAAGAGCTTCGATGAAATGATTTTCCACATTCACTGCACTCATAAGGCCTTTCTCCAGTGTGTACTCTCCTGTGTTCAGTAAGACTGAAGGTTTCAGCAAAGGATTTCCCACATTCGCTGCACTCGTAAGGCTTTCCTCGAGTATGAAGTCTCTGATGTTTAAAATGCGCAGACCTTCGAGTAAATGTTTTTCCACATTCCCTGCATTCATAAGGCCTTTCTCCAGTGTGAACTCTCCTGTGTTCAAGGAGACTGGAGAAGAATTTCCCACATTCTCTGCACTCATAAGGTCTTTCTGCAGTGTGAGTTTTCTGATGTCGAAGGAGGGAAGAGCTCTGATGAAATGACTTTCCACATTCTCCACATTCATAAGGCCTTTCTCCAGTATGAACTCTCCGATGTCGAAGGAGGGAACAGCTTTGAGGAAATGACTTCCCACATTCACTACACTCAAACGGTTTTTCTCCAGTGTGAACTCTCTGATGAACACGAAACCCAGAGCTGTCTTGAAATGATTTCCCACATTCATTACATTCATATGGCCTTTCTCCAGTGTGAACTCTCTGGTGTTCAATGAGGTGGGACTTGCCCCTAAATAATTTCCTACACTCTCTACACTCATAAGGCCTTTCTCCAGTGTGGCTTCGCTGATGCTGAATGAGGTTGCCCTTTCGACTAAAAGATTTCCCACATTCTCCACACTCGTAAGGTCTTTCTCCAGTGTGACCTCGCTGATGGTTCCTAAGGTGTCCCTTTCGACTAAAAGATTTCCCACATTCTCCACACTCATAAGGTCGTTCTCTAGTGTGAACTCGATGATGTTCAGTTAGGGTGCCCTTTTGACTAAAACATTTTCCACATTCTTCACACTCATAAGGTCTTTCACTAGTGTGACCTCGTTGATGTTGAATGAGATTGCCCTTCTGAGTAAAACATTTCCCACATTCTTCACACTCATAAGGTCTTTCTCCAGTGTGAACTCGTTGATGTTTAATGAGAGTACCATTTTGACTAAAAGATTTCCCACATTCTCCACACTCATAAGGTCTTTCTCCAGTATGAACTCGCTGATGCTGAACAAGGCTGCCCTTATGACTAAAAGATTTCCCACATTCTCCACATTCATAAGGTCTTTTCCCAGTGTGAACTCGCTGATGCTGAACAAGGCTGCCCTTATGACTAAAAGATTTCCCACATTCTCCACATTCATAAGGTCTTTTCCCAGTGTGAACTCTCTGATGATTACTGACGCTATCATATTTGCTAAAGGATTTCCCACATTCCCAGCAATAACATTCCTCTCTAGAGGGAAGTCTCTGCTGTTGAACAAATACGTGTTTGGTGCTAGAATGTTTCATGCATTCTCCACAGCTGTAATGAGTATCTCCCCACTGAAAGGGAGACTCACACTCAGGTTTGCTGTTTGACTTCTCCCCAGTGTGAGTGGCCTCCTGCAGCAGTAATCCTGAGCTGGGCAAAAAGTCCTTTCCACTCTGAATGAAGATAGATGACTCCTCTGACACATGGAACTTACACCTCTTCACAAACAATGCTTCCTCAACACTGCTTCTATAGGGTTTCTCTCCAAGGTACTGATTCTGGTGCGGACGGTTTGAACTATCATACAATTTATTCCCCCATGCCTCACACCTGTGCAGTTTCTGCTTGTGATGTGTCCCCTGATGATCTGCCAAGTGCAAAATGTCTCCCAAGATCGCGCCACACATTTCACAAGAGTGGGCCTTCTTGGGAGACACACCTGCCCCAGGAGTGCTGACCTGAGACACTCTTTGTATAGAAATGCTCTTCTTAGAAGGTGCCTCCTCATCTTCTGATCCACACCAACAACCTGAAAGCAAGAAAATGCTGATGAATTCAAGTTAACTCTGGTGGGAAGGCACAGCCCACCCACAAGCGTGTCTGACAAACCAAGGAATTACTCCATGGAAATATTTGCAGGAACAGAAAGTTGGCTTCACGTGGAAGATGAGGCTATCATTACTGGGCTATAAAGGTCACAGAATGTCGGCCTCATGATATGAAGGGCATTAGCATACATGCAACACAGAGAATTGAGCCAAGGTCTACAATTTTTTTTTTCTTCTTGAGAGACAGGATCTCACTCTGTCATCCAGCACAGAGTGCAGTGGCATAATCTCTGTCTCCTGGGCTCAGGTGATCCTCCCACCTCAGCCTCCACAGTAGCTGGGACCACAGGCACAGGCCAATACGCCCAGCTACTTTTTGTAGAGGTGGGGTTTCGCCTTGTTGCCCAGGCTGGTCTCAAACTCCCAGGTTCAAGAAATCCACCCACATCGGCCTCCCAAAGTGCTGGGATTACAGGTGTAAGCCAATGCACCTGCTGTATAACTCTTTCCTTTGCAAACCACTTGTCTGCGGGAAATTATCTGATGACATGTTAATGCTATATAGAAGGCTATGTCCAGGCCTAAGAAAATGATTTACAAGACAACAGCTCTTGGTCAGAACAGTTTAACAATTTGCACACACTTGGCCGGGTGCGGTGGCTCACACCTGTAATCCCAGCACTTTGGGAGGCCAAGGTGGGTGGATCACGAGGTCAGGAGATCGAGACCATCCTGGCTAACACAGTGAAACCCCGTCTCTACTAAAAATACAAAAAAATTAGCCGGGCGTGGTGGCGGGCGCCTGTAGTCTCAGCTACTCGGGAGGCTGAGGCAGGAGAATGGCGTGAACCCAGGAGGTGGAGCTTGCAGTGAGCTGAGATCACGCCACTGTACTCCAGCCTGGGCGACAAAGAGAGACTCCATCTCAAAAACAAAAACAAAAACCAAAAACAAAACACAATTTGTACACACTTGCTAATACACAATGTGTATGCCAGTATCGGACAGCACTCTAGAAGTAAACATGAGAAAATAAATGGGTGAGATGTGGAGTCCAGAGACTGGAAGATTCGTTGGGGGATGGACATCAGAGTACAAGTGACAAGGTGTACAACTGACAAATCTGATGCTCTCAAGAATGGAAAGGAAAAGACAGAAACAGTGCCTACTGGCCACAAAAATACTAGTCAAATAGAATAGGTTTCTGATACGATTTGAAGAAAATCTCGAACTCATGCCCTCCCACCAGGTGCCACTCCTCAGTGACAGGCTCCCTCTGAGAACATCAGGCTGAGCCTGGATTCAACTGCCTCTTCTGCAGCACTGAGGACTCTCCATCCCACCATCACAATGATGAAGTACATGGAACCTGGATGATGTAAGTACTAAGGCAAAGATAGGGCAGAACTGGGGCAACTAGCCTCTGTGGCAGCAAACAGTGATGAGCCAGGAAGGCCATTTCCACCTGATTAAATTGAAATGCTGGCTGGTCACAAAGGCCACATCACTGGACTCCCTATCCTCTTCCTCCTGCCAATATGTGCTGGTAGTTTTCAGCAACAGTGGTTCAAAACATGACAACACACAGGAAAGGAAACTAATTACTAAAAACAGAATTTCTTTTTTTTTTTTTTGAGACGGAGTCTTGCTCTGTTGCTCAGGCTGGAGTGCAGTGGTGCGATCTCAGCTCACTGCAAGCTCCGCCTCCCAGGTTCACACCATTCTCCTGCCTCAGCCTCCCTAGTAGCTGGGACTACAGGCGCCCGCCACCACGCCCAGCTAATTTTTTTGTATTTTTTAGTGGAGACAGGGTTTCACCTTGTTAGCCAGGATGGTCTCCATCTCCTGACCTCGTGATCCACCCGCCTCGGCCTCCCAAAGTGCTGGGATTACAGGCGTGAGCCACCGCACCCGGCCTAAAAACAGAATTTCTAAGGAGGGTCTTGCCTTTGGTCTATGTAGGCAGTGACAACGGGAGTGATGGCAATTCCTGCCACAGGCAGGCATCAAGTAATGTCAGCTAAAGGAAGGAAGTAGAACCTGGACACACAGGAGTCTCAGATCTGGACAAAGTCAAACAGCAACACAGGGACATGCAAGGTGAAATGCATTAGATTGACTACGAGACACCTGACTCTAACTCCTTCCCTGAGAGTCTGCAGCAAAGCACGTATTGGGACTGCTCAAGGAGAAAAGGCAGTACACAAACCTCAGACCTACCAACCACAAAACCTACCCAGAGAAGTGGAGAAGGAAGCTGTGCCCATGGTCCTGACATGATAAAAGACAGTCTTGCCAATGGGAGAAAAGGGGAAGGGCAGAGATCTATTCAGGAAATAGGGTAGGGTGTGAGGAACTTACCCAGGGAGGATATAAGTACCCAGTTCTCCAGCATCACGTCATGGTAAAGGCATCTCTGAACCTCACTAAGGAGACTCCACTCCTCCTGGGAAAAGTTCACAGCCACATCTTCAAATGCCACAGTGCCCTGCTATGATGGTGACAGATGAAACCACAAACAGCTCCTATGCTGAGGTACCACAATCCACCTCTCCCACACCCCCACCCCCTTGCCCATCCTCCTCCCAAGATCCTCAGCACAGAGGAGAAACTAGTCCACTGGTGCCTTTGTCTCTTCGTGGGCCCACTGGTCACTCAGTATAGCCATCAGCAATTAAGAAGTAGGGGAAAAATAGGGATCTATGCTGTGCTTGTTTTTTTGTTTTTCTGAGACAGAGTCTCGCTCTGTCACCCAGGCTGGAGTGCAGTGGCATGACCTCAGCTCACTGCAACCTCTGCCTCCTGGGTTCAAGCAATTCTCTGCCTCAGCCGCCCGAGTAGCTGGGATTACAGGCACCCACCACCACTTCTGGCTCATTTTTGTATTTTTAGTAGAGACAGGGTTTCACCATCTTGGCCAGGCTGGTCTTGAACTCCTGACCTCGTGATCCACCCGCCTCAGCCTCCCAAAGTGTTGGGATTATAGGCGTGAGCCACCGTGCCCGGCTATGCTGTACTCTTAACATAAAAGGGTCCACCCCCTCCTGACAGCTAATGCCTGTGGTATATCCGAGCTCACATAAAGCCCAGTGCAGTTGCCTGGGTCCATTAGACGTACTCCCTCTCTAAATACACATCCTTCTTTTTTTTCTGAGATGGAGTTTCGCTCTTGTTGCCCAGACAAGAGTGCGGTGGCGGGATCTCAGCTCACTGCAACCTCCACCTCCCAGGTTCAAGCAATTTTCCTGCCTCAGCCTCCCAAGTAACTGGGATTACAGGCACCCACCACCACACCTGGCTAATTTTTGTATTTTTAGTAGAAATGGGGTTTCACCATGTTGGCTAGGCTGGTCTCAAACTCCTGATCTCAGGTGATCCACCCACCTCGGCCTCCCATAGTGCTGGGATTATAGGCATAAGCCACCACGCCCGGCCTTACACATCATTCTTTAGATAGCACAGGCACATGTCACGGCCAGCCCAACATGACATCCCCCAACCATCAGCTTCTTTTGAGCCTTAACACAAATTACAGTTTTGGTTTCTTTTAGTCAGGTTCTCCTTTGGTCGCCTAAGCTGGAGGGGAGTAGTGTGATCATGGCTCATGGAAAGTTCAAACCCCTTAGCCCCAGGCCTCAGCCTTCTGTGGAGATGGGATCTTACGTATGTGCAACATCAACCACTTTCTTTTAAGAGATGGGGTGTTGCTAAGTTGCCCAGGCTGATCTCAAACTCCTGGCCTCAAGCAATCCTCCCACCTCAGCCTCCCAAAGTGCTGGGATTACAGCATGAGCCTTCAAGCCTGGCCAACAAAGTATTTTAATCCCCTTCTTTTCCTTCTACTGCTCTGAGTGGGATTCTCCCCTTAGGGTTATAGTGTTGGGGAAACAATTGACACCTGAGACTGTACATATGCCATCCACAGCAATTTCAAAATCAAATAACTCACAGCCTGGCAGAGAGGGCCACATGGGGGTTGCACTGTGGACAACAAATGGAAACCAGGGACAGTGTTATGCACACTTTGTAGGATGAAGAGGGTGTGATAGCCCCTGATTTCTCAGGAGGGTGCCACTGACTTGCTTAAATAATTCTGAGTAGAAATGGAATTGAAACCCAGTACAAAGTATAATAACCAGAAACTGTGCCTGATCCCTTAATGAAAAGGGTTGTTAGGCCAGGATACATTATCCAATAGAACAGAGTGGGAAGGGGATTTGTGCTCAGGCCATTTGAGGTCATACAGTATCACCACACACCAACGTTGCACATCACATTGGCCTTTCATTTTCGGCCTTATGCCACAATGTGGCTGACAGAATTCAGAGTATGCTTGGCAAATTCAAACAGGATCCAATATTACCACAGAATTCTCATGGCTCCCAATAGCAATGCAGTCCCAAGTCATTCTATGAAGGCCTTCTTGCATGGCTCCACATCCCCACAGAACCAGGTGGGGCTTTAGATATCCATGGCCCTATTCCACTTCTGTGTTGCACTTGGTGACCCCTCTACAATGACGACTTTCCTCTGTCCACCTAGAGTCATTTAAATCCCACTCCCTTGTTATGGAGAATGGTCTAAGAAAAGTGGAAAACAAAAGAAAAAAATAAATAAAATCCCAGCCCATCAGCTGTCCACCCCAGGCCCAATGTCTGTCACAGATAACCAAATTTACCCTGAGCATGTATCCACCAGGCCGAATGAAAACCCCCAAGCACCAACAAAGTTTTCTCAAAATCTTGGTGAGTCCACAGAGTGGTGAATAAGTACCAGCCTTGGCCCAAGTGTCATCTTCCTTCAATTATTTCTATGCTTCTGCTTACATCTCTTATCTATTCTACCCTTGGAAAGCCTATGCCCCCTGACAAACCATGTTGTCTGACATACCCTATCTTCATGAGCCCTTGCCTCCTTCTCCTGTGGCAATGTCAGCCAGGGACCCAAGCAAGAAATTCAGCCCTCAGCCTGCAACCACCCCTTCCTGGCCCCCACAAAAGATTTACCATGAAAATTTGAAGTGTGTCAATGTCATAATGGAGGCTAAACTATCTCAGACTCTTAACATGGTCAAAACAACATTCTTCACATCCCCAATGAATATTATACCTACTATGTGCTCATCTCAGTTGATGCAGCTTCCATCACTGCAGATGCTAAGACCAAAAACCTGGTGGTCATACCTGATTCCCCTTTCATGCCCTCACAGTCTATTAGAAAATCTAGTTACCGACCGGGCTTGGTGGCTCACGCCTGTAATCCCAGCACTTTGGGAGGCCGAGACGGGTAGATCACGAGGTCAGGAGATCAAGACCATCTGGCTAACACGGTGAAACCCCATCTCTACTAAAAATATTAAAAATTAGCCGGGCATGGCCGGGCTTGGTGGCTCATGCCTGTAATCCCAGCACTTTGGGAGGCCGAGGCCGATGGATCACGAGGTCAGGAGATTGAGACTATCCTGGCTAACACAGTGAAACCGTCTCTACTAAAAAATCCAAAAAATTAGCTGAGCATGGTGACGGGCGCCTGTAGTCCCAGCTACTCGGGAGGTTGAGGCAGGAGAATGGCGTGAACCCGGGAGGCAGAGCTTGCAATGAGCCAAGATCGTGCCACTGCACTCCAGCCTGGGCGATAGAGCGAGACTCCCGCTCAAAAAAAAAAGGAAAATCTAGTTGCCATTTTACAAACTGTGAATCTTGAATCCAGCCACAGCTCCTTACTCATTAATATGGTCCAGTAACCCTCACCTGCATTATGGCAGGAGTTTAAACTCTGATCCTCCTTCCTCCTCCCTCAAACACAGTGTGTTCTCTTCTTTGCAGCCAGATGATGCCTGCAGACAAATGGGACTGTGGTAACATCACCTCCTCGCCGCCCTCTTGCCTCCCCACCGAATTTTTACCTCTAAGCATTTCATGACCTGGTACCAACTCTGTAGTTAACCTTCAAAGTATGTTTACATGGGTTGACAGAAATGGGAATACCTCCATACATCCTGTGTCATGGACTTAGGATTCTGGGTTTAGGGTTTCTCCAGTGTTCTCAGATCAAAGGACTGAAAAAATGGCAAGTAAGAGTCCCAGGACATCACAAGCTAGAGAACATGTGAATGGGGAATAAGGCCAGTGAGGGAATGGAACACCCTCTAATTCCCTCTGTGGGTTCCTTTTTTTGAGCCAGAGTTTCGCTCTTGTTGCCCAGGCCGGAGTGCAATGGCTCACCGCAACCTCTGCCTCCCGAGTTCAAGCAATTCTCCTGCCTTAGCCTCTGAGTAGCTGGGATTACAGTCATGCGGCATCACCACGCCTGGCTAATTTTGTATTTTTGTTAGAGACGGGGTTTCTCCATGTTGGTCAGGCTGGTCTCGAACTCCCGACCTCAGGTGATCCGCCCGCCTCGGCCTCCCAAAGTGCTGGGATTACAGGTGGGAGCCACCTTGCCCGACCCCCTCAGTGGGTTCTTTACGTGCTTTTGTAGCCAGGAGTGTCTGAGGGGAAAGCAGACGTTACAAAGGGGATCTGATAAGCTCAGGTCTCCTTGAACCTTTTCTTATCGCTGGAGCCAGGTGACCTCAGACTGGTTGACCTGCGTGTCTCAGTGCAAAATGTCATCTCTACCACCTATGTGATCTATCAACAAAGGAGTCAACCTCCCAGAACCCTAAGGTCCTCATCTCCTCTACTATGTTCTTCCTTTGGCCTTTGGGAAACCTTAAAAGCCTGGACTTGGATCGCATCCCTCCTTTCTTCGAAACTCTCCATGGCTTCTAGCGTCTTCACAGCGAATACACAGCCCCCAGCCTGCTCTTCCAGGAGAAGCTTCGCCTCACACGTTGTTCCCTACAGGCGCCTGTGGACCCCAGGTTCCATCCTCCCGGGTCTGTCCTCCAGGCCATAGCCCGCGCCGGTCCCTGTGCCTGTCGCTCTCCCCACCGCATCCCACAGGTGTCAGAAACAAGGACCTCTCCCGCGAACGCCTCAGTGTCCCGACGCCGGGTCCGGGCTGCAGACCTGTGAACAGTCGCCGCTCTCTCGCTGCTTCAGGATTCGGGTTAGGATGAGGTGACCTGAGGGCAGGGAAGGCACAATTACCTGAGCCGGGAGCCTCAGCGCGGCCGCCGCCATCCCGAGTACGCGGGGAAAGCACTGCCGGGAGCGGCGGGCGCCGTTACGGGGCCTAAGATCTGCCTCTGTGCAGCAAGAAGGACTCTTCACCTTCTGGGTTCAGACACCGCGGTTCGGACCCATAGCTCCAGCGCCTCTCACCTCACAAACCGCAGAAACACACCCAACATTAACCAAAATGGTCGCTACCAGAGAACGCTGAGAATCCCGCCACTACGTTACGTGCGCACACAGAAACGCCTTTATTCTGAGCCCTTACTGGTTCTGTTGCGCTGTCATTCAATGTAGAGCTTTCTGGGTAATGTAGTTCCCCAGGTTCCAAGGTAGTAAAGCTGCCGCTTCCCAAAGGCGCTTCTGCAGGGAAGTCCCAGCCCTACCTCAGGGGGTTCATTAAAGCGCGTACCCTTTTAGGGCAGAGGATGGTCTCGCCCCTCCTTAGAGGCCATATTGAGATTCCTGGGGAATCCCTGTTTGTAACTGACCACCTAAGTGTTTGCAAAAATATTAATTCACATTTCTGTAAATTCAAGCTCCCAGGCGCTAAAAATACTGTGAAGGCCCCCAAAGGCTACAAATCCAAATTCGTGTATCACTTTATACAATCGTTTAGACACAGAATGCTTGCACTGGAAGCAGAGGCTGATAAACATTACTCTGTTATAATTCACATGAATGCACTCTTGTTACCGGATAGAATGTCTTGGCTGTGAGTTGTCCAGTTGTTGGCGCATTGAACAAAGAAGTGAACAAAACACACAAAAAAAGCAACGAAAGAACGGACCAATGAAAGCGCAGATTTATTGAGGGGAAAGTACACTCCACAGAAGTGGAATGTAGGTGTGGGAGCAGGCGACCAAGCGGCTCAAGAACCCCGATTACAATGTTTTTTAGGGTTTTATTAGGTTGGTGCAAAAGTAATTGCGGTTTTTGCCATGAATAAGCTAGAATTTTATAATACCCCAAGAGTTCTTTAAAGGCCTCCAATCCTATGAAGGACTGGTGCACAACCAATCAGAGGCTGAAGTGGAGACTTCTGTCTTGTTACCACAGGAGTGAGGACGTGGCCTGTGTGCTGCCTCATCTTGCCTAGAACTAGCTGCACCTGCTGTTCTTTTGCTTATGCCTTCATTCTTGGTTACCCTAATTCCCTATTCTCCTGCCTCACTCTGAGGCATTAGAGTTGGTTTTTCAGTCTGCCAGGGACAAAAGAGAACTAATCCAGATAGGACCATGCCAAGGAAGATAGAGGAGAGGCTAAAGAAAGAGTACAAAGGTCAATCAGTCGTTCCCATGGAAAAACAACTCTCCTGCTTATATAGTCAATTATTGTGTCCAATTCATTCAGCAAAACATTTATTCATGTAATATCCCTTACTTGGTATTCTAACTTATATTTTCAACTCATTTTAGGAACTTGAAGTCAGTCTCAGGTAAAGAACAATGAAAGAGAAATCTCAGCTTGGTATTGGTAATGGTGGTGATAATCTCCACCTGGAGACACTAGGCGTATGTTAAATTATCGAGCTTGTTATCTTTCCTGGGAAGTGATTATCATTTGTTTCTCTTGTGACAGCGGGGAGTGTTCTGCATGAGGAACTAATATGATACCAGAAAAACAGGTGAAATGCCAGTTACAGAAACTTATTACCAACGACTATCTAATAACTGCGATGACAGAAATAGGTCAATTGAAACATGAGTGGATGGTGAAAAAAATTTACACTTCACAGAAGTTTTTCTTTCTTTTTTTTTTTTTTTTTTTTTGAGACAAAGTCTCGTTCTGTCCCAGACTGGAGTGCAGTGGCGCCATCTTGGCTCACTGCAACCTCCACCTCCCGGGTTCAAGCGATTCTCCTGCCTCAGTCTCCCAAGTAGCTGGGATAACAGATGCCTGCCACCACGCCCAGCTAATTTTTGTATTTTTAGTAGAGACAAGGTTTCACCATGTTGGCCAGACTGGTCTCAAACTCTTGACCTCTGACCTGCCTGCCTCCTTCTCCCACAATGCTGACATTACAGGCATAAGTCACTGCTCCCAGCTGACTTTACAGGTGTTTGTTTGTTTGTTTGTTTGTTTTGAGAAGGAGTTTCACTCTTGTTGTCCAGGCTGGAGTACAATGGCACAGTTTCAGCTCACTGCAACCTCCTCCTCCTGGGTCAAGCAATTCATTCTCCTGCCTCAGCCTCCCAAGTAGCTGGGATTACAGGTGCCTGCCACCACACTCAGCTAATTTTTGTATTTTCAGTAGACACAAGGTTTCACCATTTTGGCCAGGCTGGCCGCAAACTCCTCACCTCAGGTGATCCACCCGAGGTGGCCTCCCAAAGTGCTGGGACTACAGGTGTGAGCCACCTCGCCCGGCCCAGAAGTTTTAACAGTGATGTCTACGAAGAGATGGAATTAAGGTCAGCATGTGATTAAAAATGTCCCCCTTGTTGGTTTTGTCATTGAGATTTTTTTTTCTTTATTAAAAACATTGAACAATACCAAGGTGGAGAAAAATTGTGCCTGTTCACCTACCTACTTGGGAGGCTTAGAGGGAGGATCACTTCTGCAAAGGAGTTTGAGGCCAGCCTGGGCAGCAGAGCAAGACTCTGTCTCCAAATAAATAATTTAATGAATAAGTAAAAACAGAAGGTGAAATCTGCAGTATAGTATTATCCTCATAGAATTGTGTCTCCCTTTCTTCATTATTCTGTGTGTCAATTATGTTACAAGTTTTTCATCTTATAGGAAAAAAGTCATAGATTCTATACACATCTGTACTTTTTCTCACTTAGCAATATGGTTTGAACAATGAAAAGCTTCTTTTTCACTTCACATTTGAAATCTGCTTATCTCCACATTCTATTTTTTTCTCCCCTTTTTGAGACAGCGTCTCACTCTGTTGCCAAGGCTGAAGCGCAGTGGCATGATCAAGGCTCAACTGCAGTCTCAACCTCTCAGGCTCAAGTGATCCTCCCATCTCAGCATTCAGGAGTAATTGGGACTATAGGCATGCACCACCACAACCAGCTAATTTTTGAGAGATGTGGTTTTGCCATGTTGCCCAGGCTGGTATCAAACTCCTGAGTTCAAGCAATCCTCCTGCCTCGGCCTCCCTAAGTGCTGGCATTATAGGATTCGGCCACTACACCTGGCCTATTCATCTTTTTCTGATGTAGAACCCACTCAGTGACAGTGTAATCAAGAATCAAGAAAGAGGCCAGATGCAGTGGCCATGCCTGCAATCCCAGCACTTTGGGAGCCTAAGGTGGGCAGATCACTTGAGGTCAGGAGTTTGAGACCAGCCTAGCCAACATGGCAAAAACCCGTCTCTACTAAAAATACAAAAATTAGGTGGGTGTGGTGGCGCACATCTGTAATCCCAGCTACTCGGGAGGCTGAGGCAGGAGAATTGCTTGAACCCGGGAGGCAGAGGTTGCAGTGAGCTGAAATCGTGCCACTGCACTCCAGCGTGGACAACAGAGCAACTCCGTCTCAAAAAAAAATAGAGCCAGAATACAATACACAAGCAACTGAAGTATTTCAACAGCAAAGAAACCCTCAAACAATCCAATTTAAAAATGTCAAACGATCTGAATAGGCATTTTTCAAAAGACAACATACAAACGGTCAAAAATATATTAAAACACACTCATCACTATCTGGGAAATGCAAATCAAAACCGCAATGAGGTATCACTCTCCCCGTTTAGGATAATTATTATCAAAAAGACAAAAACAGACGCTGGCAAGGATGCAGAGAAAAGGGAACTAATGGCCAGGTGCGGTGGCTCACATCTGTAATCCCAGCACTTTGGGAGGCCGAGCTGGGTGGATCACGAGGTCAGGAGTTCGAGACTGCCTGACCAACGTGGTGAAACCCTGTCTCTACTAAAAATGCAAAAATTAGCCAGGCGTGGTGGTGCGTGCCTATAATCCCAGCTACTCAGGAGACTGAGGCAGGAGAATAGCTTGAACCCGGGAGACGGAGGTTGCAGTGAGCCAAGATCATGCCACTGCACTCCAGCCTGGGCGACAGAGAAAGACTCCATCTCAAAAAAAAAAAAAAACCCAACAAAATACAAGAAAAGGGAACTCATGCACTGGTGGTGCAAATGCAAACCAGTACAGCCATTATGGAGAACAGTATTGAGGTCCCTCTAAAAACTACAAATATGCCAGGCGCGATGGCTCACGCCTGTAATCCCAGCACTTTGGGAGGCTGAGGCAGGCGGATCACGAGGTCAGGAGTTCGAGAACACCCTAACCAACATGGTGAAACCCCGTCTCTTCTAAAAATACAAAAATTAGCAGGGGTGGTGGCACGCACCTGTAATCCCAGCTACTCAGGAGGCTGAGGCAGGAGAATTGCTTGAACCTGGGAGGCGGAGGTTGCAGTGAGCCAAGATCACACCACTGCACTCCAGCCTGGATAACAGAGTGAGACTCTGTCTCAAAAAACAAAACAAAACAAAACAAAAAACTACAAACACAACTACCATATCATCCAGCAATCCCCCTACTGGGAATTTATCCAAAGGAAAGAAAATCATCACATTGGAGACACATCTACACCCCGTTTACTGCAGCACTATTCACAATAGCCAAAATATGGAATCAACCTAGATGTCCAACAACAGATAAATGGATAAAGAAAATGTGGTTTATACACACAAAGGAATACTATTCAAAGAACAGAATGAAATCCTATCACCTGAGGCAACATGGATGGAAATGGAGGACATTATTTAAGTGAAATAAGCCAGGAACATAAACATGCACATTCCCACTCATATGTGGAAGCTTTAAAAAAAAAAAAAAAAAGCTGGGTGCGGTGGCTCACGCCTGTAATCCCAGCACTTTGGGAGGCTGAGGCGGGTGGATCACCTGAGGTCGGGAGTTCAAGACTAGCCTGACCAACATGGAGAAACCCTGTCTCTACTAAAAATACAAAATTAGCCGGGGTGGTGGTGCATGCCTGTAATCCCAGCTACTCAGGAGGCTGAGGCAGGAGAATCGCTTGAACCCAGGAGGCAGAGGCTGCGGTGAGCCAAGATCATGCCACTGCACTCCAGCCTGGGCAAAAAGAGTGAAACTCCATCTCAAAAAAAAAAAAAAAAAAAAAAAAAAAAAAAGCCTGGGAGACAAAGCAAGACTGTCCCCCACCCCCACAAAAAAAAGTTGATCTCTTAGAAGTAAAAAGTAGAACAGAGGATACTAGAGGCTGGGAAGGGTAGTGGGTAGGCAGGAATAGACAAAGATTGGTTACAAGCTACAAAATTACAACTAGACAGGAGGAATAAGTTCTAGTGTTCTATACCACTACAGGAGAACTAAAGTTAATAATATATAATTTCAAGTTGTTAGGAGAATGGCAATTGAGACTGACTGTTCCCAATATAAAGGAATGACGAATGTTTGAGGTGATGGATATGCTAATTACTCTGATCACTCTAAGTTATAGGTATCAAAACATCACTATGTACTCCAGGAACATGTACAATTATAATTTGTCCATTTAAACACAAAGAATTTTTTTAAAAAAAGAAACCATTTGGTTTTCTGTGTGGATATGAGACAAAGTAGTATGTACACATATAAACTTATTTGTATAAAACAAAATTCAGAGAACATATACTAAATATAAAACATGGTTATTGAAAATACGTATTTATTTATTTATGTCTGTGAATTTTGCAGGGACACTTCTCAGTCCGTAACAGCCCTATGTGTGTTACCTAACCTTTATCCCTTGTGAACGTTCTGATGTTTTAGGAGGTTGGAGTTGAAGGTAAAAAATTTTCCACAGTCACTACACTCATAAGGCCTTTCCCCACTGTGAATTCGCTGGTGATTAGTGAGGTTAGAGCTCTGGCTAAAGGATTTTCCACATTCACTGCATTCATAAGGCCTTTCTCCGGTATGAACTCTTCGGTGTTTAACGAGGCTAGAGTGGTTACTAAAGGATTTCCAACACTCACTGCACTCATAAGGCCTTTCTCCGGTGTGACTTCTCCTATGTCTAATGAGGCTGGAGCTCTGGCTAAAAAACTTCCCACATTCATTGCACTCATAAGGCCTTTCTCCAGTGTGAACTCTCTGGTGTTGAAGGAGCGTAGAGCTATGAGTAAATGATTTCCCACACTCCCCACATTCATAAGGCCTTGCTCCAGTATGAACTTTCCAGTGTGAGATGAGGTAGGATTTACAGGTAAAGGATTTTCCACATTCACTGCACTCATATGGCCTTTCTCCTGTGTGAACTCTCTCATGTACAATGAGGTCAAATTTCCTGCTAAATAATTTTCCACATTCATGACATTCATGAGATCTTACTCCAGTATGAACTCTCTGGTGTTGGAAGAAACGAGATCTATAAGTAAACAATTTCCCACATTCACTACACTCATAAGGCCCTTCTCCAATGTGAAGTCTCCGGTGTTTAATGAGGTGACAGCTCTGGCTAAAGGATTTCCCACATTCACTGCACATATAAGGCCTTGTACCAGTGTGAACTCTCTGGTGTGTAATAAGGCTAGAACTATGGATAAAAGATTTCCCACATTCACTGCACTCATAAGGCCTCATTCCAGTATGAATTCTCTGGTGTGTAATGAGGCTAGAGCTATGGCTAAAGGATTTCCCACATTCACTGCACTTGTAAGGCCTTTCTCCAGTATGAACTCTCTGATGTATAAGAAGGTCATACTTCCTGTTAAATAATTTTCCACATTCATCACATTGATGAGGTCTTACTCCAGTGTGAATTCTTCGGTGCGTAATAAGGCTAGAGCTTTGCCTATAGGATTTCCCACATTCTCCACATGTATAAGGCTTTTCTGAAGTGTGAACTCTCAAATGATCACTGAGGCTACAGCTTGTGCTAAAAGATTTCCCACATTCACTGCACATGTAAGATCTTTCCCTAATGAGGTCTCCCTGGTGCTGAACACGTACATGTTTGTAGCTGAAAGCTTTCACACATTCTCCCCAGTTGTAATGATTTTTTACACTGTGAAAGGCCACTGCACTCTTGGTTCTGTTTGACTTCTTTCTGGTGTGAGCAGCCTGTTGCTGAAGAAATCTTGATCTCACCAGGAAATCCTTCCCAACCTCCTTGCAAGTGAAGGGCTTCCCAGATACTTCAAATGTGCAGCTGCTCAAAAACATGTCTCTGCCCCCATTGCTTCTGAAGTGTTTCTGTCCAACATGCTGCTTCTGGTGCTGATGAAGGTATGCAGTAAATTGTAATTGTTTCCTACATGCCCCGTCTGTATACAGTTTCTGACCATGGTGTGTTCCTTGGTGTTCAACCAAGTGCAAAATCTGTCTCAAGACTGGGCCACATATCTCACAGGGGTTGGTCTTCTGGGGAGAAGGAAGGGCCTTAGGAATCCTAACCTGTGACACCCGCTGTGGAGAAGTGCTCTGCTGATAAGGTGCCTCCTCATCCCCTGCTCCAGAACCACCTGAAAGAAAGAAAATGCTGGTGAAGAGCATGCTGACTTTAGTGGAGTGGAGGTAGCCCACAGACAAATGTGCATCCAACAAACCCAGGAACTGAGTCCATGGGGTTGTTTTCAGGACCAAGGTGTTGGGTTCAAGTTGAAGATAGGGCTGCCTAGCAGAACTGGGCCTCTAAAGATCACAGAACTGGGAAGGGCTCATGAGTTAAAAAACACAGCCATGGGATGAGAAACATGGAGAAGAGGCAGGATATACAACTCATTCCTCTAGAACAATTTTCAGTGAGATCTGCTGTCCTGCTAACACATGCATTGTGTACAGGTATGTGTCCAGGCCCAAGAAAATGTGACAACAAAATAGCGGCTGACATACGTGGACACCTCATAACATATTATGTAGAGGCCAACACTGAAGAGCACTGCAGATAAGGCAGTGAGAAAAATGGGTGAAACATGGAGTCCAGAGATGTGGGGATTAACCCCAGGCTGGAAGTAAGAGACGTAGTAACCAGGTGGACAGCTGACAAGCAAGCTAAGTATCAAGAATGGGAAAGAAAAGGCAGTAATGAGGTTTGGCCCCAAATGTCATTAGCACCAAAATATTAGTCAAACAGGATATGTTTCTGGTATGATGTGAACATAACCCTTATAGAATGTCCTCCTTTAGGTGTTAGTCCCTAGGGCCAGGCTCCCTCTGAGTCCATCTTGCTGTGGGGAATCACAGCCATCCTCAGAACCACAGGGCCTGTCCATCTGACCCCTACAATCAAGAACACGGAACTTGGAATATGCAAGCACCCAAGACCAGCCCAGAATGACTCTGCACATGATAGCCTACAGGAAAAAAAATAATAATACAAGGAGAAATTCAGAGGAGGATTTTGCAAGAGCCACTCGTAGTCCACATAAGTGGTGACAATGTCAGTGATGATAATTGCTGGCAGAGGCAGGCATGAGGAAGTGTCCCCTAGAGGAAGGAAGTAGAACCTGGGCCTTGAGGAGCCTCGAATCTGGACAATGTCACCTGGCCAGGAGAGGCAAACGAGGTGAGATCCATGAGGCCGACTATAAGAAGCCTAACTCTGAATCTTTCCACATGAAAGGGAAGCAGGTGTTGCTTGCTCAAGGAGAAAAGCAGGCAACATACAACCTTAGCCCTACCAACCGCAGCACCTGCCCAGGAACAGGAAGCTGTGTCAATAGTCCTCTTGTGAAGACACATCTGACTCTGGGGAAAGGGTAAGAGCAAAGGCTAGCTCGGGGCATAGAGGTGGGTGTGAGGACCTTACCCAGGGAGGTTGTAAGTGTCAAGTTCTCCAGCATCACATCGTGGTACAGGCATTTCTGAGCCTCATCAAGAAGACCCCACTCCTTCCAGGAGAAGTAAACAGCCACGTCCTCAAAGGTCACAATGCCCTGCCAGGATGGGGACACATGAAACCACAAACGGTTCCTCCTCTCAGGATCCATAATCCTTCCCCTCACACATTTACCCCATGCTCATCCTCTTTCCAAGCTCTCCAAGCTCCCCAGCTCAGAGGAGAAAGCAGTCAGCTGGTGCTGTTGTCTCCTAATGGGGCTCTTGGTCACTGGTTGCAGCCATCAGTAACAAGAGGCAGGTGAACAAATACATGTATCTAAGCTGTGGGCGTGGCATAAGGGCAACCACTCCTTCCTGACAAGCATTCCTCTCATATGACCAAGGTCATGTAAGTCTCAATCAGGACACTGGGGCCATCAGGCACACTCCCTCTCCAAGTGCATATCATTCATTACACTGCACATACCTCAGGTCTCCAGATCCCACTGCCACATGACCATGACCACCACTACGTCCTATACCACAGGCAAATCCTGGCTTCCCCACATGCTACCTGAGTGAAAGAGTAGATAACCTGGGCCGGGTGCAGTGGCTCATGCCTGTAATCCCAGCACTTTGGGAGGCCGAGGTGGGCGGATCACGAGGTCAAGAGATGGAGACCATCCTGGCTAACAGGGTGAAACCCCATCTCTACTAAAAATACAAAAGATCAGCCAGGCGTGGTGGCACACGGCTGTAGTACCAGCTACTCAGGAGGCTGAGGCAGGAGAATCACTAGAACCCAGGAGGTGGAGAGGTGGAGGTTGCAATGAGCCGAGATCACGCCACTGCACTCCAGCGTGGTGACACAGCGAGACTGCGTCTCAAAGAACAAAAAAAAAGAGTGGATAACCAACAGCCAAATATAAGACACGTGACATTGGACAAATGAGATCAACAGTTTATTAATTTTTTTTTTTTTTTTGAGACGAAATCTTGCTCTGTCGCCCAGGCTGGAGTGCAGTGGGGCAAGCTCCACCTCCTGGGTTCATGCCATTCTCCTACCTTAGCCTCCCAAGTAGCTGGGACTACAGGCACCCGCCATCACGCCTGGCTAATTTTTTATATTTTTAGTAGAGAAGGGGTTTCACCGTGTTAGCCAGGATGGTCTTGATCTCCTGACCTTGTGAGCTGCCCGCCTCGGCCTCCCAAAGTGCTGGGATTACAGGCGTGAGCCACCACGCCTGGCTGAACAGCTTATTAATTAAAGACAAATACTCATAGCCTGTGAAAGAATACCACACTCCACACAGGGCCATACGGAGGTAGTACTCCAGAAAAGAGTAACAACCAGGTGCTGTAGAATGTAAGTTTTGTAGCATCAAGATGGAGAAGCTCCACTGGTCCCCAGAGGAGGGGACTGGCTTGTTTGAATAACTCAAAAAATTGATAGGGAACTGAAACCCACTACAAAGTAATAAGCAGGAACTGTTCTGGTTCCCTGGATAAGAATGGATAAGAAGGGTTCATTTGGCTAAGAGAGCTTATTCATGGGAGCAAAGTGGGAAGGGGAATTTGTTCTCAGGCCATCTAAGGCTGTATCGTTTTCATCAGATGTCAAGGCGACATATCATACTGGGCCTTAATTTCCGGCCTTATACCGCAACTTGGCAGGCAGCATCCAGAGTGTGGATATAAACAGGATCCAAAATCCCAGACTTCCCACAGCTTACACTAGTGGAAGCAGCCTCAAAAATTTCTTTGAAGGCCTCCCTGCCAGGCTGTATTCCTTGCCTCAGACATAGCCACACAGAACCACAGGTGAATCACAGATAACCATGGCCCTATTCCACTTCTGTGCTGCACTTACCATCCCCTTGAGAGTCATATATCCACCTAAAGCTCATTTAAATCCCAGCCTCACTGGTCGTTCATCTCACACACAATGACTCTCACAAATGACCACATGACACTAACTTAATCTTCCAGCCTGAATGAAACACCCAGGCCCCATCAAGTTATCACAAAATCCTGGATACCCATAAAGTGGTGAATAAGCACGAGTTTTGGCCTGAGTGTCCTATGCGTTTGCATCCATCTCATGTCCATTCTTCTCTTGGGAGCCGTGGCCACTGCCAAACTACACTGTCTTTTACATACCTTGCCTTCATGACCACTTACTCTATCATCATCCTCCCAGTCTTGGCCCACTAACAGCTTTACAACCAAAACCTGGAGCTTGCCCCGCCTAACTGTGACCCACAGCTCACTAACCTTGGTGCGCACAACAGCCACATCTTGAATATCTGCACCCTGAACCACTCCCTAGATTTCAAGACCGGCACGTTCATCTGCCCACTTAACGCCTCCATTTAGTAGGCTCTGAAAGATCTGACTCTTAGCATGGCATAAACAAACCTGATATCCCTAGTGAATATTACTCCTATTGCCAATTTGTTCATCTTAGTTGATGAAACTTCTTTCCCTACAGCTGCTAATACCAAAAACCCTGGAGTCTTCTCTGAACCCTCTGTTTCACTCCCTCACCACCTACATTATGTAATTTAGTTGTCCCTTTTGAAACCACACATCCGGAATCTAACCACATCTCCTAAATCACGATCCTGGGCCAGTAACCCTCACTTGGACTAGTCTACCCTGATTTTCCTTCCTCCTCCCTCAACCCCCCAGTTTGTGCCCCACTGTGCACACAGATGAAGCCTGTGAAGACCTTGGTAAATTACCTCTTTTTTCTGATTCAAACTTGCTATTACCTCCTGAAAACACACTCAACTTCTCAGGCAGCCACTGCAGTCCTGACGCCTATCCTCCTGTTCTTTGCTTCCCACCAGAAAGCAAGGAGACTTGTGGCTTCATAAATGCACCCAGCTCCGTACTGCACCTAAGCATTTGCACATCTTGTACCTTTCTGGAAAAACTTTCCACACCCGTTCACATGGCTGCCAGAAATTGGAACAACTCTATATACCGGCTAACATGGACATAGGACCCTGGGCTTGGGGTTCACCCAAGGTCTTCAGAACTAAGGGCTGGGGGAATGGCACTCCACAACCCAGAGAACCTGTGGGTGGGAGTTAGGGCTAGTGAGAGACTGGGAAACCCTCCCCTTCCTGGCGTAGATTTCATAACCCTTTACAGCCAAGGGAAACGTAGAAAGAGCCAGGCCTCAGAGAAGAGCATCTATGGCGGTATTAGATGGGCTCAAGCCACCCCGTAGCCCCATGCCTGGCCTTGGAGCCGGGTGCCCTCGCAATGGCTGTGTCACCTCTGTGCCCCAGGGCTCAGTGGCGCCTCTCATCAGGGGCTCCTTGCCAGTCGCGCCCTCCCTTCCCTAGCACACCAGGTGTTGGAAACGGGAGCCCCTCCGGCGAGCCCCCGTGTCCTGTCCTGGGCAGCAGGGCCGCGAGCAAGCGCCCTCGGGGGTGCTAGGACTAGCGTGGGGAGGGCGGGGAAGGCCCAGAGGACGCGGCACATACCTGGGCCGGGGCCGTCAGCTCGGCCGCCGCCATCTGACTCTGTGAGCGGAGCGGGGCCAGAGAGGATGTCCTTATTCCGGGCCGGGCCTGGGTACCCTGGGCGCCGCCGAGCCTCAGCCACGCCTCTGTGCAGCGGGGAAGACTCCTCTCGCGCCTTCTCAGTCAGTCACGGATGATGCTGACCCAGCGCTCCGGGGCTTTCTACCAAGTAATCAGTCCAGACAAATGCCAAAACGACCGCCACAAGGAGGACAACGGAAGTCCCGCCGCGACCGCGCGTGCGCTTACGGAAACACCACCTTTCGGAGGCCTCATTGGCTGAAGGTCGCCGTCGCCCAACGCAGGCCATTCTGGGTAATGTTCCCACAGGCGCACGGCGGGAGAGTGAGGGTCGCCTCCACCTCCTTCCGGAAGTAAAGGCCAAACCCCTGTAGGGGGCGCTGGGAAATGGACACTCCAGGTTGGGGCGGAGGCGAGGCTTCGTTCTTTCTTAAAGGAGACGTACCCAGGTTTCTACCGATTGCTGTCTGCCAGTGTTTGTTTGGAGACGTGTCATTTCATGTGTTCCCAGAGGCACATATCCAGATGCACATATTATTACATACAGTCAGTCAGTCACAAAATATATCCACTGGTTGAGAAAGCAAATAAATATGACTATGTTGCGGCCGGGCGCGGTGGCTCACGCCTGTAATTCCAGCACTTTGGGAGGTCGAGGCGGGCGGATCACGAGGTCAGGAGATCGAGACCATCCTGGCTAACTCAGCGAAACCCCGTCTCTAAAATACAAAAAATACCACAAAAAAAAAAAAAAAAAGAAAAATTAGCTGGGTGTGGTGGCGGGCGCCTGTAGTCCCCAGCTACTCCGGAGGCTGAGGCAGGAAAATAGCTTGAACCCGGGAGGCAGAGCTTGCAGTGAGCCGAGATCGCGCCACTGCACTCCAGCCTGGGGGAAAGAGCGAGCCACTGTCTCAAAAAAAAAAAAAAAAAAAAAAAAAAAAAAAGACTATGTTGCAATTCAAACGCATGCACTCAAGCACTGGAGTCAGTTTTCTCAGTCTCTGTATGTTTGATTAGGGACAAGAAAAAAAACACTCCACACAGGTTCATGACAAAGAGGATGAAGGTGGGATGCGGAGGCACCCTGCAGCAGCAGGACATAAGTAGATCCCTGTCTCTGGGTCCCTCTCGTGCCTGTGTAGTCAAACATTGTGTCCAATTCACTAAGCAACACTTGCATGAATCTAATCTCACTTTCTCCATGCCTTTATATTCACTTCTTTTTAATAATTTGACATCAAGCTCAGAAAGAGAACAACAAAAGGAATGGTATTTTGAAAAGGCATGATGGCTAGCTAGAGCATTAACAGGTGGAACAAAGGGTGCTCTGAATCCCAAATGTAGGGTGTATCTTAAATTCAAGATCTCTTCTCAACGCTGAAATGATTATCTTTGCCCCCATTAGTTACGCTCTTGTTGCCCAGGCTGGAGTGCAATGGTGCGATCTCGGCTCACCACAACCTCTGTCTCCCGGGTTCAAGCGATTCTCCTGCCTCAGCTTCCCAAGTAGCTGGAATTACAGGCGCCCGCCACCGTACCCGGCTAATCTTTTTTTTTTTTTTTTTTTTTTGTATTTGTATTTTTAGTAGAGACGGAGTTTCGCCATATTGGCCAGGCTGGTCTCGAACTCCTGACCTCAGGTGATCCACCCACCTCGGCCTCCCAAAGTGCTGGGATTACAGGCGTGAGCCACTGTGCCCGGCCCTTTGCCCCCATTATTATAGGGCTGTTCTGCATAAAAAATTGATACGATATCAGAAAAAGAATTGTAAAATACAAATTACAGAAAGCTACTAATAATGGGTGTCGCTTCGCCAGCCAGAAACCTCTGTGGTCGCGCCTCTGCTTGAGTTTTGCTCACACCCGCTGGGCTTGTTCCACCCACTCGGCCCAGCAGGCTGCACCTGGATCCCACACCTACCAAGGGCGAGCCAGGCGCGGAGCCGCAAGGGGTGTGTGAGCGAGCAAGTGAAGGGTCCAGCCAGTGCACACAGCCAGGCACGCTGGCTGCTGCGGCGGGGCGGGCAGCTCCAGGCGCTGGCACAGGCGCCGGCTCCTTGCAAGTCTGCGACTGGACCAGACATACTGCAGGCGGCTTCTGCTGCAGGCACCAGCATCTAGACGAGGGAAAAATGGTGGCGCCGGAAAGCTCGGAGACACCAAGAACAGCAGAACCCCAAAGAGGGTGTTGCAGCATGTCACAGCCCTGGCTCCGGAGTCTCGAGGCCTGGGCTCCCGGAAGAGCCACAGCTCTTCTCTCCTTCCCGTTGCTTGCAGCCTGGCAAGCGGGGAGGTGTGTTTTGGGTGGGGTGTGTTTTCAGCTTGTTTGTGATATAGCTCTTTCAGTCCCGCTGCCCTGCTCTGGCTCGCTGCTGCTTCCCATCGTGGGGGGCGGCCACCCAGTGCTGGCTGAGGGCAGGAGGGCTATAGTGTTACAGCTCTGGCTCGGGGAATCCCAAAGTCTGGGCCTCCAGAAGAGTCGCCATTTTTCACTCATGCAGCCCAGAAGCATGGCTACTCAGCCAGGAATGTGTTACAGCCCCTTTCTCTCCTGCTGTTCGTTAGGTCCCAAGTTCTTGTCCCCCAAGTTCTTATCCCACGTCCAGGAAGAATGAGGTTATGCAGACAACTGGAGGGTGAGCAAGGCAGAGAAGGGTTTTATTGGACAACCCAACAGCCCTCAGGAAACCTGAAGGGAGTAGCTCACACCTGCATACAGATAGTCTCCGATGTCTGAGTCTGGCTGAGTCTACAGGTTTTTTATGGGCTCAGAATGGAGAAAGTGTGTGCTCATTGGTCCATGGGTGGTAGGAAGTGCATGCTGATTGGCCCATGGGCAGTCATGGGCGGGCCTGGGAAAAACACCATACCATTGGCCGAAAGGCGTCAAGGAATTTCTCTCTCTGGGTCACAGACTCCACCTGGAACTGGCAGCGTGGCCTCCAGGCTTCAGGCCATTCGTGGCTTGAAGGTGGGGTTTCACAGAAAACCCACCCCTTCCCACGTAGGAACCTGTCTGCCTTTCATGGCCATCAACATGCTGTCCATGACGCCCAGGCTGTCCATGCTGAAGGTTGCCCGCAGGCCTGCCCCGAGCCACTCTCAGCCGCCCCCCTCCCACCACCCGGCCTCCTTCCCATGCTTCTTGGTGCCCAAAGTTTCAGCCTCAAAAGCAGTTTCTGGAGGAAATCGAGATGGTGGGGGGCTGGCATGTCGTCACTGCCCCGAGGGCACACACATTTGGCTGGGTTGTGATAGCGCCCAGGTTTGGCTATCTTGACATGTCCACAACTTTGCTCTGCCGTGGAGCAGGTGCTGAGAGTGGGGAGAGGCCAGGGAGTGGGAGCAGGCACTTCTGGGCCTGTGGGAAAAGGGTGCTTCCCAGGTCCCCAAGAGTGCAGGGATGCCCTGTCTGGAGCCACGACTAGGTGGCTGCAGCTGCGCCTGGGAGCACAGGGCTCCCGTCCTGACAACTCGGTATGGCTCGAGGCTCCCACTGGGATCACCTGTTCCCAGTCCCCGTGGGCTCCACGGAGCATGCAGCCCTGGCCGTGCCTCCCCATTTGCAGCCGGCATCATCACAGCGGCCCCTCCAGATCAGCCACTGCTGCCATTATAATGACTATGTAGTCATTCAAAAATGGTGGCAGAATCGTGTTTGGGAAATATCGGATGGTGAAAAAAGTGAAGGTCTCACAGAACTCTTTTGTTTTGGTTTTTGTTTGTTTTTTGAGACGGAGTTTCGCTCAAAACGGAGTTTTTGAGTCCAAGGATGTGAACTTGGACTGGGAGGTGTGCAGGAGGGGTGCTGAGTACTAGGTCTGCGTGTCTTGTTCTGGTGGCTGTCTCAAGCCATGGTCCACCTGGAGTGTGGGCTAGCTGCATCTCAGTAATGGCCTGGTGGTTGACTAACTGCCTTGAAGTAATCTCTGGAATTTTGCAGATAGGTCCCTATGCCTACCAAGTCTGTCTCAAGATTATCCCCAGGAACTTCTAAGTAAGCACATAATTAGATACTAGCATACAATTAGACAAATGTGCATGGTCTAAGGGAGTGTATGGTGAGAAGCGGTGGACATGGTATTTCAAAGAAAGTACATTTCAAGGCTGTATTTTAAGACTAATGAGAAGAAAAGATTCTGCAGTAAGGTTCAAGGTTATATCACAAGACTAGGGAAAAATGAGAAAAAGGAAAAAAACTTTTTCAGGCCAGGCTGTTCAGTTACAAAACTAGTTTTAGAGTTGCAGTGTGTCCTGTCAGCAGCCATTAAATAAAACTTGTTTCAAGTTACAGCAGGGAGTTTCAGCAGCCAGGCTTCTGGAGAATTACATTTTTGGATCAGGGTTATATGCCCTGAGTGCTTTTTTTCCCACAGCTCTTTCAACTCTGTTTTAGGTGGGTATGACAAGAATGACCCAATTCATATGATCAACTTTCACACAATTAATAGGGATCCCTTCTAAATTTGCTAAATCTGCAGGATTTTTGAGTTTCGACTGGGGGGAAAACCCACCAAATCTCAAATCAATACATGTTTATTTTCCTAATACAAAACAAAATGTTGTTTTCTATTATTTATGTACTATCATAAAGTAGGATGTGAAAAATCTTTGTCAGAGACATGGAGGAAATTTCAATGTGTATTAATAAGCAAAGAAGCCATTCTGAAAAGGCTACATAGTGTGATTCCAGCTCTATGACTTTCTTTTCTTTTCATTCTTTTTTTTTTTTTTTTTTTTTTTTGAGACAGGGTCTCACTCTGTCACCCAGGCTGGAGTGCAGTGGTGCAGTCAAAGCTCAGTACAACCTCAACCACCTGAGCTCAAGCGATCCTTCCATCTCAGCCTCCAGAGTAGCTGGGACTACAGGTGCACACTATGCCTGGCTAAGTTTTGTATTTTTTTTGTAGAGATGGGGGTCTATGTTGCCCAGGCTGGTCTCAAACTCCTGAGTTCAAGTGATCTGCCCACCTCAGCCTCCCAAAGTGCTGGGATTACAGGTGTGAGCCACTGTGCCTGACCAAGCAGGTGTATTAGTTTTCTACTCTTGTGTAATAAGTTACCGCAAAGCTATTGGTTTAAAACAATACCCACTTATTATCTCACAATTGCCTAAAGATAGCTTAGCCGAGTATCTTGGTCTTCTGAGAGCCTGACTCTCACAAGGCTATAATCAAGGTGTTGACCAAGCCTGCAATTTCTTCCAAGGCTCGGAGCCTTCTTTCAAACTCACATAGTTGTTGGCAAAATTCAGTGTCTTGTTGCAAGAATAAGGTTCCTGCTTTTTTTTTTTTTTTTTTTTGAGATGGAGTTTTGCTCTTGTTGCCCAGGCTGGAGTGCAATGGGGCGATCTCTGCTCACTGCAACCTCCGCCTCCTGGGTTCAAGACATTCTCCTGCTTCAGCCTCCTGAGTAGCTGGGATTACAGGCATGCACCACCAAGCCTGGCTAATTTTTGTGTTTTTAATAGAGATGGGGTTCCTCAGTGTTGGTCAGGCTGGTCTCAAACTCCTGACCTCGTGATCCGCCCGCCTCAGCCTTCCAAAGTGCTGGGATCACAGGCGTGAGCCACTGTGCCCGGCCGTCTTGTTTTATTTTAATGGCTGATCTATGTAATCACGGAGGCCAGTATGTACAGACAAGAAAGGGGGAGCTTTTATTGCTTCTCTCTTCCTCCTTGGACAAAGTCTTGATATCACCTCCTTCTTGGCCTGAGTGTACTCTTCAGCCACTTGTGTGCTTGCTTGTTCTCAGACCTGTGGGCCTCAGCCTGGGCAGCCAGGAGCTTCTTTTGGGCCTTTTCTGCCTTCAGCTCGTGGACGTGCTCCATGAGGATGTGCTCCATGAGAATCTGCTTGTTTTGAACACATTTGCTTTCACCTTCAGGTACAAGCTGGGATACATTTGGTGGTCAATCTTCTTAACTTCATGGGATCTTCTGAGCAGCCCGTGCAGAATCCTCATTCTCCTCATCCAAGTTACCTTCTCTGGCATTCAGGCATTGGCCATACCCTTTAGCTTACCTATGTCCATGTACTCACCCTTCCAGCAGGCCAAGGCATTTTTCCAGCATCGAGCCCGGAAATGGACAGTCACAGGCTTGTGGATGTTCAGCCTATCTTTGATCAGCTTCTGGATCTGCTGATGGGAGGTGGCATTGGTGATTTCACTGGTCTCCTTGGAGTGCAATTAGACCTTCTCCTTGCCACAGCAAAGGACATGAGAGGTGAGCCTCTTCTGAAGCCTGCGCATACTCATGGCTTCGGCTGCAGCAGCAGCTAAAGGAAAGAGCTCTGAGGTTCCCAGTTTCTTGTCGGCTGTTGCTGGGGGCCATCTCAACTGCTAGGGGCCCGTGGCGTGGCCCTCTCACAGCAGGAGGATCTCGCTCCCGTGTGCTGAGGCAGTCTTATAGAACAGTGAAGGGGGGGAGTATCTTATTGCCTTGGCCTAATCACAAGAGTGACGTCTGTCAGATTCACAGCCCCCACTCAATGGAAGGAAATTAGGCAACTGAGTGCACTGAGGGGTGAGAATCTTGGGGCCATCTTATAATTCTGCCTCCCATTGCAGTTTTTGCTAATAGACATCTGCCCACGAAGATCCATGTTCTTCCCTTCCTTGTTCACTTGATATTTGCTACAAAGCAGCCCAGTCTGTCCACGCTGGAGGCTAGGTATGGCATGGCATGTTCCCAGCAGAACTAGAACTGGAGCATGAACCATGCTGGCTACCACTGCCTGGAGGACCATGCACAGTCTATAGTCCCTGGTGGATTCCAGAGCCACCAAGGCATGCAGGAGGCTCCTCCCTGTCTTCCCTCTCTCTGGGCTGCTCATCTGGAACTCCTGAGCTCAGGTGATCCGCCCACCTCTGCCTCCCAAAGTGCTGGGATTACAGGCATGAGCCACCATGCCCAGCCTGGGCACCTCATCTGATTTAGGACCCTGGAATAGAATTGCTCTGAGAATTATCAATGAAGGAATAGATTTTACCCCTGCATCTGCTGGTTCCATTGCCCCTCATCCGGCTCCCAGGAAAGCTTTGAATTGTGGGCAAAACCAGGTGGCACTGGCAGAGACATTCTTGGGGTTGGTGTCTCCCCTAAAACACACTGTGCCTTCTAGAGAGGTTCCCTAGAAGTCGCGATCTTTGCTGAGAAATATCCACACATGCTTTGCCACATTGTCAATCATAGGAACATGCTGCCCAACAAATATTTGTGGCATAGTAAAATGTTTTTAAAAGCAGTTGCTATGGATTGAACGTATCCCCCCCCAACTCCCCGCCATCAATTCATGTGTCCTGATGTGATGGTATTTAGAAACAGGCCTTCTGGAGGTGATTAGGTCATGAGGATAGAGCCCTCATGCATGGGATTAGTGCCCTTACAAGACGAGACAGAAAAGAGCTTCCTCTCTCTCTCAGGAATAATGGTGCTCAGGAGAACCCAGCCATACTGGCACCCTGATCCTAGACTTACAACTCCCAGAACTGTCGGAAATACATGTTTGTTGTTTAGGCCACACAATCTGTGGCAGACAAGCTAACTAAAACTGCAGTCTTGCAGGCTAGTGTCTCCCTAGTTAGGATTTGATCTCAGAGCCTCAAGGGCTGGGCATGGCTCTTGCCTCAAGGATTGAAGTTGCAGGGAGGGACATGGAGGCCTGTCCAGGACCTGGGAGTTGTGCCTTGGTACAGTGCCCTGGCCGCTCTGTCCTGTGCCCCCGGGGCTGCCCATCCCATGTGTGATTCCTACTGGCTGCACTGTGCAGGCAGGACCAAGCTGTCGGCTTGAGAAATGCTTTGCACTGTCCCAATTTCTAATATACACACTGACTTTTGCCTTCTCACATTGTCTGTTCTAATTTTTAAAATTTAATTTAGGAAAGATGGAAACTGAAAGGAAGGGTTAGAAGACCTGAGTCTGAGTTCAGTTCATCCTCAACATAGACTAATTTTTTTGTGGTTTTTTTTTTGTTTTTTTTTTTGAGACGGAGTCTCACTCTGTCACCAGGCTGGAGTGCAGTGGCTCGATCTCGGCTCACTGTAATCTCTGCCTCCCGGGTTCAAGCGATTCTCCTGCCTCAGCCTCCTGAGTAGCTGGGACTACAGGTGCCCACCACCACGCCCAGCTAATTTTTTGTATTTTTAGTAGCGACAGGGTTTCACCATGTTGGCCAGGATGGTCTCGATTTCCTGACCTCGTGATCCACCCTCTTCAGCCTCCCAAAGTGCTGGGATTACAAGCGTGAGTTACCATGCCCGGCCCAGGCTAATGTTTTTTTTTTAACAGCTTGACTGAGATTTATTTCATTTAGTGCAAAGTTCACTCTTTTAAAGTATGCAGTTCAGGCCAGGAGTGGTGGCTCACATCTGTAATCCCAGCACTTTGGGAGGCTGAGGTGGGCAGATCACTTGAGGTCAGGAGTTCAAGACCAGACTGGCCAATGTGGTGAAACCCTGTCTCCACTAAAAATATAAAAATTAGCTGGGCCTGGTGGTGGATGCCTGTAATCCCAGCTACTTGGGAGGCTGAGGCAGGAGAATTGCTTGAACCTGGAAGGCAGAGGGCCAGGCATCGTGGCTCACGCCTGTAATCCCAGCACTTTGGGAGGCTGAGGTGGGAGGATCATGAGGTCAGGAGATCGAGACCATCCTGGCGAACACGATGAAACCCCATCTCTACTAAAAATACAAAAGAATTAGCCAGGCATGGTGGCAGGCGCCAGTAGTCCCAGCTACTCAGGAGGCTGAGGCAGGAGAATGGTGTGAACCCGGGAGGCGGAGCTTGCAGTGAGCTGAGATCGCGCCACTGCACTCCAGCCTGGGCAACAGAGCGAGACTCCGTCTCAAAAAAAACCAAAAAAACAGAACCTGGAAGGCAGAGGTTGCAGTGAGTCGAGATCGTGCCACTGCACTCCAGCCTGGGTGACAGAGTGAGGGAGACTCTGTCTCAAAAAAATAAAAAATAATAAAATATGCAATTTAGTGCTTTTTGTATATTCACAAAGTTTACAACCATCACCACTATCAAATTTTCTAACATTTTCTTTTTTCTTTTCTTCTTTTTTTTTTTTTTTTTTTTAAGACCGAGTCTGGCTCTGTTGCCCAGGCTGGAGGGCAGTGGCACAATCTTGGCTCACTGCAACCTCCACCTCCTGGGCTCAAGTCATCCTCTCTCACCTCAGCCTCCCAAGTAGCTGAGACTACAGGCTCATGCCACTATGCCCCACTAATTTTTGTACTTTTTGTGAGACGGGGTTTTGCCATGTTGCCCAGGCTGTTCTCAAACTCCTGAGCTCAAGTGATTCACCTGCCTCAGCCTCCTAAAGTGCTGGGATTACAGGCATGAGCCACTGTGCCCAGCCTCTAACATTTTCATTCCCCATAAAGAAACCTCGTACCCACAAGCAGTCTTCCCCCTCCTGCTGCCCCAGCTCCTGGAACCACCAATCTACTTTCTGCATCTATACAGTTTCCTATTCTGGCCATTTTTAAAGAACAGAATCACACAATATGTGTCTGGCTTCTTGCTCTTAGCATAATGTTTTTCAGTTTGTTTATATTGTAGTGTGCGTAAGAACTTCACTCTTTTTTCTTTTTCTTTTCTTTTTCTTTTTTTTTTTTTTTTGAGACAGCCTCGGTCTGTAGCCCAGGCTGGAGTGCAGTGGTGCGATCTCGACTCACTGCAAACTCCGCCTCCCGGGTTCACGCCATTCTCCTGCCTCAGTCTCATGAGTAGCTGGGATCACAGGCATCCGCCACCACGCCCAGCTAAATTTTTGTATTTTTAGTAGAGACGGGGTTTCACCATGTTGGCCAGGATGGCCTCGATCCCCTGACCTCATGATCTGCCCCCTTGGCCTCCCAGAGTGACTTCATTCTTTTTTGTTGCTGAAAAATATTTAATTGTACAGATAGACCACATTTTGTTTATCCATTTGTTGGTTAATGGACATTTGGGTTGTTTCCACCTTCTGGCTCTTATGAATGGTGCTGCTAAGAACATTAGTGTGCAGGTTTTTGTGTGTACATGTGTTTTCAGTTCTCTTGCATGTACACCTAGGAGTGGACTTGCTGGGTCATACAGTAACTCTATGTTTAACTTTCTGAGGAACCGTCAGATTGTTTTCCAAAACAGCCGCACCGTTTCACTCACTCTTGCCTCTTTGCATTCCCACAGCCCTTGGTGTCCACTTGCTACCTCTGGCCGTGTTTCTTAGCTCCTTGCCTGTGGGCCTGTTTCCCTCAAGAGAGCTGGAACCTGACGGCGATGAGTGTGTATTTCTTTTTTGTGTGGAGACGGGGACTCACTATGTTGTCCAGGCTGCTCTTGAACTCCTGGACTCAAGCAATCTGCCTGCCTCATGCTCCCAAAGTGTTGGAATTACAGGCATGAGCCATCATGACTGGCCTGGATGAGTGTGTTTTACTTATTTTATTTAATTATTTTATTTATTTATTTTATTTAATTAATTAATTTTTGAGACAGGATCTTGCTCTGTCAACCAGGCTGGAGTGCGGTGGCGCGATCTCGGCTCACTGCAAACTCCGCCTCCCGGATTCAAGCGATTCTCCTGCCTCAGCCTCCTGAGTAGCTGGGATTACAGGCGCATGCCACCATGCCTGACTAATGATGAGTGTGTTTTAATCCGGAGTCATATTTATTTTAACATCCTCAGTTTCCTCATGTGTACAAAGGAAACAAGGTATGGAGCTGACAGGTAATCTCACCAGGAAAGTTTTGCTTCATGAAAGCTATTCCCTGGCTAGTCTGGGAGATGGCCCCCCAAAACTACTTGTGCGGTATTTCTGGTCAGGAGCAAGAGAAGAAAATCCTGACAAGTTCTCTTAACCCTTAACAAAGTTGGATTCTATTCTATTTTCCAATTAAGTTATAATTATTCATCAACTATGAGAGCCAATAAGCAAGAGTTGCTATATCATGTGGCTTTATTTTCTGGGATACAGGTCTGGCATTTCTTTCTTTGATGTCCTCTTCCATAAGGTTCTCTGGGAGCAAGCCACGCCCACAGGCTCAGTCTCCCAGCACCCCCATAGTTTCTCCTCTGCCTCAGCCGGCACCTCTGTCGTCTGCGTTCACAAGTCTTCCATTTTTCCATTATGTGACGCATTCTTTGTTTTGTTTTCTGTTACTGAGTTTTGCTCTTCCTTCAGTTTCTTCTTAATATTTTTGCTTCTTTTTGATATAATAACTAAAATGTAGAAATGATGTTATTGAGATAGTAATAAGTGAGGAATAAAAATGGAGACAAAAGGGGTGAGGGAAAAAGCCTGGAAAAATAGAGGTACCAACAGTGGAATTTTCAGAGGATTCATAATGAATGTTATTTGTCTGACAAGGATGGTGAAAATTAAATTTTAAAATTATTTTCCCATATTTTGTATTCAAGTTGTATAAATGCCCAGTAAAAGAAGAAGAAGAATGTAGAAAATTTATAATCCAATGTGGTAAAGAGACATTGGGAAAATGTTTTCTACAGGTTATGACAAAGTCCTCTGCCTCAGTGAGCATCAGTGATCTCTCCTGCTGTGGCTGTTCTGCCTCTTTCTGGCTATGTCTGGAGTTTTTAGAGAGTGAGTCCATGTGAGGATGGTTAGTATGTCTGAATCACACACTACACTCTCTATAGTTTTCTCTCTAGAATTTTTTAAACAGGTACCCACGAATCTCAGAACTTCTAGGCTGGGCTCAGTGGCTCACACCTATAATCCCAGCACTTTGGGAGGCCAAGACGGGAAGATCTCTTAAGCCCAGGAGTTTGTGACCAACCTGGGCAACATGGTGAAAACTGTCTCTACTAAAAATACAAAAACTAGCCCGGCGCAGTGGCTCATGCCTGTAATCCCAGGACTTTGGGAGGCTGAACAGGGCGGATCACTTGAAGTCAAGAGTTCGAGACCAGCCTGGCCAACATGGTGAGACCCCCCATCTCTACTAAAAATACAAAAATAAGACAGGCGTGGTGGCATGTGCCTGTAATCCCAGCTACTCGGGAGGCTGAAGCATGAGAATCACTTGAACCCAGGAGGCGGAGGTTACAGTGAACCAAGATCACACCACTGCACTCCAGCCTGGGCAACAGAGCGAGACTCCATCTCAAAAAGAAACCACAAACAAAAATGAGCCCGGCATAGTGACATGCACCGTAGTCCCAGCAACTCAGGAGGCTGAGGTGGGAGGATTAACTGAGCCCAGGAGGTTGGGGCTTCAGTGAGCTGATATTGCACCACTGCACTCCAGCCTGGGTGACGTAGTGAAACTCTGCCTCAAAAAAAAAAAAAAAAAGAAAAAAGAAAAAAAAGGCCAGGAGCGGTGGCTCACACCTGTACTCCTAGCACTTTGGGAGGCCGAGGCGGGTGGATCAATTGAGGTCAGGAGTTCGAGACCAGCCTGGCTAACTGGTGAAACTCCGTCTCTACTAAAAATACAAAAATTAGCCAGGGGTCATGGTGCACGCCTGTAATCCCAGCTACTCGGGAGGCTGAGGCAGGAGAATTGCTTGAACCCAGGAGGCAAAGGTTGCAGTGAGCCAAGATTTCGCCACTGCACTACAGCCTGGGTGACATAGGGAGACTCTGTCTCAAAAAAAAAAGATAAATAAATAAAATAAATTCTACAGGCGGGGTGCATTGGCTTATGCCTGTAATCCCAGCACTTTGGGAGGCTGAGGTGGGTGGATTACAAGGTCAGGAGATCGAGACCATCCTGGCTAACACGGTGAAACCCCGTCTCTACTAAAAATACAAAAAGTTAGCTGGGTGTGGTGGCGGGTGCCTATAGTCCCAGCTACTCGGGAGGCTGAGGCAGGAGAATGGCGTGAACCCGGGAGGCAGAGCTTGCAGCGAGCTGAGATCATGCCACTGCACTCCAGCCTGGGCAACAGAGCAAGACTCCGCCTCAAAAAAAAAAAAAAAAAAAAGAACTTCTACAAAATCAGTTTTAAATAATCAATTTCATCCTCTTCTCACAAGGACAGCAGAACATGTCTGTGGTGGGCATGGCATGCTGGGAAATTTTACCCTGGGGTAGTGACCTCTATTTTGTGGGTCTGGATCCCATTTTCACGTCAGATGGAGACAGATGGTGCAGGTGAAACATCTGCGTGTCTGTGTTCTGAATGCAGGATAACATCACGGTAATGAGTATGTTTAACGGAAACATGTTTTGTGCTGGGAAAAGTTTGTTTCCTGAACTCTGTTAGATCCGTGGAATTGCCCTGCAAAAGGAACTGAGCAACCCCACAGCTGTTCACCCCTCTGTAAGATTTGATGAGAAAGGTTCATTTCCGTAAGTGTGGCTGTGAATATTTGTCTCTCTTACTTCAAACTCCCTTAACTCCCACTTATCTTTGCCTTTGAAAACCAAGCCACAGGCCAGGCGCGGTGGCTCACGCCTGTAATCCCAGCACTTTGGGAGGCCGAGGCGGGCGGATCACGAGGTCAGGAGATCGAGACCATCCTGGCACCCGAGCGTTGGTGGTATAGTGGTGAGCATAGCTGCCTTCCGAGACCATCCTGGCTAAAATGGTGAAACCCCGTCTCTACTAAAAATACAAAAAATTAGCCGGGCATGGTGGCGGGCGCCTGTACTCCCAGCTACTCGGGAGGCTGAGGCAGGAGAATGGCGTGAATCTGGGAGGCGGAGCTTGCAGTGAGCAGAGATCGCGCCACTGCACTCCAGCCTGGGCTACAGAGTAAGAGTCCGTCTTAAAAAAAAAATGAAAGAAAGAAAGGAAGGAAGAAAGAAAGAAAGGAAAGAAAGAAAGAAAAGAAATGCAAGCCACCGCTGAGAAAGAAAGAAAAGAAACGCAAGCTGCCGCTGCCAGCTTGGCTTTCCTGCGAATAGCTCTTACAGGTCACACTACCTGAGTGGATGAACTTTTCCAGCTCATTTTCGTTCTCTGGAAGTAGGTGCGTGGACTCACCCTCGTCCTCTGAGCCCTCTTCTTCATCTCCTAATAACGGTATCCTGAGGTTCTTATAAAGTGACTCGAGCTGTTGTCTTTCCTCAGCCTGTGCCAGTCGACTGGAGAATGATATAAATGAATTTAGAAGCACAGTTTTCATGATGAATAATTCATTTCTCAACCATGCCACTTTTTGACAGGAAAGGAGTCGCTTGTGGAGTGGGTGCAGACATAAGACTTTGAAACCAGACTAATCATGGTCAGCTCTCAACTGTCTACATGGTCAGGCCATTTCCTGGAGTAAGGAGTAACTCCGATCATCCCAAAGCATGGATCAAAGCCAGGACTAGACGTGAACAAGGCACTCACATTGGGTTCCAAACTTAAGGTGTTGACAAAAAATCCATAATCAAACAAATCATCTTTCTTTCCATTCCTTTCTCTTCTCTTTTTCTTTCTCTTTTTTTTCCTTTTTCTTTCTTCTTTCCTCTCTTTCCTTCCTCCCTCCCTTCTTTTCTTTCCTTTTTCTTTCCCTTTCTCTCTCTCTCTCCCTTTCTCTTTCCCTTTCTCTCTCTGTATCTCTCCCTTTCTCTTTCTCTCTCTCTTTCTCTCTTTGGAACAGGGTCTCATTCTGTCACCCAGGCTAGAAGTGAACTGATACAATCATGGTTCACTGCAGCTGCCAACTCCTGGGTTCAAACAGTCTTACCTGCTCAGCCTCCTAAGTAGCTGGGACCACAGGCTCGTGGCACCATGCCCGGCTAATTATTTTTGTATTTTTTTTTTTAGAAATTGCGTCTTGCTATGTTGCCCAGGATGGTCTCAAACTCCTAGGCTCAAGCTGTCTTTCCTCCTTGGCCTCCCAAAACACTGGAATTACAGGTGTGAGCCACTGTGCCCGGCCATAATCATGTTTCAGTGTAATATTTTACAAAATAAAAATTAATGTCAAGAAATCCGTGATGAACAAAATAGGACAGAATGGGTGTTACTGATTTTTCTACCTCACTGTAGGTCCAATCCTGGAAGTGGATCACTGAACAGCTATTTCTGTTTGGTGTGGAAATGGATGACAGTGTTTTCCTAACATACTTACCTTCCCAGTACTGTGTGAATTATATATTAAAAAAATACTTTTAGGGGCCAGGCGCGGTGGCTCACGCCAGTAATCCCAGCACTTTGGTAGGCCGAGGCGGGCAGATTACCTGAGGTCAGGAGTTGGAGGCCAGCCTGACCAACATGGAGAAACCCCGTCTGTACTAAAAAAATACAAAATTAGCAGGGCGTGGTGGCACATGCTTGTAATCCCAGCTACTTGGGAGGCTGAGGCAGGAGAATCACTTGAACCTGGGAGGCGGAGGTTGCAATGAGCTGAGATGGTGCCATTGCACTCCAGCCTGGCCAACAAGAGTGAAACTCCATCTCAAAAAAAAAAACAAAAAACTTTTAGGGTTAGTTTATTTTTTGTTTTTCTTGCTCAAAAGGCTGGGACAGGAGCAAGATTTGAGTGACAAAAGGGAGGTGCTCGCCTCAGTGCGAAATGTAAGGAGGTACCCCAAACAGTGAAAAATGAAGATGAGTATTTTAACTCAATTTTTTTTTTTTTTTTTGCAGATGGAGTTTCACTCTTTTTGCCCAGGCTGGAGTGCAATGGCGCGATCTTGGCTCACCACAACCTCCACCTCCCAGGTTCAAGTGATTCTCCTGTCTCAGCCTCCCGAGTAGCTGGGATTACAGGCATGTGCCACCATGCCTGGCTAATTTTTTTGTATTTTTAGTACAGATGGGGTTTCTCCATGTTGGTCAGGCTGGTCTCGAACTCCCAACCTCAGGTGACCCGCCCACCTCGGCCTCCCAAAGTGCTGGGATTACAGGCGTGAGCCACCGCGCCCGGTCCTTAACTCAGTATTTTTAAAAATTGAAATGAAGCAAAAAAAACAAAATCCAGGATATACCAAATATCAAGATTGTAAACAGAGATAGGATCCAAACAGTGCTGTGCTAAACCACAGGGGAGCTTGAGTCAAAAGGAAAGGTGTGAGTCCCTATACACGTTTTAATGTATTTTTAAATGCTTATTCTTTTCCAAAACACTTAAGAAGTTCAGAATATATTTAATAATTGAAAACTGGTGTATGAAAAGTCACAACATTAAGTTTAAATATTTTATCTAGGCCAAGCACAGTGGCTCACGCCTGTAATCCCAGCACTTTGGGAGTCCGAGGCGGGCGGATCACGAGGTCAGGAGATTGAGACCATCCTGGGTAACATGGTGAAACCCCGTCTCTAATAAAAATACAAAAAAAAATTAGCCGGGCGTGGTGGCGGGTGCCTGTAGTCCCAGCTACTTGGGAGGCTGAGGCAGGAGAATGGCGTGAACCTGGGAGGCGGGGCTTGCAGTGAGCTGAGATGACGCCACTGCACTCCAGCCTGGGCAACAGAGCAAGACTCCGTCTCTAAAAAAATAAAAATAAAAATAAATATTTTATCTCTACCCTAAACAAAATTAATTGTAATTTTACTTTCCTGGTTTAAATAAAAGCAAACTTACCAATAGTATTTTCAAAATCTACTTCTGGAAAAAATGAACCACTAAAAATTACATAAAACTTGTACTTTTGAACAGGTGGTTTTGTTTTTTTTGTTTGTTTTCGTTTTGGTTTTGGTTTTGGCCCCAGGCTCCACTATAGCTTAGTGCTAATACAAATGTGAAAACAATAAGAATTGACTAGCTCAGCAACTCAATTCAACACTGAGTGTCCAGGAGATATGTTTTACTGAGTTGCATTACAAAACTTTATATTTATTAATAGTTTTGTTATAATAATGAAATATACAGAAGCTACAGTTACATAATTTTTGTTTTTGAGACATGGTCTCACTCTGTCGCCCAGGAGGAAGTGCAGTGGTGCAATCTCAGCTCACTACAACTTCCACCTCCAGGGCTCAAGCCATCCTCCCACCTCAGCCTCTTGAGTAGCTGGGACTACAGGTGCGTGCTACCACACCTGGCTAATTTTTGTATTTTTTGTATAGACGCGGTTTCACCATGTTGCCCACGCTGGTCTCAAACACCTGAGCTTAAGGGATCCACCCGCCTCGGCCTCCCAAAGTGTTGGGATCACAAGTGTGAGCCAATGCCCCCGGCCTATACATTTACATAAATTAAGCGGATGTAGTGGAGATAACCCACAACCAAGCACGCAGGTTACGCTCTCATTAGCAAAATTCCCCTTTTACCTTTAATGTCACTTTGCCTTCATGTGACCTACTCCAAGGTGGTCTTAACATAGCTGCCTCAGAAAATATCTCACACATGGCAATATATCTTGTTTTCACACTTAATTCAACGAAGCAAGCAATTTTGTACTTCTCAAGCTGTTTCTGGTGGGATACAATGGAATCCTAGCACGGAATCATACAGTAGGAGTCAGAATCTGTTGGTTTGGTCAGAACCGCATGAGATCACAGTGTGTCTCACCTTTTTCTACCGTGAATTTCAAAATGATTACATCACTCAAAACAGCTTGACCCCAAGCTTTATTTGCGAAGACGGTGATGTAACTTCCCCCAAAGCTGCTATCACCCCAGACTGCACTGACACATTTCTAGTGAAAGGGAGAGTGGTCGCTCTTTTCTGCTGTGCACTATTGAGATTCCTTCCAGAGTAGCAAGTTCTTTTTATTTTATTTATTTATTTATTTATTTATTTATTATTTGCGACAGAGTTTTGCTCTTGTCGCCCAGGCTGAATTGCAATGGCGTGATCTCTGCCCACTGCAACCTCTGCCTCCCAGGTTCAAGCAATTTTCCTGCCCCAGCCTCCCAAGTAGCTGGGATTACAGGTGCCCACCACTACGCCCAGCTAATTTTTGTATTTTTAGCAGAGACGGGGTTTCACTATATTGGCCAGGCTAGTCTTGAACTCCTGACCTCAGGTGATGTACCCGCCTCAGCCTCCCAGAGTGCTGGGATTACAGGCATGAGCCACCACACCCGGCCTCAAGTTTATTTTAAAATACCAAATTCTGGGGTCTGGGAATGGTGGCTCACACCTTTAATCCCAGCACTGGGAGGCCAAGGTAGGCGGATCACCTGAGGTCTGGAGTTCGAGACCAGCCTGACCAACATGGAGAAACCCCATCACTACTAAAAATACAAAATTAGCCTGGCATGGTGGCGTATGCCTGCAGTAATCCCAGCTACTTGGGAGGCTGAGGCAGGAGAATTGCTTGAACCCAGGAGGCAGAGGTTGCAGTGAACCAAGATCCATACCATTACACTCTAGCCTGGGCAACAAGAGCGAAACTCCGTCCCCTCCCCTCCAAAAAAAGTAGAAAAAATAAAATAAAATAAAATACTGAATTTTGGGAGGATGCTAGCATCTCAAACTGTGTCTTTCAAGCATTTTTGATCATGACTCCCAGTAAGAAATATATTTTATTTCACAACCGTGTGTCTGTGTGTGTGTGCATGTCTCACATGTATCTGAAAAGTTTAAAAATCAGCCTTTTACATTAATACTTTAAGTAATATTTTCTTTTCTTTTTCTTTTTTTTTTTTTCAGACGAGTCTCACTCTGTCACTCAGGCTGGAGTGCAGTGGCACGATCTCGGCTCACTGCAAGCTCCGCCTCCCGGGTTCACACCATTCTCCTGCCTCAGCCTCCCGAGGAGCCGGGACTACAGGCACCCGCCACCACGCCCGGCTAATTTTTTGTATTTTTAGTAGATACGGGGTTTCACCGTGTTAGCCAGGATGGTCTCGATCTCCTGACCTCATGATCCACCCGCCTCGGCCTTCCAAAGTGCTGGGATTACAAGCGTGAGCCACCATGCCCGGCGTAATATTTTCTAATATTTTCTATTCTGCTGAATTGTATTCTGTCCTGTGTCTTTCTTTCTTTTTTTTTCATGTGTATCATGCCTCAACATGAGTACAATCCACATGTTGAAAAACACTAATCTGGAAATTTATAATGACCAATACTTTAGCAATTATAAGATGTATCATCATCATCCTTTGACATTAAATAATAATCAGTTGACTTGTTATGTCTCATTTAAGGACAGCAGATATTACTTAGCAGATACTTACTATATCATATAGGAGATTGCCATCCCACATATCAGGGCAATGCTGAAGGCTACGCTCGAAATTAAAATTACTTTAACAAGAGCAGGTCTATGCCGAATTATTGCTAAAAAGAAAGAAAAGAAAAGAAGTGCTCAAAAATGTTCATTTTAGCTATGTCTTTCAGTTAATATATTTGTCCTTACAGAGGGGAATGGAAGTCAAAACCAGAAACACTTTCAAAAATAGCTTGTTTTGTTTTTTTTTGTTTTGTTTTCTTTTTTGACACTGAGTCTCGCTCTATCACCCAGGCTGGAGTGCAGTGCATGATCACAGCTCACCGCAACTTTCGCCTCCCGGGTCCGAGCAATTCTCCTGCCTCAGCCTCCCAAGTAGCTGGCACTACAGGCATGCGCCACCACACCTGCCTAATTTTTTTGTGTTTTTGTAGAGATGGGATTTTGCCACGTTGCTCAGGCTAGGACTCTTAATTTTAGAAAATACTGAAGTTAGATTTTCAGTGAGCCGAGATCATGCCACTGCACTCCAGCCTGGGCAACAGTGTGAAACTCCGTCTCAAAAAAAAAAAAAAGAAAGAAAACTGAAACAGACCATTGGGGATTGGGCATCCAAGAGGTCACTAGAGACCTGGGCAGAGGCCATATTAGCTGTGTGGTGGGGACACAACTGAAGCAGTTTCAGGAGGGAGTGAGAAGAAAGTAACTGTAGACCATGAATTTTGAAAATTATTTTGGGGAACTTTGTATAAAAGAAAGAAGAGAAATGGGCACAGCTCCTGGAGGAGTCTAAGGGATCGAGAGATGGATTTTGTTTTTTAACATGTGAACACTGGCAGCATGTTCGTGAATGGGAATGAAAGAGTGAATCGTGATACTACGGTGCCAGTTCATTCTGGCTGCTGTAACAAAACACCACAGGTTTGGTGGCTTAGAAACAACAGACACAGCCAGGTGTGGTGGCCCACTCTTGTAATCCCAGCACTTTGGGAGGCCGAGGTGGGCAGATCACGTGAGCTCAGGAGTTCAAGACCAGCCTGGGCAACATTGTGAAACCCCAACTCTACAAAAATACAAAAATTCATCGGGTGCGGTGGCAGGTGCCTGTAATCCCAGCTACTCAGGAGGCTGAGGCAGGAGAATTGCTTGAGCCAGGGAGTGGGAGGTTGTAGGGAGGTGAGATTGCGCCATTACACTCCAGCCTGGGTGACGGGAATGAAACCCTGTCTTAAAAAAAAAAAACTTTGGGAGGCAAGGCAGGTGGATCAGGATGTCAGGAGTTCAAGACCAGCCTGACCAACACGGCGAAACCCCATCTCTAATAAAAATACAAAATAAAATTAGCTGGGCATGGTGGCACACGCCTGTAATCCCAGCTACTCAGGAGGCTGAGGCAGGAGAATCACTTGAACCCAGGAGGTGGAGGTTGCAGTGAGCCGAGATCGTGCCACTGCACTCCAGCCTGGGCAACAGAGCGAGACCCTGTCTCAAAAAAAGAAAAAGAAAAAGAAACAAAGAAACAACAGACATTGGTTTCTCACAGTTCTGGAGGCTGGGAAGTCCCAGATCAAGGCATCAGCAGCTTTGGTGGCTGGCGAGGGTTCACTTTCTGGTTCAACAGAGGGTGCCTTCTTTGTTGTGTCCTCACAGGGTGGAAGGAGTGAGACAGCTCTCTGTGACTTCTACTGTAAGGGTGCTATTCCCAGTCATGGGGGTTCCACCCTCAAGACCGCATCACCTCCTAAAGGCCCCAACTCCTAATATCCTCACCTTTGGGGTTAGGATTTCAATACTTGAATATGGGGTTGGGGGACACCAGCATTCAGACCAGAGCATGCAGGAAAGGGAGAGGGAATTGTCAGGAAAGTCCTTGAGTTGGCCTAAGAGGATGGAAGCTGGGACACAGGCCAGCCTTGGCATGGACGGTTCAATTTCCAGCAAGAGACAGAGAAAGGAGGTGTGATTGCTGGTAGACAGGAGGGTGTGGATACTGTCTTTTAACTGCTTGTATTTTGTTTGTGAAGGAGGCAAACAAGGTCATTCTGGGAGAGCAAGGCTGGGGTAGAATACATTGAGATATTTACAGAGCTAGAGAAATATATGAGAAAGTCACCAAGCAGGATGGGAGAAATAGACTAGGAAAATGAATAGCATATTTTTAATAAAATTTACTAGAAATGGAATTGCTGGGTGTATTTATTATATTTTCTTATTTTCCGTATTCCTGATGCTCTGGCATTTGGGGCCTTAATCCTGGAGACCTCCCTTCCCAGGGCTAGCTATTTCCTAGAGACAGCGAATAACTCCCCTACAAGCACATCTTTGAAATACAAACCAACCAATCCACAGCCCACACCCCAACCATCTCCTTTTCAAACTCACACAATAAGCCAATCTCTCCCTGCCTGCCCTAAATCACCCCAGGGCCAAATACTGGACAACTAGAAACCATCCCTATGATTTACCAAAACTATTCAAATCTATATTTGCTCAGAGTACCTGCCATGCCTCACCCATTCCTTCCCTCAGAAACCCCAGTAGAGGCGGGGACCTTGCTCACCCTCACTCCCTGTGCTTCCTGAGGTTACTGGTGTACCCGTGTGTGGTGGGCCATGTCTCCTGTTTCCAGGAATCTATAAGTATAAACTTTTTCCTTCATGAAGATCATTTGCATGTCTGGGAGTCTTGCCATAACTGATTAAAATAAATCCCCCAGGTATATTTCAACACTCTAGGTTAAAAAGTAATTGCCAGCCGGTTGCGGTGGCTCATGCCTGTAGTCCCAGCACTTTGGGAGGCCGAGGTGTGCGGATCACAAGGTCAGGAGTTCAAGACCAGCCTGGCCAACATGGTGAAACCCCATCTCCACTAAAAATGCAAAAATTAGCCGGGTGTGGTGGTGCACACCTGCAATCCCAGCTGCTTGGGAGGCTGAGGCAGGAGAATCACTTGAGCCCAGGAGGTGGAGGTTGCAGTGAGCCGCGATGGCGCCATTGCACTCCAGCCTGGGTGACAGAGTGAGACTCTGTCTTAAAAAAAAACAGAAAAAAAAAAAAAAAAAAAAAAAAAAAAAACCAAGAAAAAAAACAAAGTAAGCACCTTGGCCAGGCATGGTGGCTCATGTCTGTAATCCCAGCACTTTGGGAGGCCGAGCCGGGTGGATCACCTGAGGTCAGGAGTTTGAGACCAGCCTGACCAACATGGTGAAACCCCATCTCTGCTAAAAACACAAAATTAGCGGGGCATGGTAATGGGTGCCTGTAATCCCAGCTACTCAGGAGGCTGAGGCAGGAGAGCTGAGATCGCATCATTACACTCCAGGCTGGGCGACAAGATACAAGATTGAAACTCCATCTCAAAAAAAAAAAAAAAAAGTAATAGCATTGTTTTTATGAGAACTGTCAATTGCCCTCTCTAGAAGTTGTGCTCACTGCTAGCCTACAAACAAGACATGAGATTATGTTTCCCAGCTCCTTTGCCAATACAGTTATGAGACATTTTGCCCACTTTCAACAGGATAGCTGAAAACTGGAATTACAGTGTAGTTTTATGAAATTAAATTATTCAAACTTAAACTAATTTAAACTTAAAGCTGTTGGAACTTTGAACTACTCTGAACCTGAGAGCAATGTGGCTATGCAGCCTGAATCACAAGGATGCAGTGGCAACTTCTGCCTTTTTTCCTGTAAATAAGAAGATCAAGAGGTGCCAGCTGTGAGAGCCCCCTCAGATGGCTTCCCCTCCTCACAGAGCAATAATCTTCCTTGGAACGTTGCCGTCTATAACCAATCAAATAGCTGTAACTTATGCACTCGTCTCATATGGAAAATGTTACAATCCTGCTACAATGTCAGTCTCTGCACATATAAGTGAAACCATAACTTCTCCTCTTTGGAAATGCTGTCCCCATTAGTTTGGAGTCAGTGTCTCGTGGGTGGACATCCTCAAGCTTTGTGCTCAAATAAACTCTGTACTTAATCATATTTGTCGAACTTCATTATTTAAGCTTGGCAGTTTCAATGCACAATTCTTACTATGAGTAAGGTAGACATCTTTCCATATAATTTTTTTTTTTTTGTTACAGAGTCTCGCTCTGTTGCCAGGCTGGAGTGCAGTGGTGCGATCTCTGCTCACTTCAACCTCAGCCTCCCGGGTTCTCCTACCTCAGCCTCCCGAGTAGCTGGCCTCCACCATGCCCAGCTAATTTTTGTATTTTTAGTAGAGATGGGGTTTCACCATGTTGTCCAGGCTGGTCTCAAACTCCTGACCTCAGGTGATCTACCCACCTCAGCCCCCCAAAGTGTTGGGATTACAGGCATGAGCCTGTACTGCACCCGGACCATCAACTTTATTAGATAAACAATTTTGTCCCGTCTCTATCCTACCTACAACTGGGACCTGAAGCTCAGGGGTGGCAGAGGTCTCAGTGACCTTCTAGCACCAGCACACAAAACGAGCTAGTGTCAAAAGAAGGACCAGTGTGCAGGCCTTTGATACCCCAGCCAGGACTCAAGCTCTGTGCTTTGGTGATGGTGGTGTCAATGGGCAGGTGAAACAGTCATAGCTGAGCTTTAGGAAGATTGATAATGTGTTTGGCGTGGATGGATGTATTCATCACGTTTTTTATTTTCTGTATTTCCTGATACTTTGACATCTTGGGGCCTTAACTGACCCTTGAAGAGACTGCCCTCCCAGGTCCAGCCAATTCCTGAAGATAGTAAACCCTGGCCTGCAAGTGCACCTTTCATGTGCAAGCCGACACACCCAAAGCCTACACCCCAACAATCTCTATGGAGCCCTCATGCTCCAGGCCACCATCCCCTGCCCCCAACCACCCCAGGGCCAGGTCCCAGACAACCAGGGACATACCCCATGCCCCACAGCCACCAAATCACTCAAGCTGATCCCAAGCCCGCCTTCCCTACCTGCCTTCCTGTAAAAACCAGAATAAAGTTGTTTTTTTTAAAAAAGACAGCCTCGCTCTGTTGCCCAGGCTAGAGTGCAGCGACCCAATCTCAGCTCACTGCAACCTCCACCTCCCAGGTTCATGCGATTCTCCCGCCTCAGCCTCCCAAATAGCTGGGATTACAGGTGCCCACCACCACTCCTGGCTAATTTTTGTATTTTTAGTAGAGATGGGGTTTCACCATGTTAGCCAAGCTGGTCTCGAACTCGTGACCTCAAGTGATTCATCCACCTCGGCCTTCCTAAGTGCTGGGATTACAGGGATGAGCCACCGCACCCGGCCCAGAATAAAGGCTTTTGCTCACACTTTCCTGGCTCCCTTTGCCTTCTGATAGACCCTGGTGCTTCCTTGTGTGGACTCCTGCTTCTAGGGACCCGTGAGTATCAGGCTTCTTCCTTCATGACAGTCATTTCTGTGTCTGCATGTCTCACTCAGCATATGTGATTAAATAAAATGCTGGCTACATGTGAAAGCAGTGGAGATGGGTAGGTGGTGGGGGAGCTGACTCAGAAGCCGCCCTGTTGCAGGCACTTAGCAAATGTGCAGAGGAGAAGGAAGGATGCTCTGGGGCGGGAGCAGCAGCAGGACACAAGGTGCCTTCTGCTTTGGAGGACTCTGAAGCGAGAGGTGTTGAGGAGGTTCCAGGACAAGCCACAGTGGGGAGAGTTGCTAGAAAGGCTGCTGACAGGGCCGCTGTGTGTGCCCATGCATTTTGTGTGTTCCACAAAGAGATCTCAGACACAGCCTGTGCTCTACTCACTACAACATCAGCCCGTGGAGTTGAGCCACCTTCTCACCTGCCCCAAGCGGTGTCACTGCGCATCCCCCTCCAGAGGGGGCACCTTGTCTAACACACATGAAGGCACCACGTGTGCAGGCTCCTTGGTGACCAGCCAGCACCCTCTGGAGCCACACATCACGACAGCTTCAGGAATGTTGCGGGTCCACCCGCCCTCCCAGATCCCTTGGCTTACCTTTATTCCTCAGGAATTTCATGGGGTTCGTAGGGGATGCAGCTAAAAGGCCATCAAAGGGGATCAAAAAGAAGAGACTTTAAGATGGTTTAAGATGAACTTGGGAAAACAAGGAAATAACTTAGCATTAGAGAAGGACGCCGAACACACAGCTTCCAAATATCTAAGATGGGATGTGTTAATACATTCCTCCCAATGCCTGGCAGCAATGTGTGGGTTAATTTGCAGAAGCCTGGTGAGCCTGCTGTTCTTTTTGCACCTGGTGCTTCCTGTCATGAAGAATGACCTTTAGGAACAGGATACTTTTGGTTTCTGGTCTCCTTTTGCAGTCATACAAGTTGGGAAATCTCTGCCCAAATTAAGGACCTGGAGAGACTTAGAGTTGAAGGGGCTACGACCTCATTAGAAGGTCAGCAAGGGTTGGGCACAGTGGCTCATGCCTGTAATCCCAGCGAGGAAGGCAGATCACGAGGTCAGGAGTTCGAGACCAGCCTGACCAACATGGTGAAACCCCGTCTCTACTGAAAATACAAAAATTAGCTGGGCATGGTGGCACGCGCCTGTAGTCCCAGCTACTCAGGAGGCTGAGGCAGGAGAATTGCTTGAACCCGGCGGTGGAGGTTGTGGTGAGCCGAGATTGCGCCACTGCACTCCAGCTGGGTGACAGAGTGAGACTCCGTCTCAAAAAAAAAAAAAAAAAAAAAAAAAAAAAAAAAAAAAAAAGGATCAGAGAGCCAGGCAGAGAGGCCAGGGAACCAACAATAGTGTCCTTTCCTCGGACACAAATTACATGCAAATGTATCACACAGACAGCATTTCCCTTGCATGGAATGGAGATTATTTACAAGCATCATATATCTCCACAAAGGGTTGCTGAGCTTCAAAGATTGTCGGGGTTGGTTTTGCTGTTATAAGATAAACAAACATCCTCTAGTACTCAAATTAGAAGGGAACCATAGAAAATGCTTATAAAGAATTCTCGGCTGGGCATGGTGGCTCATGCCTGTAATCCCAGCACTTTGAGAGGCCGAGGCGGGCGGATCATGAGGTCAGGAGATCAAGACCATCCTGGCTAACACAGTGAAACCCTGTCTCTACTAAAAATACAAAAAATTAGCTTGGCGTGGTGGCGGGTGCCTGTAGTCCCAGCTACTTGGGAGGCTGAGGCAGGAGAATGGTGTGAACCCAGGAGGTGGAGCTTGCAGTGAGCCGAGATCGCGCCACTGCACTCCAGCCTGGGCGACAGAGCAAGACTCTGTCTCAAAAAAAAAAAAAAGAAAAAAAAGAATTCTGTACACTCACAAACCTTCTGTGTCTAGACTTGCATGCTCTACTGCCAAATGTGCACCAAATTCAAGTCAGACAGGCATACCTGTGTAATCTGGATGGGATCAAGGTTTTTGTGTGCGCTTATTAAAGTGAAATGAAAAAGAGAAGAAAGTGGCAATCCCTAAAGAGAAAGCAGTTAACAGAGAGTGAAGAGCATAAGATCTAATTTCCAAGCAAATGTTTATCTAATTATACTCTATTTTATGGACCTTTCTACCAGCAAGCACACAGTACACATTCACATGGCAGATAAGAGGACTCCAGGCTACGATTCTCACTCCACTGAATGAGGAATTCAATGACTCACCCGTGGATCTCGAGGCAGCCCCTTGAATCCCAGGCAACTGGGTTTTATGAAAGAACACTTTGGGCTCTTTGGTGATGTTTCTGGGTGGTTGTGACCGTTTACTGCCTTGAAAAGAAAACTTTTTGCGGTGAAATGTAATTACCTTCTTTTTATCTCCCCTGAAACAGCTTTTCAATTCTCCCTGAGTCACATAAAACCAGTGGTTGAAGCTACCTGGTAAGCCTGTTATGTTTCCAGTGGGATGGAGTCCATCTGCATACGGCAAGCATAAATGAAGTTGGCATTCCATTAAAAACAAAAACAAAATGAGGAAACCACTCTGAACCTTGTCCATCACTCTCAAATTATCAGTATTTTATCCCGTAGATGAAAGGAAATACTTAGCTACAGTCCAGCATCTGTCCTCTATTTATCTGAGGAATCAAGAAGTTCTACTCCCTTCAGAATGTTTGGGCAGTGACTTGGAGCCACCAGTGTGAGGTCAGTCCTTGCTGTGATAATGGAGTTCCTTCATGGAACCATGCTGACCAATGGGGAGACTACAGTGTAAGAGGGCAGTGCTTGGAGGTGCAGGCATGATGAGACCAGGTCCCTGCCTGCAGTGTGCAGATTAGTGAGGAGGCAGAAAGAAATCAATTACAGTCAGCCCTCCGCATGCATAGTTCCCCATCCGTGATTTCCAACAACCTCACTTGGAAAATGTTCAGGAAAAAAGGAATGGGCACGGTGGCTCACGCCTATGATCCCAACACTTTAGGAGGTCAAGGTGGGCAGATCGCTTGAGGCCAGGAGTTCAAGACCAGCCTGGCCAACACAGTGAAAGCCCATCTCTACTAAAAATACAAAAATTTGCTGGGCGTGGTGGTGCACACCTGTAGTTCAAGCTACTTGGGAGGCTGAGGCATGAGAATCACTTGAACCCAGGAGGTGGAGGTTGCAGTGAGCTGAGATCATGCCACTGCACTCCAGCCTGGGCGACAGAGCAAGACTCTGTCTCAAAAAAATAAAACAACAAACACAAAAACAAAAACTAGCCAGGCATGGTGGCGTGTACCTGTAGTCCCAGATACTCGGGAGGCTGAGGCAGGAAGATCACTTGAGCCCAGAAGGCAGAGGTAGCAGTGAGCCAAAATCGTACCACTGCACAAAGAAAGAAAGAAAAGAAAGTGGAAGGAAAGCAGTCACCCTTAGAAGGGAGGCAATGTGCACAGGGGAGACCCACAGCAGGAAGGTAAAGGGGGACTCCTGATGACTGAAAGTGGGCCCTAGGCTTCAGAGATGGGAGGAATAGAAGACGGGCTCAAAAAAGGCAATGAACTATGTCATGTATGAGGGAGACAGAGGGGACCTGGGAGTGCTGGATGTTAGGGACCACTGAAATCAATACTGTCCAGGCTGTGCATGATAGGTGAGAGGAAGGGAATACTTCCAGGAAGAAGCAGAAGTCTGGGACTTTCTTTTGACTCGTGATGTGACCTGACCAACAGGAGGCCCTTTTTTTTTTTTTTTTTTTTTTTTGAGATGGAGTCTTGCCCTGTCACCCACACTGGAGTGCAGTGGCACAATCTTGGCTCACTGCAACCTCCACCTCCTGGGTTCAAACGATTCTCCTGCCTCAGCCTCTGGAACCGCTGGGATTACAGGCATCTGCCACCACACCCAGCTAATTTTTGTATTTTTAGTAGAGATGGGCTTTCACCATGTTGGCGGCCAGGCCAGTCTCGAACTCCTGATCTCATGATTCACCCACCTTGGCCTCCCAAAGTGCTGGGGTGACAGGAGTGAGCCACTGTGCCCTGCCAGGAGGCCCTTTAAGACATTAAAAAAACTCTTATCTGTTTAAACAGAGATGGGATCTTGCTACGTTGCAAGGCTGGCCTTGAACTCCTCAGCTCAAGCAATCCTCCTGTCCCTCCCAAAATGCTGGCATGAGCCTCGGTGCCCGGCCTAGAAATTTTTTCAAGATAATAATCTTAGTAATAAGGTTATAAGTTACCAGGATGCTTGTGGTATATTGCATATGACTTATGAAATCCTTTGGAATCTCTAAATCAGATAATTTGGATTCACTCTGGCTATTAGAATACAATATCCACATCCTACTGGTAGTATGATTCTGGATATATTATGCTGCTTTCTCCAAGATGAGATAATACTGCTAACTTCATTCTCTCCAAGGGCCTTTGCACAAATCATGTAAAAAAAAAATCCATCAATAACTAACTTGCCCCTGCCACATTTATCAGGTGACCACTAATGTGTCAGGCCTTGAAAGGACTACAATCAAATGTTACACACCTAAGTGAGCCCAAGCTAGAAGAGTCAGAAGGTGAAAATAACAGCCTCCCAATGACATCACTAGGCCATCATTTCTCAACCACTGGGAAGCCATGGGCCCTTTAAAAATTAGATGAGCTTTATGAGCCCAAGTTCCACTCAATACCCTTGAAGCCTATCCAGGAAGGATCCTTGGCCCCCAGTTTTAGAAATACTTATGAACTGGAGAGAAGCCACCCAAGTCTTCTGATCCATCTTTCCCCTTTTCCCCTGTGAACACTGAGACTTCATTACTCTAGGTGGACTGGCTAGCTCTCTTCCCTTCTGAATCCTGCTCCTTCAAGTAAGCCTTTCATCTGCAGAAGATTTCAAAAAAATAAAAGACCGAATTCAAGGTAAACCTTGGGTAATGGTGCTCTGAAGTGCAGTGGTGTCTAGTTATGGAAAGGAACAAACACCCCTGCCCTCTGCTCTGTAAGTGGCATTCTAAACCCACCAAGGGACTTGCCCAGTCCTCCAGCAAGTCCTCCAGGCCCTGCTGCCCTGTTATCCTTGGGGTTGCAGGCAGCAAAGTTCTAGGGAACTCAGGTCCCAGAAAATGCAGTGATTCTGAATGTCCAACACAGACTTCATATTCCAAAGGGATACTAGTTCTCATGTTACTATAAATCCTTCGAGACAGAGAAACCAGGTAACTTTATTTCTCATTGTTTAGGATTTTCTTTTTATTATCAAATCTCTGCTATAGAAACACTGAAGAAAATGGGAAAAAAAATCACTGGAGAGGCAGCATAAAATGGTGGCTGAAAACAAGAACTCTGGAGCCAATCTCAGCTCTACTCCCTTACTAGTTGTGCCCCTTAGGTAGGATCCTTCAACATCTCTGCTTCAGCTTAGCCATTTGTAAAACTGGGGTAACAGTACCTATCTCAGAGTAAAGGGGACTAAACAAGTTAACACTTGGAAAGCATTTAAAAGAAAGCCCAGCACATAAGTGTTATATGTATTTGTAAAACTTTTTAAAAATCTCAACTGGGTTAACTTTTCCATGGATCTTTCAGGTCCTTACCCATATACATTTTTTTAGATGTGTTACAGTAAGTATGTATATACAATTCTGTATCCTTTTTATTCCTTCATGTTATGTATACTGATGCAGTGTCCATAATTATAATTTATAGTGATTGCCTAAAACAAATTACAAACTAATTGCCCAACAATGCAGTGATGAGTAACAATGGACGCTGACACACTGGGCTAAGGATCACTTTCTGTCCAGCAACATCAGTCTCACACTCCTAGGCAATAACTTTTCTACCGTTAGTCATCTCATTCATTAATTTTCTCTAAGGAGGTTAATCAACAGTAAATACCCCATTCAATACTATTATTTTTCTTACATTCAGATTTAGCACTTCATATTCTACTCCTGGGCACCCAGACCCTCCCCTTATAACAACAAAATCTGTATTTCTACAATTATGCACAAAATGTTATTGTAGAGTTTTCCATCCAGTACTCCAGCTTGATGCAAAACAGTGTATTTCCAGTCAAAAACTTTTCTCTGCATAAGGTTTTTCCCTTAGCAATTCACACCAATCTACAATTGGTGAGAGCTCTTGCTAAAAGATGCCTCATTCCCCACAGTCATGGTCCTCAAGTATGAATTACTGGTAGACCATAAGGGGAGTTTAGAGTTTCCTTCATTGTTAATTATCTGATTTTGAGTAAGGGCTAAATAACTGCTGAAAGCTTTTCCCTATTCTTTTCCTTCATGGGGTTTCTTCTAAGATGATATTTTCTAGTAAATAATGTGGGAGAAGTCTTACTGAACTCTTAATGAAAAATGTCCCCTCTTGATTATGTTTATAGGGTTTTCCTCAATGTGTTGTCAAATGTACAAGAAACGAAAAACTCGCATAAATTCAATTCAGTTTCTCTTCACTGTGATTTCTCTGGTGTTGAAGTAGGGCTGAGTGACCACTAAAGGCTTTTCCACATTCACTGCATATAAAGCGTTTCTCTCCACTATGCATTCTCTGATGAATAATAAGGGAAGAATTCTTACAAAATGCTTTTTCACAATGATTACATTTGTAGGGCTTTTCTCCAGTATGGTTTCTTAGGTGTACAATAAGGGATGAACTCTCATTAAATGCTTTCCCACATTCATTACACCTGTATGGTTTCTCTCCAGTATGAGTTCTCCGGTGTGCAATGAGGTGAGAACTACAGTTAAAGGATCTTTCACACTGATTACATTTATAGGGTTTCTCACCAGTGTGAATTCTCCGATGAGCAACAAGGTGACAGCTCTGACTGAAGGATTTTCCACATTTATTGCATTCATAGGGTTTTTCTCCAGTATGAGTCCTTTGATGTCTAACAAGGTGAGCCATCTGGCTACAGGATTTTCCACATTTATTACATTCATAGGGCTTAATTCCAGAATGAATTATCTCATGTTTAGTGAGGGCTGAGCGTTCTCTGAATGCTTTGCCACATTCCTGACAGTTATATGGTTTCTCTCCCGTGTGAGTTCTCTGATGGGCAATAAGATGGGAGCTCCAGCTGAAGGATTTTCCACATTCAGTACATTTATATGGTTTTGCTCCAGAATGAGTTCTTTCATGTTTACTAAGGGCTGAGTAGTCCCTAAAAGCTTTTTCACATTCATCACATTTAAAGGGTTTCTCTCCAGTATGCATTCTCATATGGGCAATAAGATGGGAGCTCCAGCTGAATGATTTCCCACATTCAGTACATTCAAAAGGTTTCTCTCCTGTATGAGTCCTCTGATGTCCAATAAGATGAGAGTTCCAGTTGAAAGATTTCCCACACTCATTACAAACATAAGGTTTTTCTCCTGTATGAATTCTCTTATGTACAATAAGATGAGAATTCCAGCTGAAGGCTTTTCCACATTTATTACATTCATAGGGTTTTATTCCAGTGTGAGTCCGTTCATGTTTCGTAAGGGCTGAGCGATTCCTAAAAACTTTTCCACATTTATCACATTCATAGGGTTTTTCTCCAGTATGAGTTTTCTTATGTTGAATAAGGTAAGAGCTCCAGATGAAAGACGTCCCACATTCATTGTAGTCATAGGGTTTCTCTGCAGTGTAAGTGCTTGTATGTTGAGTAAGGAAAGAGTCATACCCAAAGACTTTCTCCCATTCATTGTATTTATACGCTTTCTCTACAGTACCAATTTTTTGATGTTCCATAAAGGATGAGAAATAAAAGATATTCTCATATTCTTTGTAATTATACTGGTTTTCTCCAACATGAAGCCTTGGGTGTTCATTAAATGATGGGCTCTGGTTAAAGATTTGATGGCATTCCTTATATTCATAGAGTTTTTCTCCTGTGTGAATTCCTTTATGATCACCAAAATGTATTATATGATTGAAAGATTTAACAGCATCAGTACATTTGAAAAGATTATCTCCAGTTTGTATTCTTGCAGGGTAAATAGGTTGAATGGACTGATAAACAGTTTTGTCATAATCATTATTTTCACAGGTAACCTTATCTGCATACATTATGGCTGAGTCACATCTCCAACTTTGAGCATGTGTATCAGGCTTATAGAAATGTTCTATCTGAGAAACTCTCTGAGATGGAACAAAGTTTAAGTTCTGGCTAAACTCTGCCCCAAGTCCACAGAATTCAGAGCTTCTCTGGGATAGTACTTGCTTTTGCATGAAGACCATCTGCCTCATAGCTGTACTCTGGTTCATGTGGTACATTTCTAATTGGTCTTTACATCCCAAAACTTCTAACCTGGAGAACCAAGGATCATCCCATATATATCTTTCCAACTTCATGCCATGGGATTGTTCTTCCTCAAAAATGCTCTGTGCTGGGATCAATGCTTTGCTTTCAAGATTTCTCACCCATTCTGAAACAGACAGAAAAAAAGCTATGAGAGCATAGAGAAAGACATTAGAATAAAGTGGGAATGGTGAGATTTACTGTCCATATTATCAAAAACACTAGTATAAATTTGTTTTCAAGTCCAGGCTTAGAACTCAGAGAAAGATCATAATAGGGAAAAGAATAGTGAAAAGTAAACAACAGTTAACCAGAATACAAAGTGTGTACTGAAAACTAATGAAACCATTTAAAAGTACTTTCCATGAAAAGGAAGACCAGTATAAGAATGTGCAAGAAAGAGGCCGGACGAGGTGGCTACGCCTGTAATCCCAGCACTTTGGGAGGCCGAGGCGGGCGGATCATGAGGTCAGGAGATCAAGACCATCCTGGCTAACACAGTGAAACCCTGTCTCTACTAAAAATACAAAAAATTAGCCAGGTGTGGTGGCGGGTGCCTGTAGTCCCAGCTGCTCAGGAGGCTGAGGCAGGAGAATGGCATGAACCCGGGAGGCAGAGCTTGCAGTGAGCCAAGATCGCGCCACTGCACTTCAGCCTGAGCGACAGAGCGATACACCGTCTCAAAAAAAAAAAAAAAAAAAATGTGCAAGAAAGAGTTAACTCTGCAGGCCTGACGTGCTCAAACCTTGCAAAGGTAGCCTGTTTCCTAACTGGCCCTTAGCCAACTCCTAGGAATTAAGATCTTGGAATGTTCTAACTAGTAAGAGTGTTTTGCATGCTCAAGGTATTGAAGCACATTTACTTTTAACTTATTTAGATATGTGTGCAAACAATGTCATTCATAGTGATCACCTGCTTTCCCTCAGGGTGGTCTGGAGTTTCAGCGATGGCAGTGAGTCACGCAGGCACTGTGTGCCTGGATGAGCAACCTCTCAATAAACACACTGGACTCCTAGACTCAGGCAAGTTTCCTAGTAGAAATTTCGCACGTGTTGTCACAACTCCTTGCTTGAGGAATTAAGTGTGCCCCATGTACGCTACTGGAAGCTTGCACCTGGTCTAACCTCATGCACCTTTTTCCTTTGCTGATGTTGCTTTGTATCCTTTCACTGTAATACACCATAATCCTGAGTATAATGACTTTTGAGTCCTATAAGTACTCATAGTGAATCAGTGAACCTGGAGGTGGTCTTGAAGACCCCTGACAAAAGGACCCAGTGAATGTTATTAAGGTTAAAAAAGAAAAAAAAAGAATAAAGCCTTTCATCTTAACAAAAGTTAGGTAGATGAGCACACAAGGCCTTTAGCAAGTAATATTTACATCATGAGTGCTCTCACTTCTGTGTTATAATGTCCTTCTACTCCCATATCTTGACAAGTGCAGAAAAAAGGAGGAGAGGGGTGTTTAGAGAGTATCACCAAGCGAGGCTTCAAGCCAGGATGTTATCTATGACAAAATGCTTTGTTTCCTATGTCACAGAATCCAGTCAATCACACAAGATCCACCAACCCAAAGGGCAAACATCACCAGAGTTTATGGATACCCCTAAAGTTACACTTCTATCCACCACAGAATATTTTTAGAGCAATGATAGATGGACTAGGAAGACAGCATAGTGTGAAAAAACAGACACAGGAGTTACAGTCTGCTAATCTGTATGTGAACAATGGCCCTGCTGCTATCCTTAGAGAGCTTTTCTGATGACTAAAGTCGAGACTCAGAATCCAGCCAAACTCCTGGCAAGTTTAATACACAGGAACTGCCTATTATCACTGCTTAAGTATCAATCCTCTAACAACCAAAGGAGGCTATATTAGTTTCTTTCTGCTATTGTAACAAATTACCACACATTTAGTAACTTAAGGTAACACAAATTTATGATCTTTCCGTTCTGGAAGTCAGAAGTCCAAAACGGCTTTCACTGGGCTAAAATGGAGTTATTGGCCGGGTTGTGCTCCCTCCAGAAGCTCTAAGGAATCCACCATATCCTTGCCCTTTCCATCTTCTAGAAGCTGCCCCAATTCCTTGGCTCGCAGCTCCTTCCTCCATCTGCAAAGCTCATCACTCCAACCTCTGCTTCTGTCATCACATCCTCTCCCATGTCTCTGACCCTCCCACCACAATCTTATAAAAGGACCCTTGTGAGTACATTTAGAATCCACTCAGACAATCCAGGATAATCTCCCCACAGCAAGATCCTTAATTTACTCTCATCTGAAGGTCCCTTTTGCCATACAAGGTGCCCCATTCACAAATTCTGGAGATTAGGATGCAGATATCTTTGTGGGGGAAGTCATTATCCAGATTGCTACAGGGTCTAAAGCCCCAGGCAGGTCCCAACAAGAACTAGACCTTGCCCTCTCTCTCTGCTTCTTTTTTTCTCTTTACTATATGTAATTTCCCCCCTTTTACCACCCAAGTCCATTATTTTTTGTTTAATTTTTTTGAGACAGGGTCTCACTCAGGCAGGAGTGCAGTGGTACCGTCATAGCTCACTGTAATCTCAAATTACTGGGCTCAGGCAATCCTCCCACCTCAGCCTTCCGAGTAACAGGACTACAGGCATGAATCCTGTATATACAACCATGCCTGGCTAAATGTTTTTAAATTTTTTATAGTGACAGGGTCCCGCCATGTTGCCCAGGATGGTCTCAAATTCCTGGGCTCAAATAATCCTCCCACCTTGGCCTCCCAAAGCACTGGGATTACAAATGTGAACCCCCATCCCTGGCCCCCACGACCATTATAACAGAGGTTCTACTCTGCACAACTGGCATTTATTATCAATTTCAAGCTCAGCTCTTAAAAGTTACTGAATTATCTTCATATAGATTTTTAAATCCTTCCAGTAAAAGCTTTTTACAAATGGAAGCTGACCAATTCCCTGACCAAATGAAAGACCAACTGAAAGACCAAATGAACAGTTCTTGTCCAACTTTATACTCACTCAGTACTTGTAGTCTACTGAGTTTCCAGCACCAGAGACAAGGCAAGAAAGTACGGTCTCCCTGGAAGTCAGAATCTATGTGAAGAGAGATCCTACCAAACAGTGATGAATATACATGAAATATCACTCTGAGGTCGGGCATGGTAGCTCACGCCTGTAATCCCAGCACTTTGGGAAGCTGAGGCGGGTGGATTACCTGAGGTCAGGAGTTCAGGACCAGCCTGGCCAGCATGGTGAAACCCCGTCTCTACTAAAAAAATACAAAAAATTAGCCGGGCATAGTGGCAGGCGCTTGTAATGCCAGCTACTCGGGAGGCTGAGACAGGAGAATTGCTTGAACCCGGGAGGTGGAGGTTGCAGTGAGCCAAGACCACACCATTGCACTCCAGCCTGGGCAACAAGGGCAAAACTCCGTCTCAAAAAAAAAAAAAGAAAAGAAAAAGAAATATCACTCTGAGATGGTGGGGTTATAGAACAGATGCTAAGTGGGTGGGAGATCAAAAAAGGACATCAGCACTAACTGAAGTGATCGAGGATGGTTCACACAAGAGAAACAACATGAGCTCAGCCTTGAAGCACGACCTGGGTACAGACTGACTAGTCACTCAGCATGAGCAGAGGCATGCATGGCGTGACCAGTGTGTGAGGAGGAAGATAAGGATACCTGCTGAATAAAACTCCAGGAGCTATTCAGGAAATGAGAGAAACAATAGAAAAAATAGAAGGTTTTGAAATCCAGTTGTTTTGTTACAAGGCAATTAGAATCACTGTAGGTTTACTGACAGGGATCTCATAATCAAAGATTTCAGGGATATAAATCTAGAAATAGTACCTGAGGTGGCTAATAACAAGTGAGAATTTCCTCATCAACTTGGGCTGGAATTTTACGAGAAAGGGGCCGGACTGTGAGAGTGATGATGGAAGCTGAATGACGTAACTAACATTTCAGAGGAAGAAAATCTTGGGAGTTAGAAGAGAGATTACTTCTTGGAGAGGAAAGAGCTCGAAGTCAAGATGACTTCTCAATCTCCAGCTTAGGGGACATGCAGAAATGCACCTCAGGAAGATGGGAGAACATCTAGAAAGTAGAGACAAGATTACTGGTTCTATCGGCTGTGATCAAGGAGACAGGTGAGATGCTTTGTAAAATGGGAGAAGTGTAAGGACAGAGGTGCTGGAATTGCAGGGCTCTGGATGGTAACTAAGAATGGGCAGCACTGAAGGTAGAAGAATTAAAGCTCCTGGAATTCATGAGCTCTTAGGGGAAAGTTTCCAATCTGAATGGAAAACAACTGGAGAGATTCTCCACAAAAGTCCCCTCCATTAGAGTGGGTGGAAGATAATCCAACTTCAGGACTCAAGAAGAGGCTGTGGCACATTGCCAAAAATAATAAGATAAAGACAATGTGTATAATCTCCTATTGTTGAAAACATGAAAAATAACTACAAATTCCTACATGCTTGTAGCTGCATAAAGAAACTCTGTTATGCATGTAACAGAAATTACTAAAAGTGATTACCTGAGGCAGAATGTCAGTGAAAATGGCCAAGTAAAGACATGTAAAATTTCACCACTCTGTAAAACCAACTAAAAAACTGGCAAAACTGTCAGAAGGCAATTTTTCAAAATTCTGTAAATTAACCAAAGCCTAGGCCAGGCGCAGTGGCTCATGCCTGTAATCCCAGCACTTTGGGAGGCTGAGGCGGACGGATCACGAGGTCAGGAGATCAAGACCATCCTGGCTAACATGGTGAAACCCCAACTCTACTAAAAATACATAAAAATTAGCCAGGCGTGGTGTCGGGCGCCTGTAGTCCCACCTACTAGGGGGGCTGAGGCAGCAGAATGGCGTGACCCTGGGAGGCGGAGCTTGCAGTGAGCTGAGATCATGCCACTGCACTTGAGCCTGGGCGACAGAGCGAGACTCCATCTCAGAACAAAAACAAAAACAACAACAACAACAAAAACACAAAAAAACAAAATTAACCAAAGCCTTGCAGCAACCAGGAAAACATGTATTCTAGAAAAGTAAATTTTAATAAGAACAGTAAGCTATATGGTGTTCTAACTTACCCCGGTCCCATCTCTGGCTCAGTAACAGCCTTGGAAAAATGACAGCCCCCACTTCTGGTACTTCAGTGAGCAGAACAAAGCTGGAGCTTTTTCAAAGCCTCATTCTCAAAGAACACTCATTACTAGACCTGCCTAGTGGCTCCCTGGAAGACTCCACTGGAAAAGCTGGTCTTTATTTTGCCTGACAGAGAACTCTCATAGTGTTACAAAACCTCTAGGGAGGAGGTACTTTTCTAACATTTACAGGCAATGTTTTAAAGTCACCACTGCCTGAGGTGATGGCAAACAGGTGGGGCCCAAAACACACGAGTCAAAAAGATAGAATGAAAGAGCTGAGGAATGAGATGTCTATAGGGACTCTGAGAAGCTCCAACCTAGAAGGCTACATGCATACCCATAATAATTAAACTAGGGCCAGGGGTGGTGGCTCACGCCTGTAATCCCAGCACTTTGGGAGGGCGAGGTGGGTGGATCATGAGGTCAAGAGATTGAGACCACCCTGGCTAACACGGTGAAACCTGCCTCTACTAAAAATACAAAAAAAAAAAAATTAGCTGGGCGTGGTGGCGGGCCCCTGTAATCCTAGCTACACAGGAGGCTGAGGCAGGACAATCGCTTGAACCCAGGAGGCAGAGGCTGCAGTGAGCCAAGATCGCGCCACTGCACTCCAGCCTGGGCGACAGAGCAAGAGTCTGTCTCAATAAATAAATAAATAAAATAAAATAAAAGCCGAAGAGAGAATCCTGAAAGCAGAGAGAAGAAATTCATCACGTACAAGGGATCTTCAATAAGATTAACAGCTTGTTTCTCAGAAACGACTCAGGCCAGAAAGAAAGACAAAAAAACATGACAATCAAGAATTCTATACCCAGTAAAATTATCCTTCAAAAATGAAGGAGAAATCAAGAGATTTCCAGATAAACAAAACGCCACAGTTCACTGTTAGCAAACCTGTCCGACAGGAAATGCTGGCTGGGGATAGTGACTCACGCCTGTAATCCCAGCACTTTGAGAGGCTGAGGCAGGGGCATCACTTGAGCTCAGGAGTTTAAGACCAGCCTAGGCAACACAGTGAGGCGTGGTTGTGTGCACCTATAGTCCCAGCTACTCAGGAGGCTGAGATGGGAGGATCACTTGAGCCTAGAAGGTTGAGACTCCAGTAAGCCAAGATCATGCCACTGCACTCCAGCCTGGGCAACAGAGTGTCTTTTCTATCTCAAAAAACAAAATGGAAATGCTAAAATGAGTTCCTCAGGCTGAAATGAAAGAACATTCAACAGTAACTCAAAATAAAAAACAGCAATAAAGATAGCTACATAAGTATAAAAAGACAATATAAGTAAAATTCTTGTTTCTAGCTCCTTTTTTTCAGTCTGTTAAAAGACAACTGCATAAAGCAATAATTATAAATCCATATTCATGAACACACAATGTATAAAGATGTAATTTGTGACAAAACAGCATAAAAGGAGGAGGGCAGAGCTATACACAAAGTTTTGGTATACTATTAATATTACACTAGTATTAATCCAAACTACATTGTCATAAATTAAGATGTTAATTGTAGGGCCAGGCGTGGTGGCTCACACCTATAATCTCAGCACTTTGGGAGGCCAAGGCAGGAGGATTGCTTGTGCACAGGAGTTCAAGACTAGCCTGGGCAATATAGTGAGACCTTGTCTCTACAAAAAAAAATTTTTTTTTAATTAACTGAGCATGACGGTGCATGGCTGTAGTCCCAGCTACCTAGGAGGCTGAGGTGGGAGGACTGCCTAAGCTTGCAATGCAGAGGCTGCAGTAAGTCAAGATTGTACTACTGCACTCCAGCCTGGGCAGAAGAGCAAGACCTTGTCTCAAAAGATGTTAATTGTAATCCCCAGGGCAACTACCAAGAAAATAACTCAAGATTTTATAGTAAAAGAAAAGTAGTTACCTGTGTGTATGCCTCTGTGTATCTGTGTTTTGGGGGAATAACAGTAATGTGAGTAACAGCAGGGAGTAAAAATGAGTTATTTTTGGTGGTGTTTTTCAGACAGGGTCTTGCTCTGTCACTCGGGCTGGAGTGCAGTGGTGAAATCACAGCTCACTACAGCCTCAACATCCCAGGCTCAAGCAATCCTCACCTCAGCCCCCTGAGTAGCTAGGACCACAGACATGCACCATAAAGCCCAGCTAAGTTTTTTAATAAAGGAGATTTTTTTTTTAGCTTATACATTTTAAGTAGCTTTCAGATATTTGAACATTACCTATATTTTAAAAATCTATTTTGTTTGGTACCCACAAGATCTAAGTAAGAAAGAACAAAAGCCCAAGCCGGGAACGGTGGCTCATGCCTGTAATCCCAGCACTTTGGGAGCCCGAGGTGGGCGGATCACTTGAGGTCAGGAGTTCGAGACCAGCCCAGCCAACATGGTGAAACCCCGTCTCTACTAAAAATACAAAAACTAGCCAGGCATGGTGGCGGGTGCCTGTAATCCCAGCTACTCAGGAGGCTGAGGTGGGAGAATCGCTTGAACCCGGGAGGCAGAGGTTGCAGTGAGCCGAGATCGCACCACTGCACTCCAGCCTGGGCGACAGAGCGAGACTTTATTTCAAAACAAACAAACTAAAAAGCCCAAAAAGACTATTTTTTTGAAATAAGCATCTATAGCTATAGGTTACAAGTTTGGCAATACAGGAAATAAGGAAAATATTTGAAGTAGCTACATGGATAAGAGGTAACCTTAGAGGCAACCTTAGAGGAAGGGACCGCAGAAAACAGGAGCCATCAAGAGCCGACAGCGAGGGAAAATGGCTACCTTATTAGGATGGTGATGCTTCTTTGCTCTAAATCAAAAGCAGCAAGAGAAGAAAGCTCCTTAGAGGGAATTCTAAATGCATCTGAGGAAGGTAACTCTTCATGGCCTTATCCCATTTCTCAACAAAGAGGGCTTGGGGGGAAGTTCCTTGTTCAGCCTGGGGTCTGCCCTCACCTGGACAAGTGCGTTGAGGACATGCCTGCTCCACTGACCACGGCTCTTCTCCTTGCTCCAACAGGGAGATGACCTCAGGCTTGGCAATCTGATTTCCTATGCATGGAGGAAAAGCATGGAAATCATGTCATGAGGCTTCAGGACAGCCAAAGAAAGCTTCTCTTGCCTATTCCTCCCTGTGACTTCTCAACCTGGGCAGAATATGCAAGGTCCTTCCCACTCCATGCTCTTTAAGCATTAGGAGTTTCATCCCTGAACCTCAGGGCCCAAGATCATCTCAGCTCTTCTGAGACACCACCCTCGCCCCTGCAATGAGCTTCTAAACATGGAGCAGCTGAAGGCATTACCATGGGAACAGCTTCGTTTACTTGGGCAGCACCTGCCTTACCCACAGAGAGCAGGTGACCATAGGTCTCCAGCATCACATCACGGTACAGGGTCCTCTGAACAAGGTCCAGCTGCCCCCACTCTTCTTGGGTGAAGTCCACGGCCACGTCCTTGAAGGTCACTGGTTCCTAAAAGAACACAAACGTTCCTTCTCAGCCTGTGACCACCCCCTCCAATATTTCCAGGGATGGAGTGAGGCTGACAGCCCTGGGGAGAGAAGACAGGATGTAGAGAAACTCTCCTGGTTATTCAAGAGTCTGACTAATGTGAGTCAGGTCTCATTGAGAACCACCCAAGACCTCATATTTGTTATATACTCTTAGGGAATTAGATACCTGGGTCCACAATAACCACAGCAAAGCTGAGCAGGTCTCTTCGAAGACTCTTGCCAAATTCCAGCACACTGGCTATGTCCCCCACCTTGGCAACACCCCTCTTCTGGAAAGGCAGTCATATAAAAAGGCCTGGACCAGTGCAGCAACAGGCTATGAGCACTGGCTACAAGCGAGACCTTGAGGATGGAGTCTTTGCTCCGACACCCAGATAAAGGACCTGAAAGGGTGATCTGTACATTCACAAGTTGTCTTTCCAGCCATGGTGGGGAGGTTTCCATTCTCAGTTCATCTCTGTCCCAAGGACTGAAGCTAAGGGTGAGCAGGATGCCCCAGAGCAGCCCAGGCCAAGGAGAATCGGTTACAGCTGCCATTAAAAGCACATTAGTTACAAGCAATCTAAACTGATTTTTTTTTTTAATGAAAGCAAGAAAACTAACTGGAAAACGAGAAGGAAAAAGGAAAGGTAATCTAAGTCTGATTTTTCCAATGAATACATCCCTCAAGTCCTTTTATTATTATTTTTTAATTATTTTATCGAGACAGAGTCTCGCTCTGTCGCCCAGGCTGGAATGTCATGGTGTGATCTCAGCTCACTACAACCTCTGCCTCCCAGGTTCAAGTGATCCTCCTGCCTCAGCCTCCCGAGTAGCTGGGACAATAGGCGTGCACCACCCCGCCTGGCTAATTTTTGTATTTTTAGTAGAGACAGGGTTTTGCCATGTTGGCCAGGCTGGTCTCGAACTCCTGATCTCAAGTGATCCGCCCACCTTGGCCTCCCAAAATGCTGGGATTACAGGCATGAGCCACTGCACCCAGCTTCGAGTCCTTTTAAGAAATCAACTCGCCAGGCACAGTGACTCACACCTGTAATCCCAGCACTTTGAGAGTCCTAGGTGGGCGGATCACGAGCTCAGGAGATGAGACCATCCTGGCCAACATGGTGAAACCCCGTCTCTACTAAAAATACAAAAAAATTAGCTCAGCGCAGTGGCACACGCCTATAATCCCAGCTACTTGGGAGGCTGAGGCAGGAGAATCGCTTGAACCAGGGAGGCGGAGCTTGCAGTGAGCCGAGATCGTGCCACTGCACTCCAGCCTGGATGACAGAGCGAGACTCCATCTCAAAAAAAAAAAAAAAAAAAAAAAAAAAAGAGCCGGGCGCAGTGGCTCACGCCGGTAATCCCAGCACTTTGGGAGGCCAAGGCAGGTGGATCACAAGGTCAGGAGATTGAGACCATCCTGGCTAACACGCGGTAAAACATCATCTCTACTAAAAATACAAAAAAATTAGCCAGGCGTGGTAGCAGGCACCTGTTGTCCCAGCTACTCGGGAGGCTGAGGCAGGAGAATGGCGTGAACCCAGGAGGCGGAGCTGGCAGTGAGCTGAGATCACACCACTGCAATCCAGCCTGGGCGACAAAGCAAGACTCTGTCTCAAAAAAAAAAAAAGAAATCAACTCAGGCCAAGTGTGGTGGTGCACACCTGTAGTCCCAGCTACTGGGAAAGCTGAAGAAGTGGGAGGATAGCTTGGGCCCAGGAGGTGGAGGCTGCAGGGAGCTGAGATCGTAGTACTGCACTCCAAACTGGGCAGTAGAGCAAAACCCAGTCTCAAAAAAAAAAAAAAAAAAAAAAATCAACCGCAAGACACCCGCTCAACAGACACGTGTGCAGTATACCGCTCCCACTCCAAGGGTCCTCTGGACCTGTGCCCCTCCTCTTCACAGCTACATCATATCACTTCTACCCAAATACAGCGTTTCCTGTGGCCCTCTTAGTCACAGCTTATGAACTGAGTTTGCTGTCTCTGATCTGGGCCAGACCTCCCTGCTGAATTTTCAGTGTATCCATTTTTACTCTGTCTCAATTGCTTCCCCTCTACCTTCACATGATGGGCTTAAAACAAAGAACTGCTTCTGCTCCAATAAATACCATACCCTGAAAAGTCAACTCCTGCTCAAGACCCCCCAGGCTCAGCCTTACTGTGCCCCATGACAAGGACTGTCCATCCTCTTTTCCACGGCTGAACCTCATCTCTGTGTCTCACAACCTCGAAGACACAGAATCATCCCTCCTGCAGCCTCACACCCCATGTAGAGACGCCTCCTGCACCCTCGTCCCACTGCTTCTGACAGTCCATCTCCTCCTGCAAGGTACAGTGCACCCTCGCCTTCTCTCCTTCCTTGTCTTCCAGCCTTACCCCAGTGCAGTTCCTCCTCTGCCTTTATTATCCGTTTTCCTGTTCCTTGGTATTGGAAATTTTTTCTTTATATTTATCATTTTTGCTGATCTATATTGAAGGATCTTGGAGCAACAATTATATGATTCTTATTTTTACCAAGCTCTCACCAAGATCTCCCCAATGTCTTGTGATTGTCAAGTCCAAAGTTTGATTTCTGCCTTTACCTTCTTGGCCTATGCAGCATTTGGAAGTGCTGGCCACAACCTCCCTCTATGAAACACTCCCCAACCCCCATGGTCAATGACAACTTCTTGGTTTTCCTCTTACAGACTGCCCAGACCTCAGTATGCTTGATGACTACTGTTTCTACATTTTATGGTAATGTAAGGTTTTTTTATTTAAATGTAACATGGAGTTGGGAGTGGTGGCTCATGCCTGTAATCCCAACACTTTGGGAGGTCAGGAGTTCGATACCAGCCTGGCCAAGATGATGAAAACCCGTCTCTACTAAAAGTACAAAAATTAGCTGGGCATGGTGGTGCACGCCTATAATCCCAGCTACTCGTGAGGCTGAGGAATGAGAATCTCTTGAACCTGGGAGGCAAACGTTGCAGTGAGCCAAGATCGCACTACTGCACTCCAGCCTGGGCGACAGAGTGAAACTCTGTCTCAAAATAAATAAATAAATAAATAAATAAATAAATGTAATATGGCCACAGAAGTGCACAAAACCTATGCTTGATGCACTTTCACAGAGCAATGGCACCTGGGGAACCAGCTAGGCAGCTGTGCTGATGGCCCAGGGTGCCTCTGACCCTGTGCTTGTCTTACACATCCTAACCTCCCTGGGGTGGCACCTTCTTAGATGGCTTCAATGTTCACCTACACTTAACAAGGTGCAAACCCACACCCTAATGGCTGACCAGCTGGTAGACTAAGCCACAAATTCACTTCCCACCCCTCCCAAGACCCCAATGGAATCATTATATGTTCAAAAATAGAGGAATTACATCTAATAAACACAAGAGGAATGAAATCATTGGAGCAGTTCTGCAGTCCCTAATAAAACAGTGGACAGTGGCAATGACCATCAATGACTGCTCAGCTGCAGGTGAAAGGCAGACAGGGAGCTTTATAATGGAGGGGTCAGTCTGACAATACCTGCACCCACTAACCCATCATACCTGAAGATGGGACAACCAGACACCATGTGCCCACTGATGCAATGCAGTATGAAGAACCCAGCACCACCTATGAAGTATTCTTATCAAAAATACCAAATGAATCTACTCAGGCCTCTAGTCCAAATACTAGCTAACAGGAGACGAGGGGATGGAGGAACTTATTCAATGACATCATGAAGGCAAAAATCAGGCAAACCAACAAGACCAGTGACCTAGTTTCTTCAGCATATGAAGCATGTGCAGTGTGTGGGCCTTGTTTGGATCCTGATTTGAACAAACCAACAACTGTAAAAACATATTTTAGAGACACATAGAGAAAACAATATGAACTGGATATCAGGTGACATTGAGGAATTATTGGTAATTTGCTGAGTATGATAAAGGTATTGTGGTTTCTTCCTTAAGGGTACATATCTCTTAGATACACAGAAACACTCACAGGTGAAATGATACAATTCTGAGATTTGCTTTCAAATCCTCCAGTTTAAAAAAGGTTGTGTTGGAATAGATGAAAAGAAATGCAGAAAGTGGAAAGCTGACAGCTGCTGAAGCTGGTCAACATGGGTGCTTGCAGCAGGCTGAATAACACCCCCCAAAGGATGCCCATGTCCTAATCCTAGAACCTGTGACTGTTATCTTAATGATAAAAGGAACTTTACAGATATAATTAAGAATCTTTAGAGGGATTACCCTGGATTATCCAGGTGGCCCAGTGTAATCACCAAAGTCCTTATCAGTGAGAGAGGGAGGCAGGAGTCAGAGTCACAGGAGATATGACGCAAGCAGGGGTCAGAGTGATGTACTTTGCAGATGGAGGACAGGGCATGAGTCAGGAAGCAGTCTCCCCTTGAGCCTCCAGAAGAAACACAGCCCTGCAGACCCATTTTAGACTTCTGAGCTGCAGAACAGTAGAATAAATTCATGTTGTTCTAAGCTATAAAGTCTGTGGTAGTCTATTACAATAGCAACATTAAACTAAGACATAAAACTAAACTAATACAGGGTTCATCTTCTACTTTGGGGTTCAAAAATCTCCTAAATAAACAGTTGGCTTTTTTTTTAAAGAACGTTAAAGAAATAACCCAGCCAGTGAAAAAAAATGGGGGCGTCAGCACCTTGAATTCCACTTATTCCTCCAAGAGGCAGAACAGATAGATGAAGGTAAGGCTGACCAACTAGACTAGAAGCGATTCCAGCCCCACACTAGGAGGCACCACGGTGAAGCAGGTGCTTCCTGCAAGAGGACTCTGGGAGAGGCAGGAGTGAGTCAGGCTGAAAACAGGGCAGGTGAAAGTCTGCACTCGCACAGCTTTGCAAGTGCCTGTGGGTAGTACTGCCAGCAGCCATGTACTTATACACGGGCAAAAGTCCCAGGAGCCTCCTCAGACTTGAGACCGCGGCTAGGTTCTCAGGCTGCCCAGGTGAGTGGAGACCTCTTCAGTCCCACCAGGTGGGGAAGAGAAGGGAGTCTGTGGCCTCACAGCTCTATATCTATGAAACTGGAAGCAGAACTGACCAGCTGACCCTGGCCCATGCAGGCCCACGAAACCCAGGGCATGCCTCACCAGGAGCACAGAGCGGAGTGGAAGGCACCAATCATGAATCAGATCTATGCAGCTGAAGTAGAACAGGACTTCCAGCCTCACAGCCCTGCCCTGAGAAACACACACAGACCAGACGTCTCCTGGACATGAGAAACACCTGATGCACAGATAAAGCGACTGAACTAAGTAGCCACAAGGCCAGAGAATCCAGACAACAGCCACATTCAACTTTCAAAGACCTGTTAATTCCTATTCTCAGATTCTCAGACCAGAGTGATTTCAGTATAAAGTGGGACAGGATGCTACAAGAGAGGCTGAGAGAATAGGAAAGCCTTCACAGACTAAGAAAAGAACAGAAGACACAGCAACTAGTTCAGGAGGCCCTAGAGAGTTCTGCTGTGGTGAGAACATGATCATCAGGCCCCCAACCCCCACCAAGAAAAGGACATGGAATATAGAGAGATCAGAGACACGGCAATTTGTTCAGGAGGTCCAGCAGCTAACAGAAGAGCCCAGAAAGAGAACCTAAAGGAAAAGGACAAGAGGGAATTATTACTTTTTAAATAACACAAGACTTCTTAAAATAAGACACACAGAAACACTAGCCATAAACAAAGATAGACACATTTGACAAAAACATACCAACATTCAAATATCTGACTGATAAGACACCACCAGTTAAGACAAGCTACAGACTGGGAGGAGTTAGTTGATATGTGATAAAGAATTAGGATTCAGAATGCATGTGAAATACCTATATTAAAGTCAGTCCCTAGAAATCTAGGGATGGGGGAAGAGAAACAAAGAGAGAAGGAAATACAGATGGCCAATAAAGACATCAAAAGGTACTTAAGCTCACTAGCAATCAAGAAGATGCACATTAAAGGAATGCAATATACCTTTCTGGTCCTGAGGTAAGCAAACATTTAAAAGACCTGATAATGTCAAGTGTCGACAAACATGCAGGAAAAGGGGTATTTTCTCCCAGAGTGGGGAGACTGACAAGTAGCTTCGCCCCCTTGTAGAGACATGCGGCAGCACTAGTAACACTGAAAGTATATACCTAGCCGGGCATGGTGGCTCATGCCTGTAATCTCAGCACTTTGGGAGGCCGAGGCAGGTGAATCACGAGGTCAAGAGATGGAGACCATTGAGACCATCCTGGCCAACATGGTGAAACCCTGCCTCTACTAAAAATAAAAAAATTAGCTGGGCGTGGTGGCATGCACCTGTACTCCCAGCTACTTGGGAGGCTGAGGCAGGAGAATCACTTGAACCCGCGAGGCAAGGTTGCAGTGAGCTGAGATGGCACCACTGCACTGCAGCCTGGGCAACAGAATGAGACTCTGACTCAAAAAAAAAAAAAAAAAAAAAAGTACATACCTAAAACCAGGTACAATTCTGCTTCTAGGGGTATGCCTAGATAAAAACTACATAAACACGTGCACAAAGTGAAGTCACAGGAATGTTCACACAGCTTTCACTGGAGCAGCAAAAACAATGGGGGAAAGAGGAACTTATAAACCTGCCCATAAAAGAAACTATGAACACAGAGGTGCACTTCTCTAATGGATACACTCGGCAGCGCAAAAGGAACAAGCCTGACTTCTCTGTATCTATCAACATGGATGGACCTCAAAGTTGAAAAAAGAAAACTATAGGAAAACTACATATAGAAAAAAATCATTGGGAAAAAAAATAGATTGTTGGGCTGGGTGCAGTGGCTCACACCTATAATCCCAGCACTTTGAGGCAGGCAGATCACTGAGGACAGGAGTTTGAGACTAGCCTGCCCAATATGACAAAACCCCACCTCTACTAAAAATACAAAAATTAGCCAGATATGGTGGCACACGCCTGCAATCCTAGCTACTTGGGAGGCTGAAGCACAAGAATCCTTTGAACCCGGGAGGCGGAGACTGCAGTGAGCTGAGATCATGCCACTGCACTCCAGTATGGGCAATGCAGTGTGACTGTCTCAAAAAAAAGAAAAAGACTGTCTATGTCTATATAGTTTATCATCTATGTATGCATATGAAAATGAATTAGCTGTGTACAAACTGAATCCATGAGTGGTTGCCTGAGAAATGGTGGAAAGACAAAGAGTAAAAGAAGAAAAACAACAAATACGACAAAACAGTAATATTGTTCACTGATGGTGATGCCATTTGCTTCCTTTTTACACTTCTCTGTAATTATGAAATGTGCCAAAATTAAAACTAAAATAAATTTTTAAAAATTTAGAAATGAAAAAGGGGACATTTTCAAACTGTAAGCCCCATGGGCTAAAAAACAGGAAGAAAAAAAGAGCTGCCCCCAGCTGAATATGTAACCATGTCTGGGCCCACAAATCATGGAGGCCTCACCTCAAGGATGGTAAGGGGACTGGGCACAATGGCTCACGCCTGTAATCCCAGCATTTTGAGAGGGCAAGGCAGGCAAATCACCTGAGGTCAGAAGTTTGAGGCCAGTCTGACCAACATGGTGAAACCCTGTCTCGATTAAAAATACAAAAATTAGCCAGTGTGGTGGCACACACCTGTAATCTCAGCTACTCGGGAGGTTGAGGCATGAGAATCCCTTGAACCCGGGAGGGGAGGCTGCATCAAGCCAAGATCGTCCCACTGCACTCCAGTATGGACAACGCAATGAGACTCTGCCTCAAAAATAAAAATAAATAAATGGCTGGTAAGGGGACACAGTAAACACCTTCAGCCTAGAATTGCAAAGGAAAATGCAAAACCAAAAGGCCAGAAGGAAGAGATGGTGGAAGACAGGAACCTAGTCTCACAGGCTGTGGAGATGAGAGGGACCCTTCAAGGGTAGGAGAGGAAATGCAGGTTTCACTGTTGCCTGATGCTAAGGGGAAAGGGTGCTAAAGAGAGAAGAGTACTGCTACAGGGAGGAGCAAACCCTTCTGGTCCACAGGTCACCCTCATGAGCTGCATTTGTATTTTCCAATCACATCCTAGGATGACTTGCAAAAGTGTTTCACCCAAATTCTCATAAACATTCTTGCACACATCACTTTGTACACACATATAAGCATTTATCTAGGCATTCTAAGCACTTCATGGAATCTGCTAACAAACCAGCCACACATTTAAACCCTTTGAGAGTCTGAAGGAGAGACCAAAGGTGCTGAGCTGGGTCTCAGATGTTTGCTGACAGATCTTGCCCAACTGCTCCCCCTTCAAGGAACCTGGGGCAATTCAGATGGCTTCTGTGGTAGATTTCATTGCAGAGAAGGAAAACATAAATAGATTGTGCACATCCTCAAGTCTGACCAAGCATGGGTGCAGACTATTATTGGTGTTTTATGTACATAATGTTTGTTATGCAGATATCCTAGGTGGACTGTTAACAGAGGGGTTTGAATGCTTCCGTATTTGGAAAGGCTGGTTGGGGTTTTTTAGATGAAATGAGATATTATCATTACAATTATTATTTTCCCCTATTCCTAGAAATAACGGGATCTGGGCTTCTGTAGTTAAAACCTCACTATTCAACATACTTCCATGAATGGACTATTCAGATAATGAGGGATGACAGCATTTGATGTTTTCACCAGATAAATGCTTTATTTCAATAAATACTTAACTTGGAGGGAACAATAAAGGGACACAGGGTTCTTTTGCATTCCTGAAGATCTCACTTAGTTAAAAACACACAGCAGTCAAATCCGAGTTTCCCACAGGAAAAAATCCAGAGTGTGGGGAGGGGGGCCAGCCAGGAGCATGTTATCAGAAATCACAACTCTTCAGACATTGGAGGGTGTTGTTATTTTTAATTCTGTTTTATTTTCTCAGCATTAACTTAGATAATTCTCAGAAAGCCTAGCATAAATTAACAGCAGAGTGTAGCATGGTGGTTAACAGGGCTTCTTCGCAGTGTTTTATTACAGCTAACTTCTACTCCTCAGAGTCTGATTCAGGGGCCATCTTTCAGGCTAGTCTAGCTTCACTACTGATTATTCTGTCTTAGGATTTAATAATGACTGTACATTGTAAGAGCAGCAAACCTCATAGTTGCCCAAGTTCTGATGCCAGGCAACAATCACCTTGCATCATATGGTTCAGGCCCTTCTGCTTCCCATCTCACCTGGACCAGGGATAGCAACACTGCCAAGTGGGAACAGCATACTTATGATGGACTTCACCCACCAGATTTGAAACTGTGGGCGGTTTCAATAATATTTTTTAATTTGAGGGGGAGGCACAAAGTAGAGACATCATTTTTAAATCTTGTTTTATATCCAAGTATCTCACATCTGCTTGATTCATTATCTTAACTTAAAAATAAAAGACCTAAAAATAAGTAATGAAACTCTTTTTCTTCATCTTTCATAGCAGGGAGTTAACAGAGTAAATATAACTTTAATGAATTAGGAAAAAACCAATTTAAAAAATCTCCCATTTAGAAATACAGAGACAACTCTAAAAAACTGAAAACAGGAAGTTAAAAATGGCTGCCTCAGTCATTTTTTACAATGTAATTACATTGTAATTACACTTATTACATTTACATTGTAATTACATTACATTAAAAGAAATATTGACACAATGCTACAATATGGGTAACTCTTGAGAAGGCAAACATTATGCTAAGTGAAAAAAGCCAGACAAAAAAGGCTGTGCCATATTATGATTCCATTTTTATGAAATGTCCAGACTAGGCAAATTCATAGAGACAGAAAGTACACTAGTGGTTGGGAGGGAGTAGGGGAAACAGGGAGTGACTACTAATGGGTACAGGATTTCTTTTTAGGGTGATGAAAATGTTCTAGAATTAGATACTGGTGATTGTTGCACAATTCTGTGACTATACGAGAAACCACTGAATTACACACTTTAAAAGGATAAACTTTATAATATGTCAGTACCATCTCAATAAAGCTATTATAAAAATTTTTTTAAGTGGCTGCATCTGGTGAGGAGGCTGGGCAGGAGGACGGCAGAGAGATGACACCTTTCCTAAGTAACTCCATTGTCCTATTTCTCTCAGGAGCCACCCTGTCCCCATAATCACAAAGGCCCCTGCTTTGATTTCCTTATACCTCTCCTCCATAGCTCCAAGGCCCTGGTCAGACTGAAGCCTGAAACACCAGCCTGCTTCCCACAGCCCTCTTCTTTCCACACCCATCACCACATTTTGGACCCTGGTGCCGCCTGATCCCAAGACTTCTGAGGTTCTGCAGCAAGCATTCAGGGCCTGGCCTCTCCAGCCTAAAATCTAACTGGAGTCAGTCTCACTCAAACACTGGTCACACAGTGTGCTGCCTGCCACCCCTGACCCCTGTGGTGCTGCAGGAGGCCAGACCCCCACTCACCAGGCTGTGCCCAACTGGCTGATGCATTCTTTTCACCTCTTGGCCCAGGTCTACGAAGCAGCCTTCCCCTCCACAGTAAAAGCTGAGCTCCACACAGACTCTGTCCCATCTCCCGACTCATCAGGTGACTGTGCTCCTGCAGGCCTACCCTACCCGTCTCAGGTTTCTCCTGTCCCACACTGCACGTGTGGCTCCAGGTAGGCCGTGAGATCTCCTTAGCTGAGTGAATAACCCTGGAAAAGGGTCTGGGAGCTCCTCAGGGTGAAGGCTCACACCTGTCCTTGTTCCCTTCACAGCAGGCACAGCAGGCACTGCACAGCATCAGCCTAAATCGGGTGCTAAAGACATGAGTGAAGGTGGCAATAGAGAAGTGGGGCTGCCAGCCAAAAGGGCTGCCCTTCATGCCCCACAACAAGCCAGGGAGAGTTGGAGCTCAGTACTGTGGACAGACTGGTTGACACTAAGGCTCCGAATCACTAAAAACGGCCTAATTCTCCCTACCTGCTCTCAGGAAGGATTAACTTCCAGTTGCTTCCTTCCCTACCCAAACTCCAACTGTTGTAAACTGGAGAGCCGCATCAACTGGGATGACCAGGGATAACCTGGACATCATCCTCTGGGAACAGGACAGCCCCATCTCACCTGAACCTGGGCTGCTGGGAGCCCAGTGGCCCTCCTCCCCTCCTCCAGGCTTCCCTCCACGTGCCAGGCAGGATACTGAGGACACAGAGCTAGGAAACGAGAAAAAAGTCATGGAGGCAGCTCTCGCTGCCAGGAGCTCACCTTTTCTTCTGGGGGGCTGAGAACCAGCCCCTGCCCCTCCCCCTTGAATGAGGAAAGAGACCCACTTCCTCATTCTATAGATGAAGGAATTAGGGCTCAGAGAAGGTTAGGAAAGTACCTAAACACATGAATCTCTCATTGGCCCCCCCTGTGCTATTGGGTACCATCTCTGAGAAGCAGTGTCTGGTCACAACCTTCCTGGGCCTGAACCCTAAACGGCCACACATGAATTCTCATGCATCTTGAGATGTCACCATCACCTTACTGCTCACTGGTTTTCTTTTTTTTTTTGAGACTGAGTCTCGCTCTGTCGCCCAGGCTGGAGTGCAGTGGCACGATCTTGGCTCACTGCACGCTCCGCCTCCTGGCTTCACGCCATTCTCCTGCCTCAGCCTCCCGAGCAGCTGGGACTACAGGCGCCCACCACCACGCCCAGCTAATTTTTTGTATTTTGTTTTAGTAGAGACGGGGTTTCACCGTGTTAGCCAGGATGGTCTCGATCTCCTGACCTCGTGATCCACTCGCCTCGGCCTCCCAAAGTGCTGTAGGCGTGAGTCACCACGCCTGGCCACTAGTTTTCTGATTCCTCCTTGTTCCAGCTCTGCACAGAGACAGATCTGGACCACCTGCCCTAAAGCCCCACCTGGTCCCCATTCTATTCCCCAGCTGTGGCAGAGCACTACAGCCAGAGGCCACAATATGGCAGCCCACAGCTGACCAGGCTCTTGACTCACCCCAGGAGGCCCATGGGTCAACAGCTGTCATCCCCCAAGATTGGTCCGTAAGGGCACCTGCACAGAAGGATCAGGTTAGGACTGTGACACCAAACCTAGTGATTCAAGGCGACAAAATACAAGAGGAGGCTGACTCGCTAATGGGCACTACAAAATTCCATAAACAGAGCCCAAGGGTGTGTAAAAAAAATGCAACATAAGCTGGATTCACACAGGCAATGCACAGGTGAGTCACTATTAATTAACACCGTTTTAAAATTACCAACCAATGCTATATAAGTAAAAACAATAAAGGTAAAAATATATATGAGAGCAGTAGAGACAATATTTTATTATATGTATCACTGTTGTTTAGGAAACCCCACAAACCACCAGAAAAATCCCTTAAAACTAATGACACCTCTCAGGAGATGACTATAAAACATAAAAGTTAGTGTCTTTTATGCCAACAATTTTCCTCCTTTACCACCAATCAGTTCTAATTTTGTACCAAGATAGACAGACCCCCTTCCATCCTCAAAAGTCCTCAGCCCATCACCAGCTCTGACCCATGACTGCAGCAGCTAATGATAGGGGAGGCCCAGGAGAAACACAACTTGGACTCACCCCAGGAGGCCCACGGGTTGATGGCTGCCATCCCGAGGACTGATTGACCAGGCACCTGCCCAGGAACACAGCAAATCCCAACCTAGTGACAAAAGTGAAAAAAGACAAAACTAGTCCTTTCTCACAGAAGACCAAGTGGGAACAAAGAAGGGAATCCATCCACCGAAGCAACAAAAAAACTTGTAAGGAGCATCGTAAGAAAAGAGAATTTACATGTCAAAAAAGTAACACAATTCCTGGAGAGAAATGAAAGGTAATTTGCATAAGCTGGAAAAAAGAGCATGATCCTGAATGAGAGGGTACAAATTTGTCAGCTATTCCCAAGAGACAGCCAGTCACAACACAGATGGAACTTTTGGATTAATCTGACAATTATTGTAAAATCAACTTGCAATCCTCATATATTAGTGGTTGCCTAGAGCTGGGGGAAAAATGAAATGGGGAGTGACTGCTTAAGGGGAACAAGGGTTTCTTTGTGGGGTGATGAAATGTTCTAAAATTAGATAATGGGGATGATTGCACAACTTTATTAATATACAATAAAACCGGTGAATTGCACACTTTTAAGTGCTTAAAGTGAACATTATGTTATGCAAATTTAATCCCACCTCCAAAAAAAATTCACCTCCAAGATTTACTAAGCCTAAGCTTGTGTGTGTGTGGAGGACTTAGAGATGGGCCTGGCGCCCAGACCCCTAACTCCTCAGGTTCCAGATCTTTGTACAAGTCAGCAACCTCTCGAATGGATTCCTGGGTATGTGTATAAAGCACTAGAACACACAGTGGGCCTCAGGAGCACCGGAATCAGCGCGAAAACGCAGAATGCAAACCGTACTTTGCACCATTATTTGCAACTTGACAGTGACCGCCGCCGTCACTGCATGTTTAAGGGAACCCGGAGCTGTTTCCAACCCAGGTCTGACGTCCTTCACAGTGCTTTGTGTGAACTGGCAGGGGGAGAAACGACGGCTGGGGAACGAACGGGGTTATTCGTCCCATCAATGGCCTCAGAAGCATCCTTATCACCTGCTTCCAGAGCTCCCGACCCAAATTTCCTCCTCAAGACCGACGCGGCCGCGACGCTGCAAAAGCTCGTCCCGGCCTCACCTGGCTCGCGGCCGGCGGTCCCCCTTGAAGGCGGCGCAGCAGGATCGGGGTCTGCCCGCCTGGGGCGTTTGGCTTTTGTCCCGCGCCGAGGTCCGGCCCAGGAGTGCGCTTGGGAGCTCCCGGCGCGGCCTCGGGGACAAAGGCCCGCGGAGCCGACGTGCAGCAGAGTTCACCCAGGCCCGTCCGACCAGAAAACGAAGAACGCCCGGAGGCGGGAGGCCGGAGGCAGGCTGCTGGCTGGAGAACCGACGGCAACGACGGCGCAAAGCCGGCGCGGAAAGGGCAGGCGCAGGACCCACCCTGACGCCGCCTCTCCCAGCCGGCTCTCCTGACCCCCCAAGCCCCGCAGCTACGGCGGCCCCACAGCCTGAGCAAAGGCCTCACCTCAGCCGCGGACAATGGCGGCTGCTTCCCCGGCGTCGACCGGAGCGCGCCGCGGGGTCTGCTGGGAGCTGTAGTTCCAGGCGGGCACTTCCGGCGTCGGGCAGCGGCGCCGCCATGACAGGTTCCTGGGCCGCGCCGCCTCGCCCTGCCTGGGCGGGGTTGGGACCTTTCTGGCACCTGCGTCGAAGCCGGCGGCAGGATGGACTTTGTTGTCCCGGTCCCAGACCACCCTCCTCCACCGTCGCCTCCCACTGCAAAAAGGCCTGGGTAAGTCGCGGCCCCGCGGGCCTCGGTTTGCCCATCCGCAAAATGGCGCCTCGTGGTACCGGGTTTCCCGGGAGGAGCTCGGCGAGTTCTCAGCGCTCTCGAGGGATCCTTCCATTTGGCGTTCGCAAGATTGTGAGAAAGTGACTGCTGTTATTCTCTTTAAGATAAGGAACCTAATTCGAGCTACCCTTCTCTGTGAAGCTCGACGGCTGAGAACGTCAGGGCTCGTTCCCAAGTCTCTTTCCAGAGGCCAGGCTTTATGGGAGCATGGGTTACCAGCGACGCACCCTGTGAGTTTTCCTCTATCGATATGCATGGAGCGGTTCGGGAGCGGTGGCTCATTCCTGTAGTCCCAGCACTTCGGGAAGCTGTGGCGGGAGGATCAGTTGAGTTCAGGAGTTCGACACCACCCTGGGCAACATAGCGAGACCACATCTCTACAAAAAAAATACAAAAATTAGCCCGGTGTGATGGCGCGCGCCTGTAGTCCCCGCTACTTAGGAGGTTGCGGTGGAAGGATTGCTTGAGCCTGGGAGGTCAAGGTTGCAGTGAGCTATGATCGCACCACTGCACTTCAGCCTGGGCAACAGAGCAAGACCCGGCATTAAAACAAACAAAAACGGGCCGGGCGCGGTGGCTCACAGCTGTAATCCCAGCACTTTGGGAGGCCAAGGCAGGTGGATCGCCTGAGGTCAGGAGTTCCGAGACCAGTCTGGGCAACATGATAAAACCTCGTCTCTACTAAAAATACCAAAAATTAGCCGGGCTTGGTGGAGGGCACCTGTACCCAGCTACTTGGGAGGCTGAGGCAGGAGAATCGCTTGAACCCGGGAAGCGGAGGCTACAGTAAGCCGAGATCAAGCCATTGCACTCCAGCCTGGGCAGCAGGGCAAGACTCTGTCTCAAAAAAAGGGACTGAGGGACTGTAGGTGGTGATACCAAAGAAAGCATGGCCATTTAGGAAGCTAGACTTGAGTGAGCAGTGGGCAAGAGAGATTTTGAAGATATTTCCACTAGTAATGGAGGATCATTTTAAAAAGCTGGCCTGTGGGTTGGGCTTTTGTTGTTGGGTGGTGTTGGCACTCACTGTGGGTGGGCAAAGGGGAGTAGCCCTTTCAGAGGGAGAGGAAAAGTTCAAGTAGGACAGGCTGAATTCAAGGGAGAGGAAAATTTCAAGTAGGACAGGCTGAATTCGAGGGAGAGGACCATGAGAGAGGTAAGGTGGAAGGGGCAAGGTGTTGGGACAGGCCCCAGCTGGCAGGAAGGTGAACCCAGTCAGAGTGGGCACTGAGAGGAAAGCAATCTATGGATGGTACAGCCACAATTTCCATCTCAGGATCAAGCAGAGAAAGAGAGGCTGGAGAAGGAAGAGTGACAGAAGTAAGAAGAGAGTGTCTCTCCACTTCCACTCCAGCCCCCTACAGCTCATCCTCCAGCAGGCAGCCAAGGGCACTTTTAGGATCTCACATCAGGTCCTTGCCTCACATTCTGCACTGGCTTCCCAAGTAATTAAAGTAAAATCCAAATTCCAGCTCACAGCTTAGAAAACTCAGCAGGACTGGCCTCTGTCCTATCCCACACCCCACCTCAGTCCCTCAAGCTCATCTCCTGTCATTCCTGCCCATTTCTGGACCCCAGCCACTCCTCAAACAGGGTAAGTCCATTCCTGCTTCAGGGCCTTTGTACGTATTGTTTCCTCTTCCTGGAATCTTCTTCCTTGTACAGCCCCAGGGTTTTCTTTTTTTCATCCAGATCACAGCACAGATGTCACATCCTGGTAACAGCCAGCTGTGACTCATCTCCCTAATTCTCAATTGTATTACTCTCTTTTTATTTTCTTCGTATCGTAACTGATAGTCTCATACAGTACAGAAGCCAAGTTTTAAGATATGCAATCACCAAATACCTGCTACACAAACCTCAATGTTCATATAAAATAAGACTAGAATTCATATTCTAAAGAGAGATGAGGTAGCTCTGTTCACTTTTGAGAGGGAACTCAAATGAGAGAGATACCTTTGACCTAAAGGTGTCAGGAAACCAGATGAAGAAAAACACCCCTGCTATGATTTGAATGTTTTTATCCTCTCCAAAATTCATGTTGAAACTTACTCCCCAGTGCAGTAGTGTTGGGAGGCAGGGTCTAATGGGATTTATGGAGGTCATAAGGCTCTGCTGTCATGAATGGATTAATGTTGTAAACCAAAAAATAAAATTCTAAGCCCCCCACCCCCCAACCATATGAATAGACCCCTCCTCTCAGCCAAGGGCATTCCAAAGTTAATTTGAAAAATGAGTTCGGGCCATGATGGGAAGCAGAAGCTGGACTTGCCTCATTATACCCTCCTCCCTTCTAGAATTAGTGATAGAACAGACTCTTTAAGTCTGATAAGAAACATTTACAGTCTGTTATCTCCGGAGGTTTCATCTGCTTGGTAAAACCTTGAGTTCCACAACCCCAGACATTCCTTTCTATTGACAATAACTCTTTAAATCAATTGGCAATCAGAAATCTTTAAATCTGCCTATAACCTGGAAACTTTCTGTACCAGTATACATCTTATATGTATTGATTGATGTCTCATGTCTCCCTAAGATGTATAAAAGCAAGCTGAACCCTAACCACCCTGGGCATGTCCTCAGGATCTCCTGAGAGCTGCGTCAGGGGCCACTGGTCACCATATTTGGCTCAGAGTAAATCTCTTCAAATATTTTACAGAGTTTGACTCTTCGTCAACAATGCCATTGTAAAAGGTTCATGGAGAGATTCTGCATGTGCTTGCATTCTCTTTCTCTCTCTCTCTTTCTTTCTCTCCCCCCACCCCCACCCTCCACCACCCTGCCCTTTACCTTCTGTCAGGTGAGGATGCAGTGTCCAAGGCACCATCTTGAACTCATCATCGCCAAATATGTGAGCACCTTGATGTTGGACTTCCCAACCTCCAGACCGTAAGGCAGTACATTTCTTTGTAAATTACGCAGTCTCAGCTATTCTGTTACAGCAGCACAAATGGACTAAGACAACCCCCGAGATAGGAAGGGGTAAGGTAAATGCAATGAGAGTTGGGGTTTTCGATCTTAGTCCAGTAAAGGAGCTGGAACTGTTCTGTATAAACAAAGGGCAAGGTAATTGCTACATAGATTCTTTTCTTATTATTGCTGATTCTTATCCTAAAATAAAGGACATTGCCACTACACATCCTCTAGAATGACCAAAAATAAAAATACAGCATCAAATGGGACGACATGGTGCCAACTGGAATTCTCATACCCTGCTGATGGGAGTATAATGTGGTACAGTCACTTTGGAAAAAAGTTTGACAATTTCTTATAAAATTATACATAAACCTGTACTATGACCTAGAGATTCTACTCCTGTTTGTTCAAAAGAAAGGCAAACATCTGTCCACTAAAAGATATGTACAAGAATGCTCACAGTGGCATTATTTATGACGGTCCAAACCAGGAGATAATCCAAATGTCTGTAACCAAGAGAATGGATAAAGAAATTTTGATACGTCAATTTAATGGATTACTACTTAGCAATAAAAATAATTAGCCATGCTGGGCGCGGTGGCTTATGCCTGTAATCCCAGCACTTTGGGAGGCTGAGGCAGGTGGATCACCTGAGGTTGGGAGTTCAAGACCAGCCTGACCAACATGGAGAACCCCCGTCTCTACTAAAATACAAAATTAGCCGGGGTGGTGGCGCATGCCTGTAATCCCAGCTACTCGGGAGGCTGAGGCAGGAGAATCACTTGAACCCGGGAGGTGGAGGTTGCATTGAGCCGAGATTGCGCCATTGCACTCCAGCATGGGCAAAAAGAGCAAAACTCCGTCTCAAAAAAATAAATAAATAATAATTAGCCACATATCCACACAACAATATTGCATTATCACAGGTATAGTGATAAATACTGTATGATTCCATTTATATGAAGTTCAAGAACAGGCAAGTAATCCATGATGAAAGAAGTACTTACCTCTGGGGGTGGCAGCATTGACTAAAGAGGTACAAGGGAGTCTTCTGGGGCCTGGAAATGTTCTATATCTTGATCTGGGTGGTGGTTACACAGGTATACGCGTGTTAAGAAATCATCAGGCTGTATACTTAGTGTACTGTAATGGCATTACACTGTCTTTCAATTAAAATGTGAAAGAAAAAACGGGGGTGTCTTTTGCTTCCACATTTGTAGCCCCAGCTTCTGTATCTCCTGCGTGATAATGGTTGGATGAATTAAAAGGTAGGAGGAATAGAAGAGGAGAAAAGCAATAGGAAGAGGAAGGCTGGAAGAAAAGCCCAGCTCCACTGTCTCACTTGGGTGTCACTGGGTACTGGGGAATTTGGAAGCACTAGGGAACAGAGAGGAAGGTGCTCCCTTAGGCTTCCACTTCTCAGCCCAGTAGTGAGAGGCTATGAAGCTGTTGCCCCCTGGTGGGGGACAAGTGAGACCAGTGAGAGAGGGTTTTTGCCTTAGAATTGCCCCTTCCCTGGAGACAGCAGCAAGATGAAGGCCTCTCAAGAAGTGCTTCATCCTCTGGAAACCAGCGGAGGAAATGACTTTCCCAAGAGAAGGATCATACATCACTCAATCATCAGCAAACATTTATGAAGCACCTGCTCTGTGCCAGACCCTAAAGTGAAAAAAAACAAACACTGCACTTACGGAAGCACGAGATAAACAATAAACATAAGTAAATTAAAGAGTAGTTAGAAGGCAACAACTTTGGAAGAAAGAAAAAAGAGTAGGTGATGTAGTGCCCAGATGGGAAGGGCAAGTTGCCGTATAAAATTGGGTGCTAAGAGTGAGTCAGAGTCACCTCATTGAGGTGACATCTGAACAAGGACTGGAAAGAAGGGATGCAGATGGCTGGGCGCGGTGCCTCACGCCTGTAATCCCAGCACTTTGGGAGGCCAAGGCGGGCGGATCACAAGGTCAGGAGATCAAGACCATCTTGGCTAACATGGTGAAACCCCATCTCTACTAAAATCCAAAAAATTAGCCAGGCGTGGTGACGGGCTCCTGTAGTCCCAGCTACTCGGGAGGCTGAGGCAGGAGAATGGCGTGAACCTGGGAGACGGAGCTTGCAGTGAGCCGAGATCGCGCCACTGCACTCTAGCCTAGGCAACAGAGCAAGACTCCGTCTAAATAAATAAATAAATAAAAATAAGAGATGCAGACATCGGAGGGAAGAGCTAGAACAAAAGCCCTGGTGTGAGGGCCTGCCTAGTCAGCTGCGGGAACAACAGTGGTCATAGAGGCAATAAGGGGGCCAGATGGTAGAGAAAGTTGAAGGCATCATGAGGGCTCTGGCAGGGTTCTGAGTAGAGCATTGATGAGCTCTAGCCTCTGTATGGAGAGTAACCAAGGAAAGCAGTAGAGTCATGTGTGAAACCAATGTAGTAATTAGGTGGAAGATGATAGCCGCTCGGATCAGATTGGTGATCAGTGGCTGGATTGCGGACATGCTGATACTTTAAAGGTAGAGCCAACAGACCGTAGGTTCAAGGTTTTGCATCATAAGGGGCAATATAGCCTGTAATGTTCAGAAGGAGTCAAGAAATAAAGGAGGCCTCTCAATACAGAGCTATTCACCAAGGGCCTTGATGGGGAGGAAGTAAGTTGCAAGTGTGTGGAGATACTGCTCCCTTCTGGCCCAAGCTCCCTCCCACTCCAGTTACCCAGTGTTGCGGGCAGCACCCTATTCTCTTCTGGGAGGTAGCGGAGGCAGAGCCACACCATCATTTTGGATGCACCTATTATGGGAGGCTGGAGTGCAATGGTGCCATCTTGGCTCACTACAACCTCCGCCTCCCAGGTTCAAGGGATTCTGCCTCAGCCTCCTGAGTAACTGGGGTTACAGGCGCGCGATACCACGCCTGGCTAATTTTTCTATTTTTAGTAGAGATGGGGTTTCGCCATGTTGGCCACGCTGGTCTTAAACTCCTGACCTCAAGTGATCCGCCCGCCTTGGTCTTCCAAAGTGCTGGGATTACAGGTGTGAGTCACCGTGCCCAGCCTGGACTTGCCTTTTACCTCATCCGTGGTGTCTTTTGAAGAAAAAGATTCTTTAGAAATGTTTTTTCTTTCATAGCTTGTGTTTTATGTATTACTTTCAAGATCCCAACTAGATCTAGGTCCTAAAAATAGTATCCTACCTATTGTTTTTTTAATCAACTTAATTGTGGTATAATTGCACACTGCAGATAAACTGCACATGTTTGAAGTGAGTAATGTAAGTTTTTTTGTCTTGGAGCCCTGAGGTAAACTTTTATTTCTTAGCTGACAGGACTTCCACACCCATGCTCCTCTCGGCACCTTTCACCCAGCCCAAGCAGCGGCGGCCCAGTGGTGGAAAAGGTGCCACGGCCAAACGGATTGGAGACTCACCCCGCATTCTAGGCCGGAGAAGCGGGCGGGCTTGGGATGCCGGCAGGAGGCAATGACTCTCCCCAGGCGCTGCATCCTGGCTCCGGGGCACAAGCGCCTCTCCGCCCTGACGCTGATGCTCGTCTGGCTGCCCGTTCTTTGGCATCAAAATACCAGACGATGGTGGCGCACCCTGTGGCCTGGGCTGCCTCACCTCATTCGGTCCCGCCTAGAAAGACCAGAGGACCAGAAAACCAGAAGCCTGTCAGAGCGACTAGAGGCTGGCTCCAGCCAACAGCCGCGCGCCTCAGCGTCCACGAGGGTTACCTGGGTAACGCGCCGCTTGGGCTCGGCGCCCAGCCGATGACGTAACCCGCGCTTGCGTAGTGGCGCCGCCCTGATGTGTAGTCTCCAGGCCGCCCCGAACACCAGCCCAGCGGGTCCTGGACCCCTAGGTCATGTGGCTACAGTGGAATCCAGGCTTGGCCGAATCCAGGACGACCAGGCCAGACCCACCGGCAGTACCTTGCCCGCCCGCTTTAGTCACTTGCTCTAGGTGGATCTAAACCTCTAGGCCTGGGCGCGGTGGCTCACGCTTGTAATCCCGGCACTTTAGGAGGGCAAGGCGGCAGAATCGCTTGAGCCCCCGGCAGCATGGAGAGGTGGCAGAGGCAGGGCCATACCATCATCTTGGGTGCACCTATTATGGGAGGCTGGAGTGCAATGGTGCCATCTTGGCTCACTGCAACCTCCGCCCCCCAGGTTCAAGCGATTCTGCCTCAGCCTCCTGAGTAACTGGGATCATAGGCGCACGCTACCACGCCCGGCTAATTTTTCTATTTTTAGTAGACATGGGGTTTCGCCACCCCCGGCAGCATGGGTAGACATGGCCCTCCCGCCTGATCTCTTAAAAAAACTTTAAATAATTCGTGGGGGGGGTTACCGCCCACCTGTTTTCCCAGCTACTCCGGAGGCTGCGGTGGAAGGATCACCTGAGCCCAGGAGGTCAAGACTGCAGTGAGCTATGATCCTGCCACTGCACTCCAGCCTGGGCGACAGCGTGAGATCCTGTCTCCAAAATAAATAAAATTATGTACATATGTATGTATATTTAATTACATATATTTTGTATAATTTGTATATAGTTTATAATATATACATGTATGTGTACACATACATAAATATATGCGTAAATATATATATGCATATATATATGTAATAAAATATTAAGAACCCGCCCAGCCGAAGCCACGGGCGCTTTGGGCCCTCGGTTGGCCTCAGCCACTTCAGTCGCGGCCCCGGGGATGTTGGGGGAACCCTGTCAGGCAGCAAGCGCGTCCTCCAGCCCCGGGCGGCCGGCGGCTGTGCACCCGCCCTCCCTCCCTCCCACGGCGCTCGCCTGCATGCGTTTTGGCAAATATCTAAACCCGCAAAACCATCACTAGCTCTGGTTTCCCAAGATCCTTGAAGCCCCTCCGTTCAGCATTCCACGCCCCTCTCTGCCCTGCTTTCAAACCACCGCCAATCTGCTTTCTGTTATATATACAGATTAGTTTGGATTTTCTAACAGTTGTATATAAATGCAGTGACACATTTGAGTGTACTCTTTTGTGATCTGGTTTATTTTACTCAGCATAATTATTTTGAGATTATCCATTTTGTTGCATATGTAAGTAGCTCATTCCTTCTATTGCTGAGTGGTGTTCCATCTCATGGATGCACCACCATTGTTTATCACGCATCTGTCCGTGGACATGTAAACTGTTTTCTATTTGCGGCTGTTAAAAATAAACTTCTGTGAACATTCGTGTACAAGTCTTCCTAAGGACACGCATTTCCTTTCCTGTTGGATAAATGCCTAGGCGTAGAATGGCTGGATCATATAGGAAATGAAAATTCAACTTTTTTTTTTTGAGATGGAGTCTCACTCTGTCGCCCGGACTGGAGTGGAGTGGCGCGATCTCGGCTCACTGCAAACTCCGCCTCCGCGGTTCACACCATTCTCCTGCCTCGGCCTCCCGAGTAGCTGGGACTACAGGCGCCCACCACCACACCAAGCTAATTTTTTCATTTTAGTAGAGACGGGGTTTCACCGTGTTAGCCAGGATGGTCTCAATCTCCTGACCTCGTGATCCACCCGCCTCAGCCTTCCGAAGTGCTGGATTACAGGCGTGAGCCACCATGCCCCACGAAAGTTCAACATTTTAAGAAACTCTCCATTTGTTTTCCAAAGTGTTTGTACCGTTTCACATTCCCACCAGCAATACACAGATGCTCCTGAACTACGATAGGGTTAGGTCCAAATAAGCCCATGGTAAACTGAAAATACCATGAATCAAATGATTTACAATACCCAAATAAATCCGTCAAGTTGAGGAGAGTACTGAATTTGTATAGCTTGTATACCATCATAATTTTGAAAAATCATAAGTTGAATCATGGACAAGGACTGTATAAGAGTTGTAATTCCTCCATATCCTTGGCAACATGATATGGTTTATTTTTTGCAATTCTAATAGGTGTGTATTGGGTATTGCACTGTAGTTTTGATTTCCCTAATTACTAACATTAAACATCTTTTCATATACTTCCTTTCCATTTGCATATTTTGTGGTGAACTGTGTTCAAATGCTTTGCTTGGCTTTAAAAAAAAAGTAGCTGAAATTGCTTGTTTTCTTATTGTTGAATTTTATCTTTTATTCTTTTTTTTTTTTTTTTTTTTTTTTTTTGAGATGGAGTCTTGCTCTGTCACCCAGGCTGGAGTGCAATGGCATGATCTTGGCTCACTGCAACCTCTGCCACCCAGGTTCAAGTGATTCTCCTGCCTCAGCCTCCCAAGTAGCTGGGATTATAGGTGCACACCACGACACCTGGTTAATTTTTGTATTTTGAGTACAGACAGGGTTTCACCATGTTGGCCAGGCTGGTCTTGAACTCCTGACCTCAAGTGATCTGCCCATCTCAGCCTCCCAAAGTGGTAGGATTACAGGCGTGAGCCACCACGCCCATCCTTTAACTATCTTTTAATCCACACAGAAGCCCAGAGCTCAAATCAGGGGCCCTGATATCTTCAACAAGGCCTGGCTCGTGGGTTTATGGCGCAGGTCTGAGGAGCTCCTGGCTCCACGTTTCCCACCGATCCCAGTGTCCTCGCCTCACCCAGTCTGGGGCATTCCGCTCGGGCTTTAGCAGGATGATGTAACATTTGGGGCAAAGATGCCACCCAGCAGCCCTGCCATGGAAGCCAGGATGGAAAAGATCTCCACGGCCACAGTGGACTTGCCCTGTGCGCTGTGGTACAGGGGCAGGAAGGTTGTCCAGAAGCTGCAGAACAGCAGCACGCTGAAGGTGAGGAACTTGGACTTGTTGAAGGCGTCTGGCAGACCCCTGGCCAGGAAGGCTACAAAGAAGGTGCCCCCAGCCAGGAGGCCCAGGTAGCCCAGCACACAGGAGAAAGCGACAGCAGAGCCCTCTCAGCACTGGATGACAATGTGGCTGGGCTCTGAGGCCATGTCCCCATCTGGGAATGGTGGGGAAGTGCCCAGCCAGATGCCACAGAGAACAACCTGCACCAAGGAAGCAGCAAGGACCACCGAGGTGGAAGCGCCAGGTCCCAGGCACACCCAGACCCTGTCACCTGGTGACCCTGAAGGCCAGGACGGAAGAGACAGCCATGGTGAACACAACAGCAACTGTGGTCTGGTAGAGGCGGCAGGTGGCAGCTGTGGGACAACCAAGGCAAGGCAAGGGACAGAGGGCACAGAGGGTCAGGGAGGTGAGCGGCGTGCAGCTGAGAGCTCTGTTGTTGGCCCCGACCACAGGTGTGTCTCGGTGCTTCAGAACAGTCTGAGGACCAGCACTGCCAGGCTGGCCAGCATGAGCGCCACCAAGGCGAGCATGAGTCCCAGGGGGTCGTCAAAGGCCAGGAAGGTCTCTGTCCTGGGCAGGCAGCCATCTCTGGTGCGGCTTGAGTACTGCTCCTCTGGGCACAGAAGACATCTCTTCGTACCTGTGGGAGACACACATCCCTGCGTCTGCCACAGGATCGTAATGACACCAGCCATGTGAAGGAAGGCTCCCTATGCACTAAACCAGCCTTACCAGCGTTTCACACCTATTCATTACTGATTGAAGGGGGCCTGCCCCTCCACACCTGTGGGTATTTCTCGCAAGGTGGAGACAAGAGACTGAGAAAAGAAATAAGACACAGAGACAAAGTGTAGAGAAAGAAAAGTGGGCCCAGGGGACCGGCACTCAGCATACAGAGGACCCACACCAGCAGCAGTCTGAGTTCCCTCAGTATTTATTGATCACTATCTCTACCATCTTGGCAAGGGGGATGTGGCAGGACTACACGGTAATGGTGGGGAGAGGGTCAGCAGGAAAACATGTGAGCAAAGGACTCTGTGTCATAAATAAGTTTAAGGAAAGGTGCTGTGCCTGTGATGTAACCAAGCAAGTTATAGAGAAACGCCACACTTTGAGACTAATTCAGGAGTCCTTTATCAGCCGGTGACCGAGAGATGGCTAGTGCTCAAAATTCTCTCAGCCCCGAAGAAGGGGCTAGATTTTCTTTTATACTTTGGTTTAGAGGAGGGGGAACCTAGCTGTAGCAATCTTACAGAAGTAAAGCAGGCAAAAAAAAAAGTTAAAAAGACAAATGGTTACAGGAAAACAAACAGTTCCAGGTACAGAGGCTTTAAATCCATCACAAGGTGATAGGTGCGGGGGCTCTGGGTGCTATCTGCCAGACACAAACGCGGGGGCTTTAGGGTACTATTACCCCAGTGAATTCCTGGCAACTGCAGACATAGCCTGCCACAGTACCTTATCAGTTAATTGCACTCTTTGATATGCTGAGAGTCAGCTTGCTCAAGTTAAGTCCTTGAGGAAGGGAGTGGGTAAGGAGCCCTTGAGGTCTTGCAAATGAAGGAGCTAAATGGAGTCCATCCAGCTTTCTCAGCTAAGAGAGAGTATTCATATTAAAACAAGGTATGGTATCACACCTGGATGTGCACGTAGGCCAGATTTATGTTTGACTTTACCCAAACACCTCAGTGCAGTAAAGAGCAGTACTGCCACCAGCATGTCTCACCTCCAGCCGTAAGACAGTTTTCTCCTATCCCAGTAAATGGAATGTACAATCAGGTTTTCTACCGAGACATTCCATTCCCAGGGATGAGGAGCAGGAGACAGAGGCTTTCCTCTTATCTCAAGTGCAAAGAGGCCTTCCTCTTTCACTAATCCTCCTCAGCATAGACCCTTTACAGGTGTCAGGCTGGGGGACGGTAAGGTCTTTCCCTTCCCACGAGGCCACATCTCAGGCTGTCTCAGGGGGGCAAACCTTGGACAATACCCAGGCTTTCTCAGGCAGAGGTCCCTGCGGCCTTCCGCAGTGCATTGTGTCCCTGGGTACTCGAGACTGGAGAATGGCGATGACTTTTACCAAGCATACTGCCTGCAAACACATGTTTACCAAGGCACATCCTGCACAGCCCTAACTCCATTAAACCTTGAGTCAATACAGCACGTTTCTGTGAGCACAGGGTTGGGGCTAGGGTTACAGATTAACAACATCTCAAGGCAGAAGAATTTTTCTTAGTACAGATCAAAATGGAGTTTCTTATGTCTTCCTTTTTCTACATAGACACAGTAACAGTCTGATCTCTTTCTTTCCCCCACAGATTTATAATTTTGAGATACCAGTGATGGGATGGGCCACATTAGATCCTGAGGCACAAGGAAAAATACACGCCCCGTATACATGTTTGCATGTTTTTTTAAAATGGTTAATTTTTTCCAAGTAGTAACAACAACTGCTCTTTTTGTTTTGTTGTTTGAGACAGGGTCTCACTCTTGACACCCAGGCTGGAAAGCAGTGGCTCGATCACAGCTCACTGCAACCTCCACCTCCCAGGTAAAGCCATCTTCCCCCTCAGCCTCCCAAGTAGCTGGAACTACAGGCATGCACCACCACACCCAGCTATTTTTTTTATTATTGTTTTTGTAAAGACAGGGGCCTCACCCTGTTGCCCAGGCTGGTCTTGAACTCCTGGACTCAAGCAATCCTTCCACCTTGGCCTCTCAAAGTGCTGGGATTACAGGTCTGAGCCACCACACTCGGCTGCACTCGGACTTTTGAACCATAAAAACTGTGAGATAAGAAATGTGCTTTGTTTCATACGCTTGTGGTAATTTGTTAACAGCAGCTATAGAAACTAATGCAGGGAGCAACTGGGCATTGCCTACACTCACAGTGGGAGTGTGAACTGGAAGCACCACCAGTGTCTGTTAAAGCCACAGGTATGGCCTGGCATGGTGCCTCATGCCTATAATCCCTGCACTTTGGGAAGCTGAGGCAGGAGGATTGCTTGAGCTCAGGAGTTCAAGAACAGCCTGGGAAACATAATGAGTCCCTGTCTCTATAAAAATAATTTTTTAAAAAATTAGCCAAGCATGGTGGGGTGGCATGTACGTGTAGTCCCAGCTACTCGGGAGGCTGAGGTAGGAGGATCTCTTGAGCCCAGATCAAGGCTGCAGTGAACCACGTTCACACCACTGCACTCCAGCCTGGGCAACAGAGTGAGACCTCTTCTCAAATAAAAGAAAAAAAAAAGCTGCAGGTATGTCTACCTGTGGCCCAGCAATGCCACACCCAACAGAAATTCACCTGTATGTCCCCAAAAGACACAACAATGAGACACGGCTCATTGCAGCCGCTGATCAGCAGGCTTCTCAAATCCCCCATCCCTGTTGGAGTGGATGAAGCAGCCGTGGTGCGTCCGCACAATGGGATCTCACCAGTCATTAGAACAAGAGATCCACAACCACACATAACCACCACTAGGATGAATCTCACAAACAACTGGGAGGAAAAAGCAAGACACAAAAGAACACTCACTGTGTGATTCCACTTATAGGACGTTTAAAAATCAAGCAAAACCCACTGACACCAATAGAAGTCAGGGCGGTGGATGGGTCGCAGGGAGAAGACAATGGCTGGGAGGGGTATGAAAGCTTCTGGGAGGGCCAGGTTGTGCCCTGTTTCTTGATGAGAGGACCAGGGACACGGAATGTTTGCCAGGTGAGAATTCATTGGGCTGCACGCTTATGATCTATGCATTTGTCTATATATTTCAATAAAACATTTACCTAATAATAATGACCTTTATTCATTCTCTTTCAGCCACTGTTAATAATAAGTGCCGAGACCAGCTCAGTCGGGGAGACCCTAACCTAGCGGTGCTAGAGGAATTAAAGACACACACACAGAAATACAGGGGTGTGGAGTGGGAAATCAGGGATCTCACAGCCTTCAGAGCTGAGAGCCTCCAACAGAGATTTACCCACATATTTATTGACAGCAAACCAGTGATAAGCATTGTTTCTACAGATTATAGATTAACTATGTGTTTGGCAAAGTGTATTCACTGGGCAGATCCTGGAATACTGACACACTGAAAAATACTACAGAAAAAACTCCTGATGGAGACTCTGATTCAGCTTGTGTGACACTAATATTTTCATTTTGGGTGGTGAGCAAATGTCTTTCCTCACTCAGAGAAGGGCTCAGTATCCCTAAACAGCATAGCTGAGTTATGACTGGCCTAATTTAGAGCTGCACCAACTTCATGTACCAAATAGGGACACCGCTGGCCTCTGTGCTTCCCTCTGACTCGAATACACCAGAACTGGGATCATTTCTGCACCCTGGAAACTGACCTAGAGGTCCTCCTTTGTCACATGCACTGTCATTCTGTCTCCCAGAGGGGCTCACGGGTTGACTATGCCTATGTGGACAAAGTGGAATCAGCCCTCAGTGGTCTTCTGTCCATAGACAACATCAAATTCTGTAATTAAATCTCCGTTGGCATCAAACATGATCTCTGTCCCATCAGGGGTCTTGAAATGCACGTTCTTGAGAGGACGAAGCAGCTGGGGAAGGATGGATGACACTGTAGATGGGCAGGGCCAGTCCCAGGGCCTGTGCAAAATGCATCAGGTCCTCAGCCACCGTGGTGAGCAGGGGCTGCCTCAGGCAGGGCCAACGTATCCATGAGGCACGGGAGACCCAGGGCTGTGATATTTGCAGGGTCCCATGAAAATGTTCTAATGTTAACTGCTTGTAAAAGCAAAGAAAAAAATTAAAAAGTAATTAATGGGCCATGCACGGTGGCTCAAGCCTGTGGTCCCAGCACTTTGGGAGGCCGAGGCAGGCAGATCACGAGGTCAGGAGCTCAAGACCAGCCTGACCAATATGGTGAAATGCCGTCCCTACCAAAAATACAAAAATTAGCCAGGCGTGGTGGCTCACGCCTGTAATCCCAGCCACTCAGGAAGCTGAGGCAGAAGAGTCACTTGAACCCGGGAGACGGAGGTTGCAGTGAGCCAAGATCATGCCACTACGCTCCAGCCTGGGCGACAGAGCAAGACTCTGTCTCAAAAAAAAGTAATAATGAACATATAATAATGAGTCCAACCCAGGATATATTCATCTTTAGACCAAGGCAATGGTAAAATTGAATTAAGAATTTTTTTTTCCACGGAGGAAGGAACGCACAAAAGCCACAGTGTGGCCCCTGCTCCAGGGATTCCGTCTGAGCAAACACTTCCTCCTTGGCCTTCCCATCACACTCCAAGTGGAGTAAAATCCTGGCGGGACCTACACAGGTCAGTCCCTGAACACCTAGACATCCTGATCCCTCAGTCACAAACCTAGCATGGACTTAAGACCCCTCATCCTGGCCAGGCATGGTAGCTTATGCCTGTGATCCCAACACTTACCCCAAAGTGGACAGATCGCTTGAGCCCAGAAGTTTGAGACCAGCCTGGGCATCATGGTGAAAATACAAAAATTAGCTGGGCGTGGTGGTGCATGCTTGTAGTCCCAGCTACTCGGGAGGCTGAAGGATCGCTTGAGCCCAGGAGGTTGAGACTGCAGTGAGCTGTGAATGCATCACTGTATTCCAGCTTGAACAACAAAGCAAGGCACTGTCTTAACACAAAACAAAACAAAAAATTCCTCAGCCCGGCACGGTGGCTCATGCCTGTAATCCTAGCACTTTGGGAGGCCAAGGTGGGCAAATCATCTGAGGTCAGGAATTCAAAACCAGCCTGACCAACATGGTGAAACCCCATCTCTACTAAAAATACAAAATTAGCCAGGCGTGATGGCACATGCCTATAATCCCAGCTACTCAGAAGGCTGAGGCAGAAGAATTGCTTGAACCCAGGAGGCAGAGGTTGCAGTTAGCTGAGATCACACCATTGCACTCCAGCCTGGACAGAGCGAAACTCCGTCTCAAAAAAAAAAAAATCTTCGTCCAGTGCTCCTGCTAAGATGTGGCTTAGGGCTGTGAATACAAGATATCCTCACTGAGGAGCACTGCCCCTGTCCTCCCCACCAGGAGACCAAGTGAGTTTCCTGCTGTCTCCCCTTCCCTGAATCATCTACTCCACAGTTTGTTTTTGAGACAAGGTCTTACTCTGTTGCCCAGGCTGGAGTGCAGTGGCACCATCATGGCTTGCTGTAGCTTCAACCTCCTGGGCTCAAGCGATCCTCACACCTGAGCCTTCCAAGTAGTTGTGACTAGAGGCGTGCACCATCACGACTTTTTTTTTTTTAAAGATAGTCTCGCTCTGTCACCCAGGCTGGAGTGCAGTGGTGTAATCTCGGCTCACTGCAAGCTCTGCCCTCCCAGGTTGAAGGAATTCTCCTACCTCAGCCTCCTGAGTAGCTGGGACTACAGGCGCCCACCATCACGCCTGGCTAATTTTTTGTATTTTTAGCAGAGATGGGGTTTCACTGTGTTAGCCAGGATGGTCTCGAGATCTCCTGACCTCGTAATCCACCTGCCTCTGCCTCCCAAAATGTGGGGGTTACAGGCGTGAGCCACTGTGCCCAGCCCATGCTTGGCTGATTTAAAAATTTTTTTGTAGATTCAGTGTCTTACTGTGTTTCCCTGGCTGATCTTGAACTCCTGGGCTCGAATGATCCTCCCACATTGGTCTCCCAAAGTACTGGGACTACAGGCGTGAGCCACCATGCTCAGCCCCACTCCACACGTTCGCCTCTCACCAGCCAGGGCTGGAAGTCCCAGGCATCGGCACACCCCTGGTCCCCATGCTTGCAGCCTGCCAGGGCCTGGGCGATGGCATAGACCACTGTGTAGGCGATGTGTACTTTGCTTTCCTTCTGGAAAGGGTAGTGCTCAACCCTCAGACTCTCATTTCCTGAGCAGAACTGGACTCCTGCAGCCGCTGTGCTTTTCCCTGCTGGCCCCCAGCTGCTATGGGGCTATGTGCACTTGAAGGTGACCTCCCAGAATCTCCATATGAACATGTCTTCTGGGGTCCTGGCAAGGCGCAGGGAAGTCGGGGGGCTGGCTGTTGCAAAGCAGGAGGCTGAATGAGCCCTGCAGAACCCAGAAGGCACTGGCACAGTCAGGACCAGCGCCATGTGCAGAGTGTCCCAGCTGACACAGACCTGGCCCAGGATGCCTCGGCCTGCCAGGCACTGCAGGATGAGTCTGAAGTGCTAGCTGTTAAGGAAAACCAGGATGATGGTGGCCGTACAGTTCTCCATCAGCCAGATGATGTTTTTCATCTTCAGGGACTCCCGGGTGGGGATGCAGAGTTGGAATTCAATGCAGACCCCAGCCTGGCCCAGCTCCTGGACGACCAGAGACCTGCCCTGCAGCTCAAAGTCGTCCCCCTGCGCCAGGACGCTCACCCAAGACCATCGGAAGTGAAGCATCAGCTGCACCACTGCATGGGTGGTCGTGAGGTGACTGAGCAGGGTCTGAAAGAAGGATGGGAACTGGGTCCTGTCGCTGAGGCTGGCCAGTGTGGAGGAGGGGCTGACCTGTGCAGGAAGAGGCCAGGGCAATGGGGAGGGGTGAGGAGCAGCTCAGGCACCTGCTGACCACCAGGTTCAAAAGAAAGCCAGGTTGACCCACACGTCCCTGGTGGCCCTGGGTGTGTCCCCCAATTTTGTCACTGAAAGCTCACACCTATAATCACAGCACTGAGAGGCCAAGGCGGGCAGATCACTTGAGGTCAGGAGTTCAAGACCAGCCTGGCCAACAACATAGTGAAACCCCATCTCTACTAAAAATACAAAAATTAGCCAGGCATGATGGTGGGTGCCTGTAATCCCAGCTACTTGGTAGGCTGAGGCAGGAGAATCGCTTGAACCCTGGAGGCCGAGGTTGCAGCGAGCCGAAATCGCACCACTGCACCCTAGCCTGGGTGACAGAATGAGACTCCGTCTCAAAAAAAAAAAAAAATTCCCACATAAGTCTGGGCATGGTGGCTCACGTACATCCCAGGGCTTTGGGAGGCCAAGGTGGGAGGACTGCTAGAGCCCAGGAGGTCGAGACTAGCTTGGGCAACACAGTATGACCCCCTACTCTAAAGAGACACACACAGAAAGAGAGACACACACACAGAGAGAGAGAGAGAGAGACAGACACAGAGACACACAGAGGAAGAGACAGACAGAGACAGACAGAGACAGAGACAGAGAGACAGAGTCAGACAGAGAAACAGGAGGGAAGGCAGGCAGGAAGGGAAGAAGGGAGGGAGGGAGGGAGAGGAGGGAGGGAGGGAGGGAGGGATGGAGGAGGGGAGAGAGAGCGAGCCAAGCAGGCACAGAAAAAAAAAAAAAGGAGAAAAGGAAAGGAAGAAAGAAAAAGGCCAGATGTGGTGGCTCACACCTGTAATCCCAGCACCTTGGGAGGCAGAAGTGGGCAGATCACTTGAGGCCAGGCTGGTCTCAAACTCCTGACCTCACGTGATCGGCCTGCCTCAGCCTCCCAGAGTGCTGGGATTACAGTTGTAAGCCGCAGCACCCAGCCCCAAGGAATAATTGAACTTAATGTTCATTCCTCTCGTTTTGCCCACTTCAAACTTACGTTTCTGCTCCTTTGCCAAGCTGGGTTTTTGTTTGTTTTTTTTGAGACAGGGTTTTACTGTCACCCAGGCTAGAGTGCAGTGGCAGGAACACAGCTCACTACATCCTCCACCTACTGGGCTCAAGAGATCTTCCTGCCTCAGGGGACTACAGATGTGCACCACCCACCACCCCCAGTTAAAAAAAATTATTTTGTAGAGATGGGGTCTATGTTTCCCAGCCTGGTCTTAAAATTCCTGGGCTCACGTGATCCTCCTGCCTCAGCAGGCCTGGGGATCCGATTCTAGTTCCGGTTTGCACAGCGCCGACAACTCTGGGGCTACAGGCTGGAGCCACCGTGCGGGGCCTGGGATTCGGACTCTAGTTCCGGTTTCCACAGCGTGGACAACTCTGGGGTTACAGGCTGGAGCCACCATGCCGGGCCTGGGGTTCGGATTCTAGTTACGGTTCACACAGCGCGGACGGACAGTTCTTCACTGGCAGTGGCAATGACTCGGAACCTACTTGTGTTGTTTGGCCACGCTGTGATCTTTGTCAGTTTTTGCCTGCTTGTCGATTTGCCAATGAAGAGACTACTCTTCGTGCCCCGGAAGATAAAGTTCTATGAAATCGGGGTCAACGAGGTTTTGTGTCTGTGTTTGCTTCTGACCTGTGGCTGAGGCACAGGATGAAACTGCTCGGTCTCTGGGGTCTGTTGGATCAGAGACTTTAACACGCTCCTCGTGTGGGTGCAAAACATTCTCCTACCGCCAGAGGGTAGTAAGGAAATAGGCTATGCAAAGGTTATGGGGTCTGAACGGAACGGTGCTCTGGTCTGATTGGTTTACACAGACCCATAAGGCTGACGCAACAGGTAGAGCTAACAGATTTGAAAATAAAAAAACAGGATACCCAATTAAGTTTAAATTTCAGATAAATTCATCTAATATTTTAGCATAAGTATGTCTTGTATGTCCTGTGCAATATTTGGGACCAAATTCTACTAAAAAGGACTATTCATTGTTTATCTGAAAACCAAATTTCACTGGGGGTACTGTTTTATCTGGCAACCCTACAGGTACAGGAAAACAGCTTCTTGAGCTGCAGTCAAGAAATGCAGTTGCAGCTGCACGCAGTGGCTCATGCCTGTAAACCCAACACTGGGAGGCTGAGGTGGATCACAAGCCCAGGAGTTGCAGGCCAGCCTGGGCAACACAGGGAGAGTTTTGTTTTGTTTTGTTTTGTTTTGTTTTAAAAAAGGCCAGGCGCAGTGTCTCACGCCTGTAATTCCAGCACTTTGGGAGGCTGAGGCGGGTGGATCACCTGAGGTCAGGAGTTTGAGACCAGACTGGGCAACATAGTGAAACCCCATCTCTACTAAAAATACAAAAATTAGCCGGTCATGGCGGCGGGCACCTGTGGTCCCAGCTACTTGGGAGGCTGAGACAGGAGAATTGCTTGAACCCAGGGGGCAGAGGTTGCAGTGAGCCGAGATCGCACCACCGCACTCCAGCCTGGGCGACAAGAGTCAGACTTCGTCTCAAAAAAATTCAAAAAGGAAAAAAAAAATTGAGTCTCTAATCCTTTAAATGTGCTTGAATTAAAAGGAAAGAAAAGAAAGTCTACATATAGAAACTTCTAGTTCAGAAGCATTTTATGTAAGAATCCAAGTGGGAAGTAATCAAGGTGAATTCTTGGAAAAAAATCAGCCTGGCTTGATACTTTGGGGTTAAAAGCACCTAGAATAGCTATGCGGTTATTTGCAGAGGTTCTATAGAAATCAACTCTCCTTTTTATCAGGATAGGACTGGACTAAATTGATCGTACGATCAAGCCCATACCTGAAGTGTCACACCTCAGAATAAACTCCCCAATACATGACAACCCACCCTGAAGGAGTAAGGGGTGAAGGGGTGAGCTTTCTTTGTGGCCCCAACATTCACACCGCCCCAGGAAAACCCTTCCAACCTGTTCTGTGATTTACAGGGCCCCCTGCTTCACAGGTAGGAAGGCAGGCCTCTCCCCCAGCAGGCCAGCAAACTTTGCAAATTTAAGGCGTTCAAGGGCAGAGGAATCCTGTAAACCCAAATTTACAGGTTTCTCAGTGGAACATGAATCTATTAAATTGGACTCGTCATACAATGCTGGTGGGAATGTAAAATGGTGCGCTGCTTTGGAAAACACTCCAGCAGCTCCTCAGATAGTTAATCATAGCATGAACATTTGGCCCAGAAATTCTACCCATACAACCAAGAGAATTGAAAACACACTGAACATACACACAAAAACGGATACATAAATGTTCATAGCAGCCCTATTCACAGTAGGCCCAAAATGGAAACAGTTCAAATATACATCAACTAATAAATGGATACACACGACATGCTCTATTCATACAACGGATTTTTAAGACAGGGTCTTGCACTGTTGCCCAAGCTGGATTATAGTGGTACGATTATAGCTCACTGCACCCTTGACCCACCCCCCCCGCCCCCCGACTCAAGTGATTCTCCTGCCTCAGCCTTCTGAGTACCCAGGACTACAGCTGCATGCCACTAATTTTTTTTTTTTTTTCCTGTAGAAATGGAGTCTCCCTATGTTGCCCAGGCTGGTCTTGACCTCTTGACATCAAGCAATCCTCCCACCTTGGCCTCCCACAGGGCCACTATACCCAGCCTATGATGGAAAATTAATCAATAGAAGGGAACGACGCTCTGACACAGGCTGCAACGTGGATGAACCTTGAAAATATATTTAGTGAGAAAAGCCAGTCACAAAGGACCACACAGCGTATGATTCCGTTTATAGGAAGTATCCAGAAAAAGCAAATCTGTACAGACAAAACATACATTAGTGGTTGCCGGCAGGTGGAGCTGATGGAAACTGCTGGCTAAAGGGGTTGGGGTTTCCTTGTGGGGTGATGAAAATGTTCTCAAATTGGCTGTGGGGATGGCTACACAACTCGAACATACCAAAAGCCATGAGTGAGTTACGCGGTATGTGGATTATATCTCAGGCCGGAGGACTGCTTGAGCCTAGCAAATCGAGGCTGCAGTGAGCCGTGATCATGCCACTGCACTCCAGCCTGAGCGACAGAGACCCCATCACTAAAAAAATTAAAATGCCCCAGCACAGTGGCTCACACCTGTGATCCCAGCACTTCGTGGGGCCGAGGTGGGCAGATCACCTAAGGACAGAAGTTCCAGACCATCCTGGCCAACGTGGGGAAACACCGTCTCTACTAAAAATACAAAAATTAGCCGGGAGGTGGTAGGGGGCGCCTGGAAACCCAGCTACTCGGGAGGCTGAGGCAGGAGAATCGCTTGAACCCGGGAGGCGGAGATTGCAGTGAGCTGAGATCGTGCCACTGCACTCCACCCTGGGAAACAGCAAGACTCCATCTCAATACACCCACATACATACATAAAATAAACAGAAAAAAAAAGTTGCCTCTAGACATAGCTACTATTATGGGAATGACACCCGAGGGCCTGAGAGTCAGGAGGCCCCAGCGGGGCGGGGCCGTGTGGAGGCTGGCGGCACAAGCCCTATGGCCTGGACTCAAAACCCAGCTTCAGCGCCCCAGTGCTGGGTGAGCTGCAACGTGTCACTGCTAGTTCCCTCAATCTCAGTGTCCTGGTGAATGCAGCAGCGATCACCATTCTCTTACAGAGAGGTCATGGTGAGGGGGAGGATGGCGTCAGGCTGTAGGGCATTGGCGGGGAGCCAGGACCCTCCGTGGTAGGGCCTCAGCGTCACCCCCATTGTGGCCAATACCACAGCAAATATTAGGGGAGGGTACGGCTCTGAGTACTTACCTGGAGAAACCTGTAGAGTCCCAGGAGCCTGGCCATTGGCATAGACAACGCCAAGCATGTTTCTCCAAAGCAGCTCCGAGAGCGCTGGGCCCAGACGTGTAGCTGGGGATGGGCTCCTCCTGCCCGGTGAGAAAGCTCATGGTCTCATGGAGTGCTGCGTGCACGAAGTCCCCCTGTGTCCAGAATTGGTTCCTTCCAGTGGGTTCTTGGTGTAGCTGACTTCAACAATGAAGCTGCGGACCCTCACGGCGAGTGTTACTACAGTTCTTATCTGGAGTTGTTCATTCCTCCCGTTGGATTCGTGGTCTTGCTGGCTTCAGAAGTGAAGCCACAGACCTTCGCAGTTAGTATAACAGCTCATAAAGGTAGTATAGACCCACAGAAAGAGCATCAGCAGGATTTATCGCAAACAGCAAAACAACAAACTTCCACAAACTGGAAGGAAAGCCCAACAGACTGCCACCGCCGGCTCGGGTGGCCTGCTTTTATTCCCTTATCTGGCCCCACCCACATCCTGCTGATTGGTCCATTTTACAGAGCACTGATTGGTCCGTTTTACAGAGAGCTGATTGGTCCGTTTTGATTGAGTGCTGATTGGTGCGTTTACAAACCTTTAGCTAGACACAGAGTGCTGATTGGTGCACTTACAATCCTTTAGCTAGACAGAAAAGTTCTCCAAGTCACCACCCTACCTGGAAGCCCAACCGGTTTCACCTCTCACCCAGAGTTCCGGATGGAGAAGCCCAGCCTGAGGCTGGGGAGCAGGTGGGCGTCCCTGTTGATCTCCTCCATGGCAAATGTGAATCCTTGGGCTTCCCAGTAGCCCCAGGTGGAAACGCTGAGGGAAGGAGAAGCCCAGGCTTACCGCATGCTGTAGCTGCAGAGGCTATGGCTTATGCACACTCAAAGGGGATGAGGCCACAAGTCTCCACAAGCGCTTGTGCACGATGTAGCCTATACATCAGACTTGACATAACTACATCTTAGCAAAAGACTCCATTTTATATTTCATAGGACACTCTGCCATCAAGGATAGGATGTTCTGTTTATTAAACAACAAAAAAAAAAGACTGCACCTAACCAGGTAAGGACACAAGCACACTCTTCCACTGCCAGTTCTCACCAGGGGACTACTAGGTGACTATAAAAGATTAGGCCTTCTCGGGCACGGTGGCTCATGCCTGTAATCCCAGCACTTTGGGAGGTCAAGGCAGGAGGATCACTTGAGGTCAGGAGTTCAAAATCAGCCTGGCCAATGTAGTGAAACCCCATCTCTAATAAAAATACAAAAAAATTAGCCGGGCATGGTGGTGTGCACCTGTAATCCCAGCTACTCGGGAGGCTGAGGCAGGAGAATCACAAGAACCCGGGAGGCAGAGGTTGCAGTGAGCCGAGATCGTGCCATTGCACACCAGCCCGGGTGACAGAGCAAAACTCTTGTCTTAAAAAATAATAATAAAAGAAAAAGAAAATTAGGCCTTCAGGAGCTCAAAATGGCTGTTTTAACTGACACTGTTTTGCAGTCACTCATGATAACTCAGCCTCTGTGGCCAAAGGCTCTGCCACCTCAAAGACTTCCTTGCAGGATGGCAGACCACCGACCTCACAGACCACCCACCCACCGCCTGGCCCAGACCAGGATGCCTTTTGTCTTCTTCGCTGCCTCTGAACTGGTTCCTTAACTCTTTCTCCTATCTCTTTTTTCTCTTGATGTTAAATGTCACTTTGTTGGTTGTGGAATGTTTAACCTATAACATTTCTATATTAAGTATACTATTATGTATGGTTTGCAATATTAACTGCTTGTGGAGTGGCTTGAGCCTCCGTGCCTGTGGCTCTGACTACCAAGTGAATGAGAAGCACAAGGGATAATTGGCTCCTTGGGAACTCCATGTAGCTCATGGCTTTTGTGATTGAAATAACATCAGTAGGCCGGGTGCGGTGGCTCACGCCTGTAATCCCAGCACTTTAGGAGGCCAAGACGGGCGGATCACCTGAGGTCAGGAGTTCGAGACAAGCCTGGCCAACATGGTGAAACCCCGTCTCTACTAAAAATTCAAAAATTAGCTGAGCATGGTGGAGGGTACCTGTAATCCCAGCTACTCAGAAGGCTGAGGCAAGAGAATCGCTTGAACCTGGGAGGTGGAGGTTGCAGTGAGCAAAGATCACACCATCGCACTCCAGCCTGGGGGCAAGAGCGAGACTTTGTCTCAAAAAAAGGAAAAGAAAAGAAAAGAAATAACATCAGTAAACACTTGACATTGCGGAAAGACACGAACGTGTGGACCTGGTTATCTCTGACCTTGCACTGATCATGACATGTGCATAGCAAAATGGGCAGAACAGCCAAAAAGGGGTGGGGGGCGGGGGGTAGGACATGTTGGTCAAAGGGCTCCAAGTTTCAGTTAGACAAGGAGGAATAGGTTTCCAGATCTATTGCACAGCATGGAAACTGTAGTTATCAATAATTAATGTATATTTCAAAACTGCAAAAAGATCATATCTTAAATGTTCACATTGCAAAAAATGATAAGGATGTGAGGATATGGATATGTTGATTAGCCCAATTTAATCATTCCATAATGTATACATATATCAAGACATCATATTGTACCCCATAAATATATACAATTATTATTCATTGATTAGAAAAAATAACCTGGCAACATCAAGTGATGGCAAGTGGAGTGATTGGAAGTCTTGTGTATGTCTGGTGAGAATGCAGAATGAAATGGTTGCTTTGGAAAACATTGTGGCAATGTTTAAATAAAGGTAAACAGGCCAGCCATGGTGGCTCTAGCCTGTAGTCCCAGCACTTTGGGAGGCTGAGGCGGGAGGATTGTTTGAACCCAGGAGTTAGAAACCAGCCTAGGTCACAACGTGAGACTCTGTCTCTATAGAAAATGAAAAGTAAATAAAAAATTAAAAAATTAGCCGAGTCTGGTCTCATGCATCTGTGGTGCCAGCTACTCAGAAGCTGAGGTGGGAGGATCACTTGAGCTGGGAGGTCAAGGCTGTAGTGAGCTATGATTGAGCCACTGCACTCCAGCCTGGGCAGCAGAGCCAGACCCTGTCTCCAAAAATAAAATAAAGTAAAATGATAAACATATTCATTTTTTAAAAAAGAAAAAAATCACCGGAGGGACTATGTGAAGAACTGTCCGCAGAGACAGTTTGGGAACCTGGGACAGAAATGGGTGATGGCACACACAGGTAAAGAGAAATTCCCTGGGCTGATCAACTCATGAAGAGATTTGTTCATTCCACAAACACTTGTTCATTCAACAAACACACTTACCTGTGCCTGGCGCTGCTCTAAGCGCCAAGGGTTGGCGGTGGACAAGAGAGGGGAGAATCTCTGCCTCACCTGTGCAGTCGCTGCAGCACAATGAGGAGACAAGCAACCCATGCTTCAGACACAGACAGAAAGCAAGAAGGAAAAACGGAGTGAGGTGCTAAGGCAGGGCCGGTGAGACAGGCTGACCAGCATCCAGACAGACAGGATGAGTCCCGGCCATCCAGGAGGGATTCTGAGAATCAGCTGCTGCCTGAGGCTTTAGAAGGACACTCCTGAAGGTGCCCAGCCTTCAGGGGCTCTCCACCAAACACCCTGGTAGCTGCTTACCTTGAAGACTCCAAGCCAGCTGGTGGAGCAGTGAAATCAAACAGGGTGATGTTGTACAGGTGGAAGATGGAGAAGCTGGCCCTGACCACCACATCCCCTGGACAGTCAAAGCGGGGGCTCTTCCCTGGCAACCGCCAGCCTATTGGGCCAGAAACAGCAGCCCCAGAGAGAGATCCCACAAGGGCGGGAAGCAGAGAGCACAGCAACATGTCTGTGGTGTGCTGACAGCCAGCAACGGCAGCCCCCGTGTGGGCTGCTTCCAACAGTGATGGGGGGCTTTCATCTGGGAGCTCACCCCTCAATCCAGGACCTGGGGGCTGGGGACACAGATGGAGCTCCAGGCATCCAGGCCCTGGGAGAACAGTGGCCACTCAGTCCCAGGGCCATTAAAACTTGTACTTCCTCCTCCTGTGGTTTCTTTGTCTCTGCCCAGGCCAGGGGTAACAGCCCCCAGGCCTCATCTGCAGACTTCAGAGAGGGAGGTTGATGAGTCCTGACTGTGTCCTCAGGGACTCTGCAAACCCAGGAGCAGCTGCACTTAGGGTCCCCAGGTCACTGGTTTTGGAGAGGCCCAAGGAGGGTACAAGAGGCGAAGACTCTCCTGAGCCCTCCTGCCTCAGTTGGCAGTGTTTGGAGATAGGGACATCCCCAGAGCTTCAGTGGCCCTGGGTTAACACCTCCTGCCTGGGGGCTCCCAGAGGGTCCCAGGCAAGGGTAAAGCATGTTCAGCCCCCAGAGGGCTGGCCCAGGCTAAGCTGGTGCGTTTCTGTGGTCAGGAAGTCCAGTTCCAGGCGGAGGGTGGAGGGTAGGCTGCAAAGTGACTCCCTAACATAGTGCTTACAACCCCAGGAGATGCGGCTGTGAGGCAGGAAAATAGAGGGAATTGGAGGTTAAATAAAGGGCAAACTGAGTAAAAGCAGAAGCAAGGTGAAGGGACAGGTAAGCAAAAAGCAAAATATGGGCAGGTGCAGTGGCTCATGCCATAATCCCAGCATATTGGGAGGCGGGGGCAGGCAGATCACCCGAGGTCAGGAGTTCAAGACCAGCCTGGCCAACATGGTGAAACCTCATCTCTACTAAAAATACAAAAATTAGCCAGGCATAGTAGCACACGCCTGTAGTCCCAGCTACTCAGGAGGCTGAGGCAGGAAAATGACTTGAAGCTGGGAGGTGGAGGTTGCTGTGAGCCGAGATCACCCCACTGCACTCTAGCCTGGGCAACACAGCAAGACTCCATCTCAGAAAAAAAAAAAAAAAAAAAATTCCAGACCTTATCACTTTGGAGAAAATACCACACTAAAAAGTGAACTGAGGAGGCTGGGCGTGGTGGCTAACGCCTGTAATCCCAGCGCTCTGAGAGGCCGAGGCGGGCGGATCACGAGGTCAAGAGATCGAGACCATCCTGGCCAGCATGGTGAAATCCCATCTCTACTAAAAATACAAAAATTAGCTGGGCGTGGTGGCACATGCCTGTAGTCCCAGCTACTTGGGAGGTTGAGGCAGGAGAATTGCTTGAACCTGGGAGGCAGAGGTTGCAGTGAGCCAAGGTCGTGCCACTGTACTCTAGCCTGGGTGACAGAGCAAGACTTAGTCTCCAAAACAAACAAACAAACAAACAAAACAACAACAACAACAACAAAAAACCTCACCACGTTCTTGATTTGTGTGTCCCTGATCACTAACTAGTCAGATGGGACTTTTCTTCACATTGGTTAGCCCCATGTATGTAAGAGGGTAGTATCTTTCTAAGCTTGGGGTAGGCTTGGTGAGCTTTTTTTTTCCTTTTTTATCTTTTTTCTTTTCAGAGATGAGGTCTCACTCTGTCGCCCAGGCTGGCAAACTCCTGGGATCAAGCAATCCTCCCACCTCAGCCTCCCAAGTAGCTGGGACTACAGGCATGTGCCACCATGCCAGGCTAATGTTTAAATTTTTTGTAGAGATGGGGCCCAGTTCCATCTGGAGTTGATTTTTGAGTGTAAGGGGGTGACATTCGGTCTTCCTTAGAAAGGTTCAAAGAGGGGTCCTTCAAACTGGGATTCTAGGTCTTCTCCCATAGCTTCAACTCAAACAGTTCTGCATTTTTTTTTAGACATGAGGTCTCACTCTGTCACCCAGGCTGGAGTGCAGTGGCAATGCATCATAGCTCACTGCAGCCTTGAACTCCTGAGCTCAAGTCATCCTCCTGACTCAGCCTCCCGAGGAGCTGAGACTACAGAAATAGCCACCATGCCTGGCTGATTTTTCTATTTTTTTGTAGAGACGGGGTTTCGCCATGTTGCCCAGGCTGGTCTCAAACTCCCGGGTTTAAGGGATCCTCCCACCTTGGCCCCACAAAATGCTGGGATTACAGGTGTGAGCCATTGCACCTGGCCAAAATAACATTTTTATTGAGATATAATTCACACAGCATAAAATTCACCCTTCTTTTTTTTTTTTTTTTTTTTTTGAAATGGAGTCTCACTCTGTCGCCCAGTCTGGAGTGCAATGGCACAATCTCCACCCACTCACCCACTGCAACCTCTGCCTCCCAGGTTCAAGCAATTTGCTTGCCTCAGCCTCCAGAGTAGCTGGGATTACAGGTACCCACCACCATGCTCAGCTAATTTTTTAAATTTTTTGGTAAAGACGGGGTTTCACTATGTTGGCCAGGCTGGTCTTGAACTCCTGACCTCAAGTGATCTGCCCACCTCAGCCTCCCAAAGTGCTTGGATTACAGACGTGAGTGACTGTACCCAGCCGAACCTTTTACAGTTCAGTAGTTTTTGGTACATTCTCCAGATTGTGCGATCATCACTGGAATCTAATTCCAGCATCTTTTCATCGCCCCCAAAAGAATTCCCCTTGCCCCTTCTTCTAGCCCCTGGCACCCATAACAGTTCTGCTTTTAGCTGATTTACTTTTAATTGGGATTTCGAGTAAGATTTAATTTGGGACAAAGATTTCTACTGCTTAAAAAAATTTTGGTCCGGGTACGGTGGCTCATGCCTGTAATCCCAGCACTTTAGGAGGCCGAGGCAGGTGGATCACCTGAGGTCAGGAGTTCAAGACCAGCCTGGCCAACATGGTAAAACCCCGTCTCTACTAAAAATACAAAAAAATTAGCTGAATGTGGTGGTGGGCACCTGTAATCTCAGCTACTCTGGAGGCTTAGGCAGGAGAATCACTTGAACCCGAGAGGTGGAGGTTGCAGTGAGCCAAGATCACGCCTTTGCACTCCAGCCTGGGCAACAAGAGCAAGACTCTTTTTAAAAAAAACAAAACAAACAAACAAAAAAAAACTGAAACCTCTGCTAGACACCAGGCTGCCTCCCAATGGATCTAGAGTTACCAGGTGGCCTATGATGGTGTCTAGATCCAGACTCTAGAGACAGACTAAGTCAGTGTTCTCTCAAGGGAGATTTCCCAAATGGGTGGCAGTTATAAATGCACACATGAGCCTTCACTGCCCCAAAGGGCCACGCCAATTTCAGCTACCAAGAAAATGAACCATGTCATTACAAGTGCCTAATTTTCAAGAAGGAGAATAATAAGCCCTTAGCACCCTAATTTGGTTTTCCCATAGTGGTTTCTGCACAAAGTGGCATTCACACACAACATTCCAGGGACCAGCCGCCAGCAGCAAAGATGCGGAGACACGGCTCTGATTATCCAGCTGAGGCAGCCCCTCCCCTCCCTGCCACTCCTGGGACTCTTAATCTCCAGGCCTCGTTTTATTTTATTCTAGGTATTTATATTTCCATGAAGCATCTGCTTTGTTTACTGGTGTTTGCCCCATGAACATGGGCTTCCAAGGGACTAAAGCCCTATCAGTCCCTCTCACTGATGTGCTCCCACCCCAGTGTCCAGAACAGTGCCTGGTACACATAGGCCCTCAATAAACAGCTGTCCAGCAGATGCTGGACCCCCTGGAGGTGGGTCCTCCTCTCTTTTCTTAGCTCACACTCTCCTGCTTCTTCTTCAGCAATGAGCAGCTTCAGCTATCCTGAGCTCAGTCCCAGAGCTGAGGACCCTCCTTGCATCATGATCTCACCCCCACCTGATTTCAGATACAAAACGAGTATCTGTGGAACCCTACTATTCTGGCACATGGTTACATTGTAGACATTAATATTAAAACTTATTTATATGAAATGTTCTTATGTAAGGTTTCGTTAAAGTATATGAAATATAGGACACATTGATACTAATTCCTTGTTTTTCTTTTTCTTTCTTTCTTTTTTTTTTTTTTTTTTTTTTTTTGAGACAGAGTCTCACTCTGTTGCCCAGGCAAGGCTGGAGTGCGTTGGCAGGTCTCGGCTCACTGCAACCTCGGCTTCCCCAGTTCCAGCGATTCTCCTACCTCAGCCTCCCGAGTAGCTGGGATTACAGGCACGCACCACCATGCCTGGCTAATTTTTGTATTTTTAGTAGAGACGGGGTTTCACCATGTTGGCCAGGCTGGTCTGAAACACCCGACCTCAGGTGATCCGCCTGCCTCGGCCTCCCGAGTTCTGGGATTACAGGCGTGAGCTATCGCGCCCGGCCTCCTTGTTTTTCTTGAGTTTACATATAACTGAGGTTTCTTTTTTCTTTCTTTTTTTTGGGGGTGGGGGGACGGAGTCTCGCTCTGTCACCCACGCTGGAAAACTGGAGTGCAATGGAGCAATCTCGGCTCACTGCAACCTCCGCCTCCCCGGTTCCAGTGATTCTCCTGTCTCAGCCTCCTGAGAAACTGGGATTACAGGCATGCGCCACCACGCCCAGGTAATTTTTGTATTTTTAGTAGAGACGGGGGTTTCACCATATTGGTCAGGCTGGTCTCGAACTCATGACCTCGTGATCCGCCTGCCTTGGCCTCCCAAAGTGCTGGGATTACAGGCGTGTCACCGCGCCCGGCCGACGTCCTGTATTTTTATTTGCTAAGAGTGGCGATCCTAGTCTGGGACATACTTGTACTAAACATATTTATATTAAAAACAATGTTTTAACATACTACTCTTGGACACTGTATAAAACGGTTGCGTGTCTGGAATGCCGTCGTTTTGCCCCGCGGCCCCATCGTACATGCGCATCCCCGCAGCCGCCACCGTCTCCACTTTCCGCAGCAGCGTCCCTGACGCTGCGCGACCCGTTGCCAAGGCGACTGGAACCGCGGCCCGAGGTAACTGGAGGGCACGGCGGGGGCGGGGCGCTCATCCCAGGCGGCTTCTGATTGGCCTCGGCCGCCTCGTGCGTCACAGCCCCGCCCCTGCCCGGGAGTCCCGCAGCGGTGACTTGTCACCGACGCCCGGCGTGATCCAGCGGACCAATGGCGGCCGCCCGCGGCGCGCAGGGTGCGGGGATGGGGTCCGCCCGCGGCGTTGGGCGCGCTCGCCAGCCCAGGGGTCGCCATGACCGAGTGGCCCAGGCCCGAGCGAAGCCCGCGCGCGGTGAGTCCGCCGCGGCCCATCCGTCCCTCCGCCCGCCAGAGCGTCCATCGGGACGCCCACCCGGGAGGGTCTCGGCGCCGCGTCGGCGGGAGCTGGCCCGGGATCGCGGTCCAGGGGCGCGCGTCGGGGGAGGCGGGCCCGGGCCCGGGAGGGGGCGGGCCGGGCCGGGGTTCCAGAGCCCATCGGGAGTCCTGAGGTCGCCGTAGGGGAGGGAAGGGGAAGGCTAGAGGCCACGCGGGGCGGGGACTGGGGGGGCTGGGGCCGCCCCTTCCGCAGGGACCCCGACCCCTGTTGGCATCCGCCTGTCCGTTTGAGGCCGAAGCCCCTCTACGTACCCCCATTGCCCGCCCAAACACCGCTCGGCCGCGTCCAAGTTCTCCCTTCCACACCTGATCAGCATCCCGGGACCTATCTCCCTCCTGAACAGCCGCCCCCGGACCCATCTCCCTCCCTACCCGGCCCCTTGGGCCCATCCCCCACTGGAACAGCAGCCCCCGACCCGTCTCTCTCCCTACAAGCTCCCCCTCCCCGCCCCAGGCCCATCTCCCTCCTGAACAGCCGCCCCCGACCCATCCCCCACCCAATCACCCCACCATCCTCCCCCCAACCAGCCGTCCACAGCCGTCGTCGCTGCCCCTCCCCTGTATTCCCAGTGCGCTGCCCTTGCACACTTCCCCAGCTCGTTTATTATGGAACTCCTCCGTGTGGCATCCTAAGCTCCCAACGCCCTCCCCACTGTAAGCCCCCTTCTCAAAGCCAGAACCATTCACTGACTGGCGCAGTGAACACGTCTTCTATGTCACTAAGCATCCGGCATCAGCGGCAAAGCCCTTCTGCCCATCCCCGCAATAGAATTTGGGGCTCGGGCTGCAGATCTCAGTGCCCATGCCAGGTGAACCTGGCCCTTCCACAGGCACTGAGCCCTCCAAGTGACACTCTCTCACACACACACATCCCCAACATTAATCAGAGACCCCTACCAAAGTAGACTTCTAGGACCCCAGGGCCACCACAGCATTGCCCATGGGGGGGCCCAGATCCTCCTCACCAGCCATGTAGACCTCAGTCCCCTTCACATCATCCCAGGCCCTCTTCATCTTCCAGAAACAGCCACCCATCAGTCCAGGACTCTCATCAGCTCAGGTACCCCCACATTGGCCTAGGTGTTCCACATCAGCCCCCATATAGACCCCAGACACACCCATGGACCTCTGGTGCCTTCTGCTAAGACCTCCTCTTTACCCTCATCCCTGATAAACTTAGCATCTCCTCCCACAGACCTCAGCCCAGGACCCTGGAGGATGCTGAGGGGCTACAGCCCCCCTCCCTAGAGTCTCCAGGGTGAGCTGCCATGAGCACCTGAGAGAGTATAAGGTCTGAGGCCCCAGGGCAAAGGGATTTCTTGAACCTGTGGAGCTTCAAAATAGGCCCTTTTTTCTTATTCAAAACTACATATATAAAAGTGTGAATACAACATAAGAGAGCATTTTTGCCTGTGGCCTTGGCAGGGAAGACCAAGCTGGTAGTTTCCCAATCAGGGTGCAGGTGGCCGGGTACGCTGACTCGAAGATGGCTGGCTGGGCACAGTCCCCGTGAGTTGCCTTTCTGCCACCCTGCACCTCTCCTTTCTCCTGGATTGTAAAACCAGATGCACGAGAACTGCAGAGTGTATGAAAAATGCAGCAGAGGATGAAGAGGGAAAAATCCCATGGAATCCCTCCTTTTCACTTGTCATAAGCATTTCCCATATGGTCAAAAATCCTTCCTAAAGATGTCTTGTTTTGTTTTGTTTTTCCATGTTGATGAAGGTCACATGGGAGCCCGACACCATTTGGAGGAGATTCAGAGAAGTATGAACAGCACAAAGCACTTGGCCGCCCCCCATGGGCGTCTTCCCAGGACTCCCTTTCTATGACACTCACGCATCATCCTGCATCCCACGTTCCCTGTGCCTCATGTCATCTGTACATCATGTGTCTACTCCCCGTGGTCATGTCATAGTGTTGTGTACTGGGCACGGTTGAATACTCCCATCACATGATGGGGGAGGTAGTTGATCCCACCACGTTCAACTGTTGGGCACTTTTGTAGTGAATCTTGGTGCCTGAATCTCGCATCTTGCACGCAGTCTACCAAGTGTTCTTGATATATAAATGGCCACAGTGCTTTCCAGAAAGGTCGTGCCAATTTATATTCTCACCAGCGGATCAGTCCAGAGTACAATTGTTAAAGACAAACAAACGAAACCTCCCTGCTTATTTTTATTTTTACAACTTTTAATGTTTTCTTCAGTTATATGTTCACCATAGTCGGCTTGGAAAATGTACAAAAGGTAACTTCTTTTTTTTCTTTTCTTTTTTTTTTTTTTTTTTGAGACAGAGTCTTACTCTGTCGCTCAGGCTGGAGTGCAGTGGCACAGTCTCAGCTCACTGCAATCTCCGCCTCCTGGGTTCAAGCATTTCTCCTGTCTCAGCCTCCCGAGTAGCTGGGATTACAGGTGCGTGCCACCACGCCCAACTCATTTTTGGTTATTTATTTTTTTTGGGATGGAATCTCACGCTGTCACTCAGGCTGGAGTACAGTGGTGCGATCTTGGCTTACTGCAACCTCTGTTTCCTGGGTTGGAGCAATTCTCCTGCCTCAGCCTCCCACGTAGCTGGGATTAGAGGTGTGCACCACCACGCCGGCTAATTTTTGTATTTTTAGTAGACGGGGTTTCGCCATGTCGGTCAGGCTGGTCTTGAACTGCTGACTTCAGGTGATCCACCCACCCGGGCCTCCCAAAGTGCTGGGATTACAGGTGTGAGCCACGGCACCCGGCCACAAAAGGTTATTTTAAAATTACTCTTCCCACTTTCCCTCTCTTTTCAGAGTCTCCAGTCTCCCTTGCCCTCTTCCTGGTCTCCACCCCCAGCTTGGACCTGGTAGGAAAGTCAGGAAGACAGCAAAGATAACACCATGGGTAGACCTGCTGCTGGTGGTGGTGTCATCCATTATTATGTAGCCCACCTGGCTGCTTCCATTTAAATGGAATTTAAATTTAAAATTCAGTTCCTATTTCAGGTGCTCCTAGCCACACGTAGGTGGTTGCATGGGTAGAGAATCTTTACATCCCTGTAGGAACTTCACTGGGCAGTGCTGGCCACACCACGGGGCAGGCATTCTTGTTCCCGCAGCTCGTCAGTCAATGTGTGTTGAATGACTAAATGAGAGGGAGATAGACACTAAGTAAGGGGAAAAGTTGTGTTCAGAAAGTCATGGAGGTTATGAAGACAGTGCCATAAGGATGATGGCCAGGACATCTGCGAGGGGAGGAGCTGGGGTGGGAAGGGGAGGGGCTGGGGTGGGATGGCAGGTGCAAAGGTCCTGGGGCAGCCAGTGGCTTGAACTCAGTGCAAAGTAGCCTGTGAGAGGCATGTGGAAGATTAGGTCAGAAGGTGGGAAGAGGTCAGGTTGGTTCCTTGGGGTGCTGGAGGTCAGAACAAGGAAGTAAGGAGCCGAGGGGCATCCTGAGTACAGAGGGCCACCATCTGATGTGACCCCTCTGTCCCTGCCCCTCTCTGCAGGCCCCTGATTGCTGATTCTGTCCGCCTGCCACACCGGCTCTGTCCGGAGCCACTGGGACTCGGGATCCAGTCCACACACACCCCTCAGAGGGGCACTGTGGCCAGAGAAATGCTTCCACGGCCCAAAGCCCCTGCCTCCCCCAGACGCCCCCAGACCCCAACCCCGAGTGAGCAGGACGCAGACCCTGGGCCAGCAAGCCCCAGGGACACCGAAGCCCAGCGTCTGCGCTTCCGGCAGTTCCAGTACCACGTGGCGAGCGGGCCGCACCTCGCGCTGGGCCAGCTCTGGACGCTGTGCCGCCAGTGGCTGAGGCCCGAGGCGCGCTCCAAGGAGCAGATGCTGGAGCTGCTGGTGCTGGAGCAGTTCCTGGGCGCGCTGCCCAGCAAGATGCGGACCTGGGTGCAGTCACAGGGCCCCCGAAGCTGCAGGGAGGCCGCCAGCCTGGTGGAGGACCTCACACAGATGTGCCAGCAGGAAGGTGAGAGGCGCAGGCTTCCTGCCCCGGGCCGGGCCAGGGGGCCTGACGTCTCCGAGGACCGAACTGCCCTCCTTCCCGCCCACATCGCTCCCACCCCTGCCCGGCCCCTCCCGACCAGCAAACCTCTCCTGCCCCGCGGCTGTGTTTTTAATTATTTTTACATATAAATGTGCTGCACGCCTCATCTGCCTCGAATTTCTCACTCAGTCGGTGATTAAAGATCCCTCCATTTCCCATGCGTCCATCTGTCCTGTGGCTTTGTGTCTGCTGCTCCTCACGGCTGCTCTCTGGGAAGGACGCTGCCTCGCCACTTCCTCCCAGCCACCTGCAGCGCCTCCTGCAACACTCAGGAATCCTAGAGATCCTTAAGCCTTCACAGGGCGCAGGCCCCATCGCTGGCTGATGGTGGGGAGAGACGCTTAGGTCTGCATCCCGACTCTGGGAGCTGGGAAATTTGGGGTTGAAACTGGGCTCCCTCCCTGTCTCCTCTCTCAGCTCCCCTCTCCCCTGACAGGGCTTTGTCCTTCTGCATCTTTGCCCCTGTGACCCCACGTCGAGATTCCATCCACCCAGGGCCCAGTCCCATGAGTGGGGCTCTTTCTTTCCTAGTGACAAAAGTGCAGGGATTGGACACTGGGAGGCCAAAAGAGGCAGCCACGGATGGTGAGAGCAGTCGTGGCACTGTGGCCTCGGGAGGGCTTCCCCAGCAGGGCCCCAGCAAGGAGGGTGCCAGGCAGCCACGCTGCAGGAGCAAAGGCTGGGAGTGAGAAGGGTTGCATCAGAGCTCACAGAAAAGAGGGGTGGAGCAAGGGAGAGGAACAGGCCCTCCCTTTGCACCCTCCCACTACAGCATTTCCGTAGACCAACAGTGATAAGCAGTTTGCAGAACACAGGGTCCAGGGTCCCCTTACTGCCCCAGGGCAGCCGGTGCCACACTTAGGAAAGCTGTGACAGCTGAGCTTTCCAGAGGCTCAAGGGTAGCCCTGTAAGCTGCAAGGCAGAAGCCAGATGAATTGGCCCTTTGAACTCTCTGATCCTGGGGTAGAGGGCCCAAGAGCACTGGCTTCTGGCGCTCTGTGGACCTCACAGCCATCCCAGCCCAGAGCCACCCTTGCTAGTTTTAATGTTCCATGGTCACTCTCAAAATTCAACGTTTTTGAGCAAAGGGCTCTCTATCTGTCTTCCATAGCGGTGGTCTGCTTTCTACATTCCATATTTTGAGCCTATGAAACAGTAGAGCAAGTATAATGAACAGCCCTGCACCGGCCACCCACCCTTATCAAAGCCCAACCTAGGAAATGCTTTGTAATCTCAGCACTTTGGGAGGCCAAGGCAGGCGGATCACAAGGCAGGAGTTCGAGACTAGCCTGGCCAACATGGTGAAACTCCGTCTCTACTAAAAATACAAAAATTAGCCGGGCGTGGTGGCGCGTGCCTATATTATATCCCAGCTACTCAGGAAGCTGAGGCAGGAGAATCGCTTGAACCCAGGAGGCGGAGCTTGCAGTGAGCCAAGATCACGCCACTGCACTGCAGCCTGGGCGACAGAGCGAGACTCCGTCTCAAAAAAAAAAAAAAAAAAAAAAGGAACAACCAGTGGAATCAGCTGAACCCCCATGCACGTCTCCTAGTCCTGTTGTCCCCCGCTCTGCCTGACACCCCAGAGGTGGCCGTGATCTTGAATTTTTCTTTTTTTAATTAAAAAATAAATAGGGGGGGGTCTTGCTGTGTTGCCCAGGCTGCTCTCAAACTCTTGGGCTCAAGCAGTCCTCCTGCCTCAGCCTCCCAAAGTGCTGGGATTACTGGTGTGAGCCACCACGCCTGGCCTGGTTCCCACGTCTTGACCCTTCTGTCAATGGTGTCCTGAACCCTGCTTCAGCAGTCGTCCTCTGTGCACTCTGTGCACACAGCCCCGGGGGGCTTGGGGAGCAGAGGGCTCACAGTGCTCGGGCCTCCCTAGTTAGTCAGTGCTGCAGTGTGTGTCCTCGTGGGCTTCTGGAGGCGCACAGGGGTGTGGAGTATGAGTGAAGAGGGTACTTGTCTTCAGCGGCCCTCGGTGTCACCACAGGTTCCTGCCCAGCAGCCACATGGAGGGACAGAATGACAGCCCTGCAGCCACTCTTGCCTGCGCCTCAGGGGTGCTGCAGGGATGTTCGGGGAAAGTCTGCCCTCCCCAGAAGGCCTGGAGAATTGGGGGCTCTGGGAAGAACAGGCCCCTCTCACGATCCCTTTCTCCCGCACAGTTCTGGTATCTCTGGACTCGGTCGAACCCCAGGACTGGAGTTTCGGTGAGGAGGAAGATGGGAAGAGTCCAAGGTCCCAGAAAGAACCATCGCAGGTGAGCCCGGGGCCCCCAGCTCCGTGCTCCTGCACCCCAGGGCATGCGTGCCGCTTCTGGGACGGCCTCAAGGATGCCCCATCCAAGGACTGTGTGAGGTTGTCCCCAGCGCTCCCAGGAAGCCCGGCCTCCAAACTCCCCGCCTGCCCCACAGATTCCCCAAGCTTCCTGGGGCTCAGTGCTGGGCGAGGGCAGTCAGTGCAGCTGTGTGTTTGCTGTGTGCCTCTGGGCCTCACCCCAGCCCCTCCTGTCCTTTCCCAGCCTCGCAGTTAAGACCCATCCTCCTGTGTCACCCGCACCAGATGCTGCGTGTGTTGAGAAAGTCCTGCTGCCCCGATCATCTTCCCTCAGTGAACCCAGGATTCTGGGCGGGCCCAGAAGGAAATGCTGAGGGCTCCCCTGCAGCTAGACCTGCTGTTGCGCAGGCCTCAAGGCGACGGGAGGGGCCCGGCTCGGTTGGGAGCCAAGCGGATCTCTGTGTGGCTGGAGAGATTAAAATCAGGGGTGGGGACACGCAGACACATGAGAGAAATCCAGGGGTAATGGGTAAATCACAAAAGAACAAAAGTAAGAACTGCTAAGTGAGTAGCATGTGTTCGTATGATCAGGGCTACTGAGTTTGACCACTTTCTGCCTCTGGATCTTGGTATTGGAGCCGCCAAGGGAAACACAGCACGGTCGAACAATGAATGGAGCAAGGTTTTGCTCACAGACCAGAGACCGGGCCAGAGCACCATCTGCCCATGTGGCTGTCAGGCCGGGGCCAGCAGGTCCCTCCTAGAGGGGTCCTGACCTAACAGTGGGGCTGTCTAGGTGCCACGTGAAGCACACGCCTGAGCAGAACAAAGGGGCACACATTGGGAAACAGAGACCTCCACACGAGGCACTACACCCAGCACAAACTGGGGGGACCCCTTATCTCTTGGTAAGGAGATGTTCTAGGCCCAGGACCCACTCTCAGGCAGCCAAGTAACAGGCTGAAAGACTGCACATGTGTGTCTCCCACTGGCTTAGTCCGTTCTGGGTGCTGTAACAAAATACGGCTGGGTGTGGTGGCTCATCCCGGTAATCCCAGCACTTTGAGTGAGGCCTCACGGGAGGCTGAGGTGGGAGGACCACTTGGTCCCAGGAGTTCAAGAGCAGCCTGGGCAACATGGCAAGACCCCATGTCTTAAAAAAAAATGAGCCAGGTGTAGGGGTGTGCACCTGTAGTCTTAGCAACTCTGGAGGCTGAGGTAGGAGGATCACTTGAGCCCAGGAGTTCAAGGCTGTAGTAAGCTATGATCATGTTTCTACACTCCAGCCTGGATGACAGAGTGAGACCCTAACTCAAAAAACATCAACAGCCGGGCACAGTGGCTCACGCATGTAATCCCAGCACTTTGGGAGGCTGAGGCAGGCGGATCACAAGTTCAGGAGTTCAAGGAAGAAGGAAGTAACTTGTGGAATGCTGAGAAAGGTAAAAACACCTTCAAATAAGGAAGAGGAACAGGCTATGACCTAATGCTTGCTTGGACCAGTATAGGCACACCAGGGCAAATATTTAGGCTAAATTGTGGGAGCTAAGAACATAAAGTACATTGATTTTTTTTATTATGGCTAGCAGATATATAAGAATGTTAGCACAGGTCTTTGAATAAATTTTGCTTCTAAGAGAAGTTACTATTTATTCCTAATTAGATGGGGAGGAAAGTCTTTGAAGAGGAACTTCTACTTTACTTTTTTTTTTTTTTAATGGAGTCTTGCTCTGTAGCCCAGGCTGGAGTGCAGTGGCGCGATCTCGGCTCACTGCAAGCTCTGCCTCCCGGGTTCACGCCATTCTCCTGCCTCAGCCTCCGGAGTAGCTGGGACTACAGGCGCCCGCCACCTCCCCGGCTAATTTTTTTTGTATTTTTAGTAGAGACGGGGTTTCACCGTGTTCACCAGGATGGTCTCGATCTCCTGACCTCGTGATCCACCCGCCTCGGCCTCCTGAAGTGCGTGAGCCATCGCGCCCGGCCCTAAAATAGATTTAAAGATCATCATGAGAGCCCCTCTCCTGCACCAAAACAAAGTTTCGTGGGCCGTGGTTTCTGTTTCTGCATCTAACGGAGGCATCTAACCTGGGTAGACCACAGTTGTTGGCCACGGGCTTCCTCAGCCGCTGCCGGCAGATGTGCTTATCTGACTCCCTCTCCCATCCCAGACGCCACGTGGAAACCACAGCCGCGCTCACAGGCCATCCCCTCACCACACGGCAACTCCAAGGACTCTCTTTTTGCGGGGGTCGTAGGTGGGGAAGGCTGCTGAGGTCCTCCCACCCCTCTCCCACCAGGGCCGCTGTGGCTGAGAGGATCCTCGTTGGCGCTGGTTTAGGCTGTGGGGCTCAGCCACAGCAGGGTGCCCCAACGTCCCTGAGCGAGCTGCACTTGTGGAGGGAGAGGCCTTAGGCCTGAGGCCTGGCGCCCGCGTGGAGAGACGGCAGCTCCGGGATCGGGGCGCTGGTGAGCGCGGCCCCAGGCATTGCCGCTGCCAGGGTGCTAACACTGCCTGAGGCACCTCTGCTTTTGAAGTCGCCGGGGATTAGCGGGAGCGTAGGTGAGGGACAGGTGGAGCTGCTCTGCGCGGGGCAGCCCGGCTCGCCAGGAGGCGCTGTGGAGTGGGCACGACTGGCGATCGCTGAGCGCATACAACCGCCTACCATCGGAAGCCTTTTGAGAAATGCTTCCTTAGGCGGTTTCGTCACCGTGCATACATCGCAGAGGGCACTCACACACCTACACGCACAGCCCATGGCTCCTAGGCTACAGACCTGCACAGCACGGGGCTGCACTGAATACTGTGGGCAACGGTAACACAATGTTGTTTGTGGATTTAAACATAGAAAAGGTACAGTAAAAATACAAAATAGAAGATAAAAAACAGTACACTTGTATAAAGCACTTGCCAGGAAGGGAGCTTGTGAGACTGGAAGTTGCTCTGGGTGAGTCTGAGTGGTGAGTGAATGTGAAGGCCTGGGAGGTTATTGTGCTGTGGACTTCATAAACATGGTGCACTTAGGCTACTAAATTGGCAACTATATTTCCTTCTTCAATATAATTTATCTTACTGTAAGTTTTTGCTTTACATTTTTTTTTTCTTTCTTAGACTGACTCTCACTCTGTCACCCAGGCTGGAGTGCAGTGGCACGATCATGGCTCACCGCAACCTCAACCTTCTGGGCTCATGCGATCTTCCTACCTGAGTCTTCTGAGTAGCTGGGAACACAGGCACACATTACCGCACCGGCTAATTTTTATATGTTTTAAAATTTTTTTAGTTTTTGTGTAGATGGGGTTTCACTATGTTGCCCAGGCTGGTCTCAAACTCCTAGGCTCAAGCGATCCTCCCTCCTCAGCCACCCAAAGTGCTGGAATTACAGGCGTGAGCCACTGTGCCTGGCGTAAAAAACTTTCTGACTCTTGGGGCCGGGCGCGGTGGCTCACGCCTGTAATCCCAGCACTTTGGGAGGCCGCGGCGGGCGGATCACTAGAGGTCAGGCCTTCGAGACCAGCGTGGCCAACATGGTGGAACCTCGTCTCTACTAAAAATACAAAAAAATAGCTGGGCGTGGTGGTGTGCACCTGTAAGTCCAGCTACTCCGGAAGCTGAGGCAGGAGAATCGCTTGGATCCAGGAGGCGGAGGCTGCAGTGAGCCGAGATCACGCCATTGCACTCCAGCCCGAGCAACAGGAGCGAAACTCCGTCTCAAAACAAAACAAAACAAAAAACAACCTGTGTCATTTTAAAATAAATAAATGATACATCATTATCCCACAGAAAGGTTATGCTCTGGGGGCAGCAGAAATAAAAGCTTTGTTTTAAAGAAGCGGAAGAAGGATTAAACCTTTTTAAAAACCAAAAACATCGAAGCTGGGCGCCTCCTGTCCGAGGCCAACCGCTGCCGTCAACCGTCCGCACGGACGGCGCCTGAGGAGCCACCGAGACGGCGAAGAGCCGCGGCCGCCGCGGAGAAGGAGGAGGAGCCAGCGCAGGAGGCCCGAGCGGCCGCCACGCCCGGACACACGGCGTCCATCTTAATGAGGAGCTGCCGCGGCTGGGCGCCCGCCAGCCTCCCGCCGCCGCCTCGGGTCACCGCCCCGCGGGGTAGTCCGGGGGATCCTGCTCATCTCAGCTTGCCAGCACCCTGGGGTTGAGGAGCTGCCCGAAAGTTTCATTTGGCTGCTGCACTCCCACCCACCCTGCCTACCCGTGCTTCAGAGGCGATCACCTCAGCTGTTGGACTCTGAGGCCCGAGTGCCTTCGCACCGTGTCGAGAGCGCCATGGACCTCCACCTCTGTGGGTTTTGTGGTCCTGGGGCCTCGGTGCCTTCCTGCCCGCGGCTGGCACTCTTCGCGCCCTGTTGGTGATGACTCGGTAGTAGAGAAGTCCCTCAAGTCCTTGAAGGACAAGAACAAGAAGCTGGAGGAAGGCGGCCCTGTGTACAGCGCCCCCGCAGAGATGGTGGTGAAGTCCCGGGGGCAGAGAGGGTGCTGGGCGAGCTGAGGCACTACTACCATGGCTTCCGCCTGCTACGGATCCACACCAAGATCGCAGCACGCATGCTCTGGCGCATCCTCAACTGCCACACCCTGACCCGCCAGGCGCGCAGGCAGTTGCTCCGGTTCTGTGCCGACCTCTTCCGCCTGGTGCCGTTCCTCCTGTTCGTGGTGGTGCCGTTCGTGGAGTTTCTGCTGCCTGTTGCTGTGAAACTCTTCCCCAACATGTTGCCATCCACATCCGAGACTCAGTCCATCAAGGAGAAGAGGCTGAAGGAGCTTCAGGTCAAGCTGGAGCTAGCCGAGTTCCTCCAGGACACCATCCAGGAGATGGCCTTGAAGAACGAGGCAGCCAAGGGCAGTGCCACCAAAGACTTCTCTGTGTTTTTCCAGAAGATCCGGGAGACGGGGGAGAGGCCCAGCAATGAGGAAATCATGGGTTTTTCCAAATTATTTGAGGATGAGCTGACCCTTGACAACCTGACACGGCCGCAGCTGGTGGCCCTGTGCAAGCTGCTGGAGCTACAGCTTCCTGCGCTTCCAGCTCACGATGCGGCTGCGCTCCATAAAGGCAGAGGACAAGCTGTTTGCTGAGGAAGGGGTGGACAGCCTGAACGTCAAGGAGCTGCAGGCGGCATGTCGGGCACGAGGCATGCGGGCCCTGGGCGTCAGGGAAAACCACCTGAGGGGCCAGCTGAAGCAGTGGCTGGACCTGCACCTGCATCAGGAGATCCCCACATCGCTGCTCATCCTGTCCCGGACCATGTAGCTCCCGGACACCCTCTTGCCAGCCGACCAGCTCAAGTCCACACTGCAGACTCTCCCAGAGATTGTGGCAAAGGAAGCACAGGTGAAAGTGGCCGAGGTGGAGGGCAAGCAGGTGGACAAGGCCAAGCTAGAGGCCACACTGCAGGAGAAGGCGACCATGCAGTAGGAGCACCGCGAGAAGGAGCTGCAGAAGCATTCGGAGGTGGCGAAGGATGTTGAACCCGAATGTGTGGAAGGCGCTCCCCAAAGGCCAGGGGCCCAGCCCCAGCCAGAAGTGCCTGACACTGTCCTGCAGTCAGAGACCATGAAGGACACTGCCCCCGTGCTAGAGGGCTTGAAGGAGGAAGAGATGACTAAGGAGGAGATCAGCATCCTCAGCAATGCCTGCTCTAAGCTGCAGGAACAGAAGAAGTCACTCACCAGGAAGAAGGAGGAGCTGGAGCTGCTGAAGGAGGACATGCAGGACTACAGCGAGGACTTGCAGGAGCTCAAGAAGGAACTTTCAAAGACTGGTGAAGAAAAATACATGGAAGGATCTAAAGCCAGCAAGAGATTGACAAAAAGGGTGCAGCAGATAATCGGGCAGATCAACGGCTTGATCTCGCAGCTGGAGATGGACCAGTGGGCCAGCAAGCTGGCCCCGGCCAAGGGCGTGCCCATGGGGGAGAACGTCATCAGTGTTGCCGAGCTCATCAACGCCATGAAGCAAGTCAAGCACATTCCCAAAAGCAAGCTCACCAGCCTGGCCGCAGCACTGAATGAAAATAAGGATGGCAAGGTCAACGTCGACCACCTCATCAAGGTGATTGAGCTGGTGGACAAAGAAGATGTTCACGTCTCCACCAGTCAGGTGGCCGAGATTGTAGCAACACTGGAAAAAGAGGAGAAAGGGTGGAGAAGGAGAAGGTGGAGAAGGAGGTTGCAGAGGTGAAGAGCTAGAGCCACTGGCGTGGGCACCTGTCCTCCTGCTGCACTGCCACCCTGGTGAGGGCTGTGAGAGCGATTTGCGGTGATTCTTAGTGGCTCATCTAATACTTTGGCTGGAATAAATCAGAGACTTCCATAATCAAGTAAACTGTAATTTTCATCATTCCACGGAGCTTCAATCTGTCTGGAGTCCCAGAATCCCTCCACAGAATCCTGTCTGGATCCACACTGTGGTGTGGCTGCCACGGCCTCCTGGCTCCAGAGGCGGCTGGGCCAAGGCAGGAAGGTGCCCCCCTGTGTGTGGCCTCACGTCTCAGTGTCTGACTGTGCTGCCCTGTGCCCAGGGAGGAGAATGAGGACCACATGGACTCTGCCCACACGGAGCTGGCTGCTACGCCCACCCTCAGAGGCGTCAGGAGACACAGCCTGGCCCCCTCAGGGCTGAAGATGCCTCCATTCACCTGTGGACCTTGCTTTCTAGATTTCAGCATCAATAGACCTGTCTTCCTGCATGCTTTTAGTTGGATCTGGGTCACTGTGGAGACAGAGGTATCTGCCATCTCTGTGGCCTCTGGAGAGTGACGTCTCCCTGCTGGCAGGGCCGGTTCTCACCTGCAGTTTTCCTTGTGTATCGGAGCTCTTTCTTAACTTTCTATTTTCCCCCAATTCTTTAAGCAGTCGATTGGCACAGAGTTTTCCCACGCTGGTCGGCCTGCCCCAAGAGCCATCTCTGACCCAAGCCACGCAACTCTGACGTAGCCCTAGCCATGGGACTCCCTTGGGTGGTGCTTGGGCTGCGCGCCACGGGGGCTGCAGTGGATTTACTGTGTCAGGGATGAGCCTGGCTCGGGTTGGTGGGGCTCTGAAGCACATTTGGGGTTCTTTGTAGCTTCTAATGTGAGGTTTGAGTCCAGTGCACCCACAGCAGCATACCCTTCTCACCCCTTGTGGTGTTGCAGGCTCAGGCCCCTGGGGTCCTTTAACAAGCAGGCTGGTCACCGAGGCACGAAGACGAGGCACAGGGCATCCCCTGGGGCTTCAAGGGCAACACCCGCAGTGCTTAGGGTTTACCCTGTGCCCTCTGGGTGGGGTGGCCTCCCTGCACTCGGCAGCATGGTCGGGCTGGCGAGGGCGTGGGCAGGCAGTGTCCTGTGGCCACCTCCACCCTCCTGCCCAGCCGGCTGTGTCACACTCATATTTTTAAGGTCAGGTTGGTTCCTGGTAAAAATGTCCCTCCGGGGGCCTCCAAGCATAGGATTTGGAAGACATAGGAATGGCACAGGCAGCCAGGAAAGCAGCTGCGCTCAGACGATGCCTTCTCCATTACTTGAAGCTTCTTTTTGTTCAGCCATTAAAGAAACTTGACAAAATAGGAACAGGAGATATTTCTCAATTGTAAACCTTTGTGCAGGGACAGTTGGCTTCCAAAGCCTTTCAGATTTCAATTATTTGAGAAAGAAGTTTGTTTTAGATCCTTAATATTTATGAATTCTCAAAAAAAATCAATGTATAGACATTTTATAGCTTTAACCCTGCAAGTGTTTCAAGCTGTGTTTCTTAATTAGTATACTAACTGCCCTGGGGCATGTAGGTAAGTGTAAATGATGTGGTTTGAGCCAAGTTTTCATCTGTAATCCCACTGCTTGAGGTGGCCAAGGCCGGAGGATAAGCCAAGCCCAGGAGTTGGAGACCAGGCTGGACGATGGAGCGAGACCATGTTACTTTCTTTTTCTTTTTTCTGAGATGGAGTCTTGCTCTGTTGCCCAGGCTGGAGTGCCGTGGCATGATCTCGGCTCACTGCAACCTCCACCTCCTGGGTTCAAATGATTCTCCTGCCCCACAGACAAACGCCACTATGCCTGGCTAATTTTTGTACTTTTAGTAGAGATGGGGTTTCATTATGTTGGCCAGGCTGGTCTCGAATTCCTGACCTCAAGTGATCTACCTGCCTTGGCCTCCCAAAGTGCCAGGATGATGGCGTGAGCCACCGAGGCCGGCCCTTTTTACCTTTTTTTGAGACGGGGTCTCACTCTGTCACCCAGACTGGAGTGCAGTAGCACAGTTATAGCTCACTGCAGCCTTGACCACCGAGGCTCAAGTGATCCTCCCATCTCAGCTAGAATTACAGGCTTGAGCCACAGTGCCTGGTAATTTTCTAATTTTGTAGAGTTGGGACTTAGCTATGTTGCCTACACTGGTCTTGAACTCCTGTTCTCAAGCAATTCTCCAGCCTCAGCCTTAGCCTCCCAAAGTGGTGGGATTCTAGGTGTGAGCCACTGTGCCTGGCCTTTAAAATTTTCAATCTCCCCAAAGCCTCCAAAATATTCTTTAGTTAGTTCTTCAGAAGTAGCTGGGCTCAATCCACCCACGAAAACCTTTCGGGGGGTTCTTTCCCTTTTCAAGCTTTGGCTCTTTGCAGCAGGGGTGGGGGGTGATCCTATCAATTTGCCATCCAGCTCCTGTTCTTTCCGTTCCAAGGCCTTAAGAGCACTAGCAGCGTTTTCCAAAAGCACAGATACAAATCCCCTTGATCTTCCAGTAACTGTTTTAACTGTGCAATCTGCAACTTCCCTAAGTCAAGACACATCGTCAGATCTTTTTGCTTGTAACACTGTACCATCATCCGGCAGATCTTGGATCCCTCTGCGATTTCCTCTGTATTGGTTGTGGTACTCATTCAGGTCTTTGCTGGTGGAGAAGTTGTAGGCGGGGGGTGCTGGTGCACATTCAGGGTCAGGCAGCAGCTTATGCTACGGAGTTGGATTTCAAATGGTGGTGGAAGAGAGTCATTATAATTTTACGAGATCACTGTGGTGTGTGTGGTCCATTGTTGACTGAAACACCATTACCCCATGGGGAGGGGCTGCCTGAAGCCTGTAAGGGTAGCTGCCCGAAGCCCTTTGAGGGTAGCACTCTAAGGTCCCTGAGATCCCATGGGCGTATCTCCCTGAGGCCCTGGCGGGAATGACTGTTGGAACCTCAGTGGTAAGTGATGCCAGTGTCCTCTGTGGAACACACTGCTGGGGTCCCTGGTGGTTCCCACCGCGTAGCTGATACTCGTGGCCCCTGCTTTTCTTCTTTGTGCATAGCGATCTCCTGGCATCTCAGGTATGCATTATCTCACCGGTGAGCTTTTTCTTGTGGGCATTCTCGGGTTTTTTCACTTTACTCCACTGTGTTGCTGCAGATCTTCAATGGGTCCTTGAGCGTTCTGGGCTATTCTGGCTTGTGAATATCTGTCTGTAGTTGATTTGTGTGTGGGTAGTGGGAGGGGGAAATGAAGGTTGGTATCTCCTACTCCACCATCTTGGTGATGTCGCTCCACTCTTTCCTTTTTTTTTTTTCCAAAATAACCCAGCACCATTGCCCCAACTAAAACCATTAAGATAATTCCTGGCCGGACACGGTGGTTCATGCCTGTAATCCCAGCACTTTGGGAGGCCGAGGTGGGTGGATCACTAGAGGTCAGGAGTTCAGGACCAGGCTGGCCAGCATGGTGAAGCCTCGTCTCTACCAAAAAATACAAAAATTAGCTGGGTGTGGTGGCACGTGCCTATAGTCCCAGCTACTCGGGAGGCTGAGGCATAAGAATCGCTTGAACCCAGCGGGTGGAGGTTGCAGTAAGCCAAGATTGCGCCACTGCACTCCAGCCTGGGCGAAAGAGTGAGACCCTGTCTCTAAATAAATAAATAAAATAGAGCTATTAAGATAATTCCTCAACAACAGTAAGTTGCCAGGCATTCATATTTCCTCCTTTATTCTTGTTTCATTTTGTTTTGTTTGAGACGGCGTCTCGCTCTGTCGCCAGGCTGCAGTGCAGTGGTGCAATCTCAGCTCACTGCAACCTCCGCCTCCTGGGTTCAAACGATTCTCCTGCCTCAGCCTCCCGAGTAGCTGGGACTACAGGTGCACGCCACCACACTCAGCTAATTTTTGTATTTTTAGTAGAGATGGGGTTTCACCATGTTGGCCTAGATGGTCTCGATATCCTGACCTCTTCATCCTCCCGCTTCTGCCTCCCAAAGTGCTGGGATTACAGGCGTGAGCCACCACGCCTGGCCCCTTATTCTTGTTTTCTTTTTCTTGGTTGCTTGGTTTGCATCAGGACTCTCCCAGGGTGTGACATGCATCTCCCTCCCGCCTCCAATCTCCCCACCTGTCATCCCTGAAACAATAAACCTGGGTCCACCTCTGGAAGGATAAGAACCCAGATCTGTGGCCAGTGGCTCACCGGGGCTATGGGGATGTGTTTGCATTTGAAGGTACAGATAGGGCCCCGGGAATGTCTTGGTTTCTGTGCCTGACCCAAGTGTGTCGATAGCTCCTCTGATGCCCCCTGAGAGTCAGGGGAACTAAGCATGCCCCTCTCTCCACACATACATGCCACCCACTCTTCTCTCCACGCAGCCCCTCTGCTGCCCTTGATTAGTCACAGACGCCAAGGTGGGTGAAGTAGGGAAGAGCCTGACTGTCCACAATGGCCCCCAGTAGCCAGGTACCAGGAAGAGGCGTAAAAGGGAGTCCCGCCTTTACTCCTATAGATGGTGGCTCCTCTGGTTACGATTTCAGAATTCAACATGTTTTACAATCAAAACTAGCATTTGATAAGAAATAAAAATCAATAACCCAGCCAAACACACCATCCACATACTCCCAACGTGAGAGCAGGAAGAATCTTGTGCCTTAACTCCCTTCCTGCCATCAGCTCCCTCCCTCCCTCCCTCCCTCCTCCGTCTCTAGCCCAGCAATCCCTCTACTCCAGTTTTGCCCAGCTATTGGGAATCTTGGACAGCTTCCTTAGGCCCCTGTGCATCCAGGTAGGGTTGGGGCAGCAGAAAGCGAAGACCCACTCAAGACAGACCTTGTCAGTGCGTGCTTGACTCCTGGTCTTTTCTGATGCTTTGTTTGACTCAACATACCTCCTCCAACAACCTGATTTGCATTGATAAGTGTCACTGTGTTTTCCTTTGACACGACTCCGTTGCAGTTTGCCGAGCCCTTGATGGTACCAGGCTCTGGGCACGTAGCACCCACATCCTCACTGGAAACCCAGAGAGCTAAAGCTCCTCATCCAGGGCCACACAACAAGCAGGGCTGGAGCCTGGACACCAAGCCAAGCCCCTCTGTTTCGAATTCTTGCTCTTCAACCACAGCTCAGTCTCCTCCCAGGAAGTGGTGATCCCCGCTTTGGGCGGGACACGGTTAGGTGCATCAGAGGTCATAGGTCGCAGGTGGGATGTGAAGTCTGTGAAGTCGCCCACTTCCTCTGGGCTTGTGGGCAAGGACAGTGCAGCCTTGGGGGACGGGAGTTAGGAGCCCCAGCTTGTAACAGTGACCCGAGCTGTGGCACAGGTCCCCTGGCTCCATCTAATGCTCTGTTGTCACTGTCCTGAAATGATCAACGATCTTTGAACAAGGGGATTTGCATTTCCATTTTGTACAGGGGCCCCTCGAATTCTGTCTCAGGTCCTGTTAAGAGCTCTTTAGGAGTGGTTATTTATTTTTTGTATAAGCAGAGTCTTGCTGTGTTGCCCAGGCTGGTCCCAAACTCCTGGCCTCAAGCAATCCTCCAGCATCAGCATCCCAAAGCACGGGAACAACAGGCGCGACACCGCGCACTGCCCTGGGACAGAGCCTTTGGGGATGACGCCCGTTCCTTGGTTGTTCGGTGGTGGTGGGGAGGATGGCTCCTGAGGGGCAGCTGCCGAACAGTCCTGTGCTTGCCATTCTAGGCGTCTGAGCTGATTCTGGATGCAGTGGCAGCAGCCCCAGCACTCCCCGAGGAAAGTGAGTGGCTGGAGACTACCCAGCTCCAGCAGAGTCTGCACACCAGGGCGGAGGCCGAAGCGCCCCGCGCCCCTGGCTTGCTGGGTGAGTCTGGCTCCTGTGTGGATTAAGGGTTGGAAATGGAGTTTGGGACTTCAACCCAAAGCCACAGACTTTGTTAATGGGTTGAGTTGGGTGCTTCGGTGGTGAACTCCACACTTCCCCCAGAAAGCATGCACACCTCCTGTGAGGACTGAGATCTGGGGCCCCTAGAACCACCATGTACATCGTTCACCCTACGAGAAGGGCCTCAGCCTCCGCACCTGAACGGCAGCCAAGGCAGACAGTCTGAGAGTGTTGGAGCACGGGGTTACCCAGAGGGCCAGCCAGGTAGGAACAAGGGCCAGTGCTGTGGGATCTGCTCCCAAAACATGTGCCTTTTTTTTTTTTTTTCGAGACAGAGTCTTGCTCTGTTGCCCAGGCTGGAGTGCAGTGGTGTGATCTTGGCTCATTGCAACCTCCGCCTCCTGGGTTCAAGCGATTCTCCTGCCTCACCCTCCTGAGTAGCTGGGATTACAGGCGCACACCACCACGCCCAGCTAATTTTTGTATTTTAGTAGAGACGGGGTTTCACCATGTTGGTCAGGCTGGTGTCTAACTCCTCACCTCATGATCCACCTTCCTCGGCCTCCCAAAGTGCTGGGATTACAGGCATGAGCCACTGCACCGGCCACATGTGCCCTTGTATCTTAAAGGACAGAACGGAGGACACAGGGGCCGTATTGAGCAGAGGAAGGGCCTGGACTTGGCTCAGTCACTGGGGTCCTCCGTGCCCCTGGGGAGCACAGGGAGATGCCAAGGCCATCCACTCACTACAGGTGACCCATCTCCCTCGCCCTCCACAGGGTCCCGGGCCCGCTTGCCTCTGAAGCCGAGTATCTGGGACGAGCCTGAGGACCTTCTCGCAGGGCCCTCCTCAGACCTGCGGGCAGAAGGGACTGTGATCTCGAGCCCCAAGGGTCCAAGTGCTCAGAGAATCAGTCCCCGAAGGAGAAACAGGAACACTGACCAGAGCGGCCGCCACCAGCCATCCCTCAAGCACACCAAAGGTGGTACCCAAGAGGCTGTTGCAGGCATCTCGGTAGTGCCGCGTGGGCCCCGAGGTGGGCGGCCCTTCCAGTGTGCCGACTGTGGGATGGTCTTCACCTGGGTCACCCACTTCATCGAGCACCAGAAGACCCATCGCGAGGAAGGGCCCTTTCCGTGCCCCGAGTGTGGCAAGGTCTTCCTGCACAACTCCGTCCTCACTGAGCATGGCAAGATCCACCTGCTGGAGCCACCGAGGAAGAAAGCCCCCCGGAGCAAGGGCCCCCGGGAGTCCGTCCCACCCAGGGATGGAGCCCAGGGCCCAGTGGCCCCTCGCAGCCCCAAAAGACCCTTCCAGTGTAGCGTCTGCGGGAAGGCCTTCCCCTGGATGGTCCACCTCATTGACCACCAGAAGCTCCACACGGCCCACGGCCACATGTGAATGGCCAGCCTCGGGCCTCGGCCACCCGGCCCTGAGTCCCTGGGGGGAGCTGATGGGCCCCAGAAGATGGGGGACATCCCCCAGCCCCACCAACCCCTGGCCACCTTGGGACTCCTCTTGAAGGACACAAGCTGTTTCTCGGAAGACCCTGGACACCTGCTCCGAAGCCAAGCACGGGATGGGGCTTCCCAGGGTCTCAGCTGAGAAGCAGCAGTTCCACAGCACAGCCTGGTCAGTCCTGCGCACTATAGTTTTGCAAGTGGCTTGAAGAGGAGTTTCATTCGCGTCCCATCTTTCAGAAGCCTTGTCCAGGTCTCCCTGTTAGCACCTGACTCAGCGGCAGCTTCTGCCGCTGGGTTTTCATTTCACTGTGGATATCCCTGAGGCCATGAGGGTGGGAGCCGGCCTGGGCAGCTCCAACTCCAGAGAAGGGTACAGCTGACCCCGGCTGCCCTCCTGCCAGCTTAGCCCCCTTGGAACCTAACAGATAAACAGGGTTTTGTTTTTTTCCTTTTTTGGGTAAAGTACATGCAACATAAAATTTACCATTTCAGTCATTAAAAATGAACAGTTCAGTGGCATTAAGCACATTCACAACACTGTGCAACTACCAGCACTCTCTAGCTCCAAAGATGTTTTCGTCTTGCCCAGAAAGAGAGCCCACAGTCCTCAGCACGCCTTCGCCATTCCTGCCCGCCCTGACAACCAGAATCTGCTTCCTGTCTCTGAGGATTTCAGGCGCAGTCTTTAGGCCTGACCAAAACTGACCTGCCTGTATTTTGTTTGACTTACAGAAGGATTTTTTTTTTAGATAGATGCCAACATTTGTTTAAACCATAAAAATCTGGCTTTCTGGTCTGCCAGGAAGGATCAGATGGTCTCCAAAGAGTGGGCCCGCCTCTCCTGCTAGGCTGGAGCAGAGTGTGGGCAGGCGGTGACGTCACAGCGGGGAGCCAGCCTCGGACTCGGCTTCTCACCCGTCCCCAACTCATTGTTGTCGGACACTCGTCCCCTTTCAAGCAAAAGCCTTAAAAGTTTTTGCCTTTTTCTTTTTCTCCTCCCGACTTCACTTGGAAACACAGTGTTGGGCTGACTGTGAATCCGCACAGGCAGAGACATTTTTCCAAGTCGCCTTCTAAATCAAAAGCCTTTGGACTTACCCACGTCACATCCGCCTGCTGCTGCTTCTCAACCAAGCTGCCCCCACTCTCGGCCTCTGTCCCCGATGGCCCTCTCGGGCTGTGCAGGTCCCACGGACCCACCGCTGCCTTCACTTCATCCTCGCTGCCGCGCTTGCCTTCTCACGCTTGCCTTCTCGGAGCGCCCCCTAACCGCGCCTCCGGACCTTGCTTCCCGGCTCCCTCAGGCATCCCCAGCTTTTCCCTGCAGTCCCCACTGGGGGCTCCTGGCTCTATCCTATGCCTTAATTGCTGGTGGGCTCCAGCTCCCCTCCTGGCACCTTCTCTCTCATCCTGCAAAGGAGGAGCTTCTTCTACAGAGCTCAGGATGGAGGGTGGGGTCTTGGCCCCGCAGTCAGCCCATTACTCTCGGAAGCCCCCCTGAGCCTTCTCTCAGGCGCAGATTGATCGTCTCAGACAACGGGATGTGTAGAGATAGCTCTCCCGAGTGCCCCCACTTGTTGGGAGCCAGGGGCTCATTCCATGCTGTTTCCATCTCGGTCTCCACCTGCTGGAGGCACAATCACAGCTCAGTTTGTTGGTGCCAGAGTTGCACAAGAAAGTGGGTGCCATTGAACACGAGGCATCAGTCAGGCTCCAGCCTACCTGGGCTGGCCCCAGAGACATCCATCTGGTGTCCCTCAGTTCTCCAATTGAGTTTGTCCAAATAACTCATCTTCCCTTGTGCAAAAACAAAAAACAACAACAAAGAAAACAACGCAAACTGCCTCCCCTCTGGGGTTCCCACTCCCCTCAGAGGGACCACCACCTTCCAAGGCCCCACAAGGATTTTTGATTGCCCTGGGAACCCAGCTCCCAATCCCTCTCAGTTCTCTTTTCTCCTCTGCACCATCAGCCCCAGGCTCTCTCCCCATTTCTTGAATGCCTGCAGCTGCCTCTAAGCAAACTCTGCCTCCAGCCCGTTCCCTCTGCCCCATCCCCATCCTGCAGCCAACAGGGTCCCTCTAAAATGCAGACACTGAAAAGACAAAGCCCAGCAGGGTAGCTCTATAGTGTCCTTTGTGGCCCTGCTGCCTCCACAGCCCCCAGCACTGGGATGGTGGAGGCTGGTGTCCTTAACTCACTGTGTCTCCACCTGACTCCACACTGCCTCTCACCCTGGCCTCCTCCTGTGCCTAGAACAGTCTCCACTGCCATACTTGACCACACCCAGCATACAACAGGTCCTACAGAGTGAAGGGATGAGTGACTCAATGAGTGAGGGGAAGTCCCTGTGGAGACACCGGGACACCATTGTGGGCTGCAGTTTCCAGCCGGGGAAGCCTCCCTCGACCTCTGAGGGGAGGTGGGCCACCCCTTGAGGGCCACTCTCAATGCGCTCCACCTTGGCTGACGGAAGCAAGGACGTGGCCCAGGATCCTGGAGGGCCACTCCTGTGTGCGCCACCTTGGCTGACAGAAGCAAGGACGTGGCCCAGGGTCCTGGAGGGCCACTCTTGTGTGCTCCACCTTGGCTGACGGAAGCAAGGACGTGGCCCAGGATCCTGGAGGGCCACTCTTGTGTGCTCCACCTTGGCTGACAGAAGCAAGGACGTGGCCCAGGGTCCTGGAGGGCCACTCTCACGTGCTACACCTTGGCTGACAGAAGCAAGGACTTGGCCCAGGGTGCTGGACCAGTTGTGGCAGCTGCTGCAACTCACGAAAGCCACCACGTGGTGTTCTTCACCTAACTTGCCCAGTCCCAAGCCCCTGCCCGAGCTGCAGTGAGACAGAGCACTAGCCCCTCTCTTCTCTTTGGGTTCACCCCAGCTGTGGAAGCCCCAGCACCTCAGCACGCCTCCCTTGCCCTGTGCCTTCCTCTGCCAGCACCCCCCAAAGACTCCAACACCCCCATCACGATGTGCCCCAGTCTCCTGTCCTCCAGCCCTTGTCACAGGAGCTGTGAGCCCAGCCCTGGGCACTTCACGCTCTGGAAGACCGGAGTCTCAGACGCCACCTTTCTCCCTGGCAGCCAGGGTCTCTTGGGTCAGAGGAGGCCTGGACACTGCCAGGTTTTGAAGCTGTCAAAAAGATTTTTTTTTTAAAGGGAGAAATATGTCCAGGGAGCTGTAACTGTTACAGTATATTTTAAATGTATGTGTTGAACAGATTAACTTTTTGAACATTAACATACAGCATGACACAGTTCTGCTATCCATGCTGTGATTGCAGGATTGCTTGGAAGCTGTACTGATGTGCAGCCCACCTGCTCATGGTGGGGGGTCCTGTTCCAGGCCACAGAGAGGCAACCAGCAATGCTCTGCTTGGAGATTCGTACAGGAAGCCAAGAAGGAGCTGAGAGGGGCCCAGCCAGTGGTTACAAGAGACAGCAGGAGGTTCAGACCACAGCAAGGGTGGCACTGGAGTAGCCTCCAGCTCATCTTATTTGACTGGTAGAGTGTTATTAAAGCCTTTGAAATCCCTACCAGCTTTTAAAAATCAAGAGATTTCACATAGAAATCCTGATCTCTGGGTTCTTTAGAGAAATCCAGACCTGGGACGCTGGGCTTGCCAGTCCGCACGACCCCACTTGGCTGGAGCCAAGCAGCACTTGCCCCTGTAGAAAGAGCCCGCCCCTGCAAAAGCATGTACGGTTTAGAAACCTGGCTGAGAAAAACAGAGGATCAGAAGGTCTGAGGGAGGAAACAGAGGGGCAAGTTTGAGGGAGCTGGGCAGGGCCGCCTGGCCACCATCAGGGCTGAGCAGGCTCAGTGTGGCACCACTGACAGCTTCTCACCAGGACTATCAGACCGCTTGGGAAAAAGACTTCACCATGAGTTGTGTGTTCATACCTTTTGATCCAGTAAAAGGAAACGGTTGGGGGTGGGGGTGGGGGGCAAGAGTATACATTTTGTGAAAGAAAAAATACACAAAAAGATGTTTTGTGGCATTTGGGTTTGTGAGTTCGAGAACTGAAAAACGGCATTTTATGTATAATGGAAAGCCTCTTTACTGCTGTAGAGTGAAAAGCAGGCTGGCTTTCAGTGCGACGGTCACAAATGTGGGGCTTTACAGTACTTGGAATGTACAGGACGCCCTTAAAAGCCAAGAAGCTTGCCTTTGCTTTGTTTACATCAGTGCATTATGATTTTGAGCCATTATATCTCTTCATAATTGCCACTGTTTTAGGGCTTATGAAATTTAAAGTCTTAACTTGTGTGTTAACCAGCCAAATCTTTGCAAGTGTCTGTGTGTGGTACGAGAATTCGTATTGTGTTCTCTGCTGTTTTCAGAGTTGTTTCAGTCAAAGAAAAAAAAATGCCCGTCTTAAAACTTTTCCTCTGCTTCAAATACAGCTCCCAAGCCCAGGCTGATTGGAATTAATCTGTCCTCCCTTAAAAGGGCAAAAGCACAAGGCTCAGCCCTGGCTTTCCCAGCTCCTCTGGTCTCGCTGCTCCACGGACGTGTGACGTACGCTGGTGAAACGAAGCCCGCTTGAATGGGGGCTTCACTATTGTGTGCTGCTGAACCTAGGCCTAGCGCCTGGCAGGCTTTGGTGAATGTTCAGAAAATGACAATTCATTTCGTGTCAGCGAGGGCACACCAGCTTTGAATATTTTGCTGCTGTTCAAATGCACAATTTTGACAATTACCTAGCAATGTCCAAAGTCGTCATAATTGTTAGTGTCTTGCACGTGATGTTCCTTATAACCATGTAATAAATACAGTGTGAAGTCTCCATGGCTGCCTCAGTGTGGAAAATGCAAAGACTCCCGTGTGTGCGATCTTGGTGAATGTTTTGGTTGAAAGTATGTGTTTTGAAAAAATCATTGCTTTGTTTGCAGCAGTAAAACTGACGGTAGAGTTTCCAACACGAAAGCCCGTGTGGTCGCGCCGGGAGCTCACGGCGTTCCAAGCGGCACTTATCCCGCGTTGATGCCCAGGCACCCCGCGCGCCCTGTTTCACCAGGCCCAGTCACTCCAGCTCCAGCAGCACTGAGAGCTCACGAACGCCAAGGGCGAGAGCGAGGTGGGGGAGGGCGGCCGGAAATGCGCGCGCGGCTCTCTGGGAAATGGAGTTAGGCTCGCGCCGGCGCAGTGTCGGCTGCCGGTGCCGCGGCCTTTGTCTCGCAGTCAGGAGGGTGAGCTAGGCCGGCGAGGAGGGGGAGGGGAGGCCAGGCCGGGCCGGGCCGGGCCGGGTGCGGGGGGTCCGGGGATCTTCCTGAGGCCCTGGCGGGGCGAGTTTCCAGCAGCGCGCGTCTGTGTGGAGTCCGTTTTGCTGCCCGGGGCCTGGGGAAGGCCGTTTCGGGGCTGGCGGGGGCAGGCTTTGCGGGGCATCCCTAGTCTGAGAGGAGGGCGGGGCCCAACGCCCAGCTGGACAGGAGCTGCTCCGACGGCCCCTGAGGGAACGCGCGCCCCGCCCCTGGCCCCACCTCTGCCCCACACCGGGCACTGGGCCGCCACCTTTGTTGATGGAAGAGAGAAACTGAGGCATAGTGCCCAGGGCCAGGGGACCGCAACCACCCGGCCCTTGTCACTGTAGCGTTAAGGCTCAGAGTCTGCGCAGCAGATATGTGTCCGCACCCGCCAGGCCTTCAGCTTCCCTCAGACAGGCGGGAAAACCCTAGGCTGCCCTTCTCCGAGCGGAGGGCCGCCCCACACACAGCAGGCGCTTAAACGGGTACGCGGGGCCCTGGACGGCTCTCCGCGGAGCTCCCCAGGCTCTGGCGCAGTTCCCCGGCTTGGGGACCTGAGCACCGCCTCTGCCTGCCCCAGCTGCTCACCTCCCCTTTCCCACAGAGCAGGGCCAGCCGTTCCTGCCAGAAGCCAGGGCATGACCCCTGGGGTGCGCGTCTCCACAGACCCGGTGAGAATCTCGGCCTCCTTGCGCGTGTCCTCCACCTCGTGCCCGGCCTCCTCGCGCGCGGCCTTCTCACGCCCGGCCTCCTCTTTGCACCCCGTCCCTACTCGCGCTCAGCCTCCTCCTTGTGCCCGGCCCCTACTTGCGTGCCCGGCCCCTACTCGTGCCCGGCCTCTACTCGCACAACTGGCCTCTACTCGCGCACCTGGCCTCTACTGGTGCCCGGCCTCTACTCGTGCCCGGCCTCTATTTGCACATCTAGCCTCTACTCGTGTCCGGCCTCTACCTGCACACCCGGCCTCCTAAAGTCCGCGCCAAGCTCCCCAACCACAGCCTGCCTCTGAAAGGACCGCCCACGCCGCGCTGGAGGTCAGCGGGCACGGGTCCCTGTCTGAGTGGGCTTTATGTTTGTGCGGCCGTCATTGCATACCTGAGGCTGGGTGATGTCAGAAAATTGTAGGTGCCCCGGCTCTGCAGTCTGAAGTTGAAGGCCTTAGCATGCTCTGCGCTCCAAGATGGCGCATCGAGTGCCGCTTCCTCAGACGTCATGGAGGCCAAGGGGGCGGAACTCGCCTTTTTATGATGACATTAACCCCACCCATAAGCCACCAGAAGAAACCAGCCTCCTGTAGGAATGTCAGAAAACCCGTACAAGGGGACTGGTGCGATGGCTTGTAGCTGTAATCCCAGCTATGGGGGAGGATTGCTTGAGCCCAGGAGTTGGAGGCTGCAGTGAGCCATGATGTGCCACTGCACTCCAGCCTGAATGACAGTGGAACCCTGTCTCTAAAAAATTAAAAAACAAACCCAGATTTGGCCGGGCGCGGTGGCTCGCACCTGTAATCCCAGCACTTTGGGAGGCCGAGGTGGGCGGATCACGAGGTCAGGAGATCGAGACCATCCTGGCGAACACGGTGAAACCCCGTCTCTACTAAAAATACAAAAAAAAATTAGCCGGGGGGGTGGCGGGCGCCTGTAGTCCCAGCTACTCGAGAGGCTGAGGCAGGAGAATGGCGTGAACCCAGGAGGCGGAGCTTGCAGTGAGCCAAGATCATGCCACTGCACTCTAGCCTGGGCGACAAAGCGAGACTCCGTCTCGGGGGAAAAAAAAAACCACCCAGATTCAGTCTTTAGACTTCTGCTACTAGCTTTATAACTTTGTTTATCCCCTAGGCTGAAGTGCAGTGATGCAATCATGGCTCACTGTGCTTCAAACTTACGTGCTCAAGTGATCCTCCCACCTCAGCCTGTTAAGCAGCTGGGACCACGGGCATGCGACACCATGCTGGGCTGGTCCACTCCTTTATTGCTGGCTCCCTCCATTTCTTATTTCAAGAGACAAATTATTGGAAACGGGCATGATGCCTTAGATTCTAAGATCCTCCACCTCATCAGCAGGGCACCCATCCAGGCCCCACAGAAAAACCTGACCCAAAACCCCAGACCAAAGGGAACTCCATCCGACCCAGCCTGGCTGGCATTTACCAGCTACCCCACCAGCAGCCAGTGCCAGGGTTGGCTTGGCTGAGGACACTCGTGTGATGTTTCAGGAGCAAGTGACGTTTGAGGACGTGGTAGTGGGCTTCAGCCAGGAGGAGTGGGGGCAGCTGAAGCCTGCCCAGAGGACCCTGTACCGTGATGTAATGCTGGACACCTTCAGGCTTCTGGTCTCTGTGGGTAAGGCCACACCCATGTCCTATCTGTTGATCTGTCCCTGACACGGATTCTGATTCTACCAGGTTAAATATTTATAGGACTGAGCTTTAAAAGCAAATGCCTGGGGCTGTATGTCTTGGGCTTTAAGAACCTGACTGTTTTAATGTAGGAAATATCAATTAAGACCAATATTAGCAAGTCTCAGACTCAACCTGAAATCAACAGAAGCAGAGAAACATGAGGTGAGGGAAACATACTGGGTCTGAAGACTACAGAATCCCAGGGTAGACCAGGGTGTTCTGTAGAGCTGTTAGGAGCCCCTCCTTCTTCAACACCTCCCTCTGCACTTCTGTCTTAGTCTGTTAGGGCTGCTAAAATACCTTAGACTGGGTAATTTTAAACAATAGATATTTGTTGCTCATGGTTCTGGAGGCTGGGAAGCCTAAGATCAAGGTGTCAGCAAATTCAGTGTTTGGTGAGGGCTTGCTCCTCACTGATGGCACTTTCTTCCTGTGTCCTGACATGCCATAAGGGCAAGGGAGTTATCTCAAGCTTCTTTTATAAGGGCACTGATCCCATTCATGAGTGGAGCCCTCATGAATTAATCACTTCCCCAAGGCCCCACCTCAACACTATCAGATTAGGTATTACATTCTAACATTTGAACCTTATTTATTTATTTATTTATTTATTTGTTTTTAAATTTTTTATTTTTGAGACAGAGTCTCGCTGTGTCACCCGGGCTGGAGTGCAGTGGTGCGATCTCGGCTCACTGCAAGCTCTGCCTCCCGGGTTCACACCATTCTCCTGCCTCATCTTCCTGAGTAGCTGGGACTACAGGTGCCCACCACCACGCCTGGCTAATTTTTTTTTTTTTTTGTATATTTAGTAGAGACGGGGTTTCACCGTGTTAGCCAGGATGGTCTCGATCTCCTGACCTCGTGATGCACCCACCTTAGCCTCCCAAAGTGCTGGGATTACAGGCGTGAGCCACTGCGTCCGGCCTGAACCTTTTTTATTTTTAAGAAACAGGGTCTTGTTCTCTTGCCCAGGGTGGAGTGCTGTGGCACAGTCATACTTACTGCACACTTAACCTCCTGGCTCAAGTAAACCTTCCATTTCAGTCTTCCAAGTAGCTGGGACTACAGGTGCATACCACCACACCTAGCTAATTTTTAAAATTTTTGTAGAGACGGGTCCTTGCTGTGTTGCCCAGGCTGCCCTCAAGCTTCTAGGCTAAAGTGATCCTCCCACCTCAGCCTCCCAAAGTGCTGGAATTACAGGCATAAGCCACTATGCATAGCCTGAATTTTAGGGGGACACCAACATTCAGACCATAGCAATCTCTTTCTGGCTTCATTTCCAGAGAGGCTCCTCTGGAGGTGACAAGACAACTGCCTGGGGTGCCTTTCCTGCAACCAAGACCAGCAGAAAAGACAGGATCTGTGTCCCAGGGTTGTCCTGGTTTGGCTGCCAGGTCTTCTTCACAGTGATCATTGATGCCAGTGGGCAGGGGAGGAACCAGAGTTCTGATTGTCCAGGCTTGGGTCACATGTCCACCCCAGAACCAGTGGTAGGGTCAGGGACTGAGAGTAGGGGAATGAGTCCCTGAGGAACATCCAGGGCTGTGGGTATGACAGCTGAAGTCACTCAGGGGTCCCCAGCCATCTGGGACCTGGAAGACCAAAGGTGGAATGGGCTGAGGCTCAGGAAGGGTCCTGGGATACAAATGCTCACTCTATGGGTCTCTCCCTGAGCAGGACATTGGTTACCGAAGCCGAATGTCATCTCCCTGCTGGAGCAAGAGGCAGAGCTGTGGGCGGTGGAGTCTAGACTTCCCCAAGGCGTGTACCCAGGTGAGATGGGAGCCCTTCGGGGCAGAGAGAAGCCTGTCCATGCTTGCTTCCTGGTTTCTCCCTCTGCATCTGCTCTCTAATTCTTCAGAGCAAATTTACTACTCAGTCTTAGTGAAGATTTACCAAGCACCCATTTTGCTGTGAGTGACGACACCACGTCCTCATCTCCACTGAATTTATATTCTTGGTGAGGGAGTGGGGGAAACAAACAATAAATCGGTAAAATAATAATAATAAAACAAGTTGGATGATTACAGATTGTGATGAATGCCGAGAAAATGAAAATGAGCAATGAGGTAGACTAGGAGGGGGATGAGTAGACTTTAGCAGAGAGATGAGGGATAGCCTCTCCAAGGAGGTGACATGTGACTTGAAGCCTGAGCCATGAGGCAGTCTGAGTGAACAGTAGTATTTCAGGCAGAGGAAACAGCAGGTGCAAAGGCCTGAAGTCATGCATCAGTCAGCTTTTGTGTAGGAAAACACTCTGACCTCAGTGGCTTAAACCAAATAATTGTTTATAATTCATGTGTCTGTGGGTCAGTGGATCCAGGCTGGGCCCTACGCCATGTGCCTGTAGGGTGATTGGTAGGTAGCAGAGGTATCCCAGCCCACTGACAGGCAATTTCCCATTGGCATCAGGTGGGAAGAGTGGCCTGTCACCAGAGTCCAGGAGGGATGGCCAGTGTGGGAAAGGGTCACAGTAGGGTCCCTCCACATCAATAACAGCCCTTACCCAATATATTAGCTTCCTATTGCTCCTCCTGCAACCAGTTACAAATGACCCGTGAATAACATGGGTTTGAACTGTGTGGGTCCATTTATACATGGATTTTCTTCTGCCTGAGCCACCCCTGAGACAGCAAGACCAACCCCTCCTCCTACTCCTCAGCCTACTCACTGTGAAGACAATGAGGATGAAGATCTTTATGGTGGTCCACTTCCATTTAATGCATAGTAAATATATTTTCTCTTCCTTATGATTTTTTTAAATAGCTTTTTCTTTAGCTTACTTTAAGAACACATTATATAATACATATACAAAATATGTGTTAATTAAGGGCTGGGAGCAGTGGCTCACACCTATAATCCCAGCACTTTGAGAGGCTATGGCAGGTGGTATTTGAGGTCGGGAGTTCAAGACCAGCCTGGCCAACATGGTGAAACCCCGTCTCTACAAAAAAAAAATACAAAAAAAAAAAATTAGCTGGCCATGGTGGCACGCTCCTGTAGTCCCAGCTACTCAGGAGGCTGAGGCAGGAGAACTGCTTGAACTAGGAGGTGGAGGTTGTGATGAGCCAAGATCACGCCACTGTGCTCCTGCCTGGGTGACAGAGCAAGACCATGTTTCAAAAAAAACAAAGTGTTAACTATTTATTTTATCAGTATGGTCAACAATAAGCTATTAATAGTTAAGTTTTTGGGGAGTCAAAGGCTATACACAGATTTTCGATTGTACTGGGGTCAGTGCCCCTAGCCCCCTCATTGTTCAAGCGTCAACAATACTACACTTCGTAGCATAAAGCAAAGCAAATTATTTTAAAGTTCGGGAGATCAGAAATCCACAATGGGTCTAGCTGGAATATAATAAAGATGTCAGCAGGGCATCATTCCTTCTGGAGGCTCTAGGGAAGGGAAGAATCTATTTCTTTCTCTCCTTTTTGTTTTTTTAAGAGATGGGGTCTTGCTATCTTGCCTAGGATGGAGTCCAGTGGTATGATCATGGCTCACAGCAACCTTGACCTTCTGGGCTCAGGTGATCCTCCTGCCTCAGCCTCCTGAGTAGCTGAGACTACAGGTGTGTGTCACCATGCCCAGCTAATTTTTTTTTATTTTTTGTAGAAACAAGGTCTCATCATTTTGCCCAGGCATGTCTTGAACTCTTAGGCTCAAGGAGTCCTCCCACCTCAGCTGCCCAAAGTGTTGAGATTACAGGCATGAGGCCCTGTGCCTGGCTAAGAATCCGTTTCTTTGCATTTTTCAGCTTCTAGAGGCACCCACATTCCTTGGCTATGGCCTTGTCCATCTTCACAGTCAGCAAGGCCTGGTCAAGTCACATCATATTCACTCTGACTCTGACCCTTCTGCCTTTTTTCCCCATTTAAGGACCCTCGTGATTACACAGGTCCACCCAGATAATCCAGTGTAATTTCTCTATCTTAATGTTAGCTGATTAGCAACCTTAATTCCTCCCTCCCATGTAATTGGAAACATACAGGTTATAGGGTTAGGATGTGGGCATCTTGGGAAGCCACTATTCTGCCATTCACTCTGGCTTAACTTTTTTTTTTTTAATTGAACTTTTCACTGAAACATAACAATATGGGGAAGGTGCCCACATCACACCTCTAGGCCACTGTGGGGTCAGGGTAGGGGCAGCACACACCCAGGTCATGGCTGTGCAGAGAGGGCTGGGTACCAGGGCAAAAAGAGAGTCCTGCCATGAAGGAGGAGGAGGGAATGCATTTGTTCATTCATTAAGCATGTATATTGAGCTCTTGCTGTGGGCTATAGATACAGTGGTAAGCAAGGTGGACGGAAACCCCTACCCTCAAGGGGTTCCCAGTTAGTGAAATGGACAAAATAAGGCAGACCAAAGCACTCTAATATGCCACGGGTCATTTTTCTTCCTCTTAGTGATGTACATTGCAGCTATTCCTGTTTGTGGGGAGCAGTTAGGTTCCTTTACATCTAGAGTGAGGTGGCACAACAGCATATGCTGTCGGGAAGAAGCTGGGTATCAGCCAACTTTCCCCATGCAGCACGTTTTTCTCTGTTGCCACCTGGCATTGTGGAGGCCACTGTAGCTGGAGCCTGGGTGCCACACTGCTCCTTCCAAGTCCAGTGCCTCTGTGTGTCTGAGTGCTCTCTCCTGGGCATCCGCTCTGCATCCTCCTCTGTGCTCCCCTCACAGACTCCATTCATACTCCTTGTGCCAACTGTTTTTTCCTCCCTCTCCTCTTCCTTTCCTTATTCTGTTCTTTCCTCTTCCTTTCCTTATTCCTTATTTTCCTCTTCCTTATTCTGTGTTTCCCTCTCTTCCTTTCCTGGTTTGCAAAACTATATTTTTAAATGGTCAAAGCCACTTGAACCTTGAACGTTTCAAAATAATTAGTTTTATCCTTCCTCTTCCCATCTCACCACAAACTCTTTTGCCGTGGAACAGAGATTAAGGGACATTTCCAGTTTTTGCTTCTTTCAGACTTGGAAACTAGACCCAAAGTCAAACTGTCAGTTCTAAAGCAAGGCATCTCTGAAGAAATATCCAACAGTGTCATCTTGGTAGAAAGATTCCTGTGGGATGGTCTGTGGTACTGCAGGGGTGAGGACACTGAGGGCCACTGGGAATGGAGTTGTGAGAGTCTAGAGAGCCTGGCAGTGCCGGTGGCCTTCACGCCTGTGAAGACGCCTGTTCTGGAGCAGTGGCAGAGGAATGGGTTTGGGGAAAACATAAGTCTGAACCCTGATCTCCCACATCAACCAATGACTCCTGAAAGACAAAGCCCCCACACATGGGGAACACGTGGAAAAAGGGAGAAGCCAGACCTAAATGTTTTACAGAAAACCTGTGTAAAAGAGAAACCCTACAAATGTCAGGAATGCGGAAAGGCCTTTAGTCACAGCTCAGCACTTATCGAACACCACCGGACGCACACAGGAGAGAGACCTTACGAATGTCACGAATGCTTAAAAGGCTTCCGGAACAGCTCGGCACTTACCAAACACCAGAGAATCCATACTGGGGAGAAACCCTATAAATGCACTCAGTGTGGGAGGACCTTCAACCAAATTGCCCCACTGATCCAGCACCAGAGAACTCACACAGGTGAGAAGCCCTATGAATGCAGCGAATGTGGGAAATCCTTCAGTTTTAGGTCCTCCTTCAGCCAGCACGAGCGAACTCACACAGGCGAGAAGCCCTACGAGTGCAGTGAGTGTGGGAAAGCCTTCCGGCAAAGCATCCACCTCACCCAGCATCTGCGAATCCACACTGGGGAGAAACCCTATCAGTGTGGTGAGTGTGGCAAGGCCTTCAGCCACAGCTCATCCTTGACCAAACACCAGCGAATCCACACAGGGGAGAAGCCCTACGAGTGCCATGAGTGTGGAAAAGCCTTCACCCAGATCACACCACTGATTCAGCACCAGAGGACCCACACAGGAGAAAAGCCCTATGAGTGTGGTGAGTGTGGGAAAGCCTTCAGTCAGAGCACACTCCTGACCGAGCATCGGAGGATTCACACAGGAGAGAAGCCCTATGGATGCAACGAGTGTGGGAAAACCTTCAGCCACAGCTCCTCACTCAGCCAGCATGAGCGGACACACACAGGAGAGAAGCCCTATGAGTGCAGTCAGTGTGGGAAGGCCTTCCGGCAGAGCACACACCTCACCCAACACCAGCGAATCCACACAGGGGAGAAGCCCTATGAATGCAATGACTGCGGCAAGGCATTCAGTCACAGCTCGTCCCTCACCAAACATCAGCGAATCCACACTGGGGAGAAGCCCTACGAATGCAACCAGTGTGGCAGAGCCTTCAGCCAGCTTGCTCCCCTCATTCAGCATCAGAGGATCCACACAGGAGAGAAACCCTATGAATGTAACCAGTGTGGCAGAGCCTTCAGCCAGAGCTCCCTTCTCATCGAACACCAGAGGATTCACACCAAGGAAAAGCCGTATGGGTGCAATGAGTGTGGGAAATCCTTCAGCCACAGCTCCTCGCTCAGCCAGCACGAAAGGACGCACACTGGGGAAAAGCCCTATGAGTGTCACGATTGCGGAAAGTCCTTTAGGCAGAGCACCCACCTCACTCAGCACCGGAGGATCCACACAGGAGAGAAGCCATATGCATGCAGGGACTGTGGAAAGGCCTTTACCCACAGCTCCTCCCTTACCAAGCACCAGAGAACTCACACTGGATAAACCCACTCCACATGTGCTGGGGACATAGGAAGACCTTAAGCCATAGCTCATCCCTTTCTAGATTTGACCCAATCATACACATGAGAAACGTACATTCATACACAAGCCTTTTCACACAGCACTCCCCTCAGACACCCTCAGAGAGTTCACACTGATGGGAAATGACCATGGGACCACCAAGCTCTAGGTCATCCATCTCTGCATCCAAATAGTAGGGAAACGTGGAGATAATCAACACTCAGGACCTTCAGCCTTGAACGCCCATTAGTGCTATGTTATAGAACCTACAAAAAAGAAATGGAACAAATGTAGTGGATCCAGGGAACGCTTTTGTCCAAGGATTCACCGTATTCCAAACCAGAGATGTTCAAATTGGTGAGAAACCCAACAAATGCCTTTCATATATACGAGAACCAAATGAAGTCAGAATTTGCCATTATTGCACATCACATTTTTGGGGGGGAAAGTGCTTATGAATGGTGCAGGTTGACTCTGATATTCATTCCCAAATGACAGTATGGCAGAGTGTTCCAGAAATGAGAGTGGCATCTTTATGGAATCACTGTGGATACTGACTGTCTCAGTAAACAGCTGTCTTGTCTGTGTGTATATTGTTTGATCAGGGTACATGGCAGCCAGTCACAGATTGGAATTACATATGACAAAGTATCAGTGTACTATAAACAGGTTTTTAGTTATCCCTGCATTATTTTTGCAATTAATCTTTATATGCAATGAGATTGAAAAGCTTTGTATGGGAAGACTCAAAATGTAAAGCTGCTTCCGTAGAGTCTCACTGATTCTGAGATGGCTTTTGCTGCTCTGTTCTCCCTCTACATTTCTCTGCAGAACTCGCGTTAGAAACACAGATATTTGTTTTACAAAAAGGGAGATTTTTCCTTTGTTAAACCATCGTCTTATAAGCAATAGCAAATTCATGTTAGAAACTTCTGTTTTGCAAGATTCATCTTTTTTGGGATATGTTCAAGTTAATCCTCTCAAACTGCTTTTTCATTGTTTTCATACAATTTAACATTTTGTTAAACCCTAAGTCCACAAATAGCAGTCTTTCTGACAACTATAACCTTTAAATGGTGACTTGCTGCCCTCATTAGAAATTGCATTGGCTGGCCAGGCGCGGTGACTTATGCCTGTAATCCCAGCACTTTGGGAGGCCAAGGTGGGAGGATCACCTGAGGTCGGGAGATGGAGGTTGCAGTGAGCTGAGATCGTACCATTGCACTCCAGCCTGGGCAACAAGAGTGAAACTCTGTCTCAGAAAAAAAAAAAAAAATTGCATTGGCTGTTTTTGGTTATTAGCTGTTAGTTGTGGTTACATCCATCAATTTGATTTTTCTAATCCCAATGCTGGGATATAAATTTCCAGTTACTTGAAATTTCTCTCTTGGGGAGACCATGTTGCAGATAGTCTTCCAATATTGCTTCTCATTATGATTGTGGAGTGCCTCTTGGGATAAATGCCTTTGTCATTTACAAGCCACCGGAGAGCCAGGCATGGCTGCACCTGCCTCTAGTCCCAGCTGCTTGGGAGGTTGAGGCAGGAGGATCACTTGAACCCAGGAGTTCTGGGCTGTAGTGTGCTCTACTGATTGGGTGTCCACACTAAGTTTGGCATCAATATGATGACCTCCTGGGAGCAGATGACCACCAGCTTGCCTATGTAGGGGTGAACCAGAGCAGGTCAAAACTCCCATGCTGGTAGGGCTCACATCTGTAATCCCGGCACTTTGGGAGGCCAAGGTGGGCAGATCACCTGAGGTCAGGAGTTCAGGACCAGCCTGGCCAACATGGTGACACCCCGTCTCTACTGAAATTACAAAATTAGCTGGGCACGGTGGTGCATGCTTGTAATCTCAGCAATTTTGGAGGCTGAGGCAGTAGAATCACTTGAGCCTGGGAGGCGGAGGTTACAGTGAGCCTAGATTGTGCCAATGTACTCCAGCCTATGTGACAAGAGTAAAACTCAACCTCAAAAAAAAAAAAAAAACTCCCATGCTGATCATTAGTGGGATCGTGCCTATGAATAGCCACTGTGCTCCAGCCTGGGCAACACAGCGAGACACCATCTCTAAAAAATAAAAGCCACTGGAGAAAGCCAGGGTACACAGTGCATAGCAGCACTGTCTCATTGAAACAATGCAAGTCATATAAATAACTTTAAATATTCTGGTAGCCCCATTTAAAAAACAAGAAGAGGCCCAGGCACAGTGGCTCATGCCTGTAATCCCAGCACTTTGGGAGGCTGAGGTGGGCAGATCAGTTGAGGCCAGCCTGCCCAACATGGCGAAACCATGTCTCTGCTAAAAATACAAAAATTAGCTGGGTGCAGTGGCATGCACCTGTAATCCCAGCTACTCGGGAGGCTGAGGCACGAGAATTGCTTGAGCCTGGGAGGCGTCAGTGAGCCAAGATTGCACCACTGCACTCTAGCCTGGGTGACAGAGCAAGACTGTCTCAAAAAGAAAGAAAACGCAAGAAGAAACAGGTGAAACTAAAATTTACCCCTATATATCTCAAATGTTAGCAGTTTAACATACCAATATGAAAAATTATTGAGATATTTGCATTCTTTCTGTTACGTGACATCTTCAGAATCTAGTGTGCATCTTTTTTTTTTTTTTTTTTTTTGAGACGGAGCCTCCCTCTGTCACCCAGGCTGGAGTGCAATGGCACAATCTTGGCTCACTGCAACCTCCGCCTCCCGGGTTCAAGTGATTCTCCTACCTCAGCCTCCCGAGTACCTGGGACTACAGGCATGTGCCACCACGCCTGGCTAATTTTGTAGTTTTAGTAGAGATGGGGTTTCTCCATGTTGGTCAGGCTGGTCTCGAACTCCTGACCTCATGTGATCCGCCCGCCTCGGCCTCCCAGAGTGCTGGGATTACAGGCGTGAGCCACCACTCCCAGCCTAGTGTGCATCTTATACTTGCATCACATCTCAGAGTTGACCATAGCGACATTTCAAGTGCCCATTTGACACGTGCAGCTCAACAGTTTGGTCTTTGGTCAGCTGTTTTGTCCTCCTTCCCTTTACTACCTGTGTCCTCCTGCCTTTCCCTGTGTTCCTATCCTTGTGTAGCATCTTGTGCTCAAGGAAACCAAATGTGCTAGGAAGATCTGCTGCTTTAGGTAATTGGAATGACAGGTGCCTACTCATTTCAGGCTCCCTAGGATATTATTCTTATCACAGAACATTACATTCAGGAAAGAGATTATGGCCAGTCTATTCCAGTTCAGTTCAGTAAAAATGGAATCTGGCACATGCACTTTTGCAGTCCTTTGAAAGTGCTAGATTGGCATAATCACCAAGAAACGGTAATGTGAGTTCTTTCCTCTCCACTCAGCCCCTCTTCATCAGACCTCCTTCAGCGACACAGGGGAAATACAGCAAGGATTGGGTACTACAGAGAGGTGCCCACAGTATCACTTCTCTCCTAAGCCAGGGAAAGAGATGAGATTCCTCTCCCTGATGGTGCCAAGCCAGTGGAAGGGCACTGTGGGGGTTACACCCTCCTGAGTCTAGAGGACCTTGCTTACTACGCCTCAGTTATTGGCACACAAGTAGAAGATCAAGTGGGAAAACAGGTGAATGCAGGTGAAATAAGAATGAGGGAGAGTTCTGAGGCTAGTTCAGAAAAGGCCATACAGCGTCTGTCTTTTTTTGCTGGAACACTTGTGCTTGGAGCCCTGAGACACCACTTGAGAAACCCACTGGCCCAAGGCCACCATGCTGTGAGGATGAAGCCACACAGGCTCTGCTCAGGGTGTCAGTTCACTCCTAGTCTGAATCTCCCCAGCCTCATCAGGCCTGTGACAGAACAGTCTTCAGATGATTCCAGCCTCCCAGCTTTCAAGGTACCTCAGCCTTCAAGTTCCCAGCTGAGGCCCCACACATGGTGGAGCCGACCAAAGTCATAAAGTCATCCTTGAATGTGCCTTTTTTTTTTTTTTGAGACAGAGTCTAGCTCTGTTGCCCAGGCCGGAGTGCAATGGCATGATCAAGGCTCACTGCAGCCTCCACCTCCTGGGCTCAAGTAATTCTCCTGCCTCAGCCTCCCAAGTAGCTGTGATTACAGGTGTGTGCCACCGTGCCTGGCTAATTTTTGTATTTTTAGTAGAGACAAGGTTTCACCATGTTGGCCAGGCTGGTCTCAAACTCCTGACCTCAGGTGATCCACCCGCCTTGGTCTCCCAAAGTGCTGGGATTACAGGAGCAAGTCACTGCACCCAGCCTGAGGTCTGTTTTTTTAACTGTGCAGGCAGCCGCTCCACTCCACACTGCCTCTTGCTCCTCCTCTGGCCATGTGATATGTCTGCTCCTACTTCCCCTTCCACCATGAGTAAAAGCTTCCTGAGGCCTCCCCAGAAGCTGAGCAGATGCCAGTGCCCTGCTTCCTGTACAGCCTGCAGAACTATGAGCCTGTTAAACCTCTCTTTTTTATAAATTACTCAATCTCAGGCATTTCTTGATAGTAACACAAGAACGGCCTAACACAGTGAGCACAGTTTCTGGGTGTGCAGCCATGAGACTGAGAGGAAGGTCTGGTTCTTTAGCAAGGAAAGGTTCTGTCTCTTTCTGGATGCAAAGGGAGAAGTATGCTGCCTACCACCTGCAAGCACAGAGAGGACCATCCTGTACAGAGTCAACTCAGAGAAGACAGCAAAGCCCAAACTCATCTACAATTCAAGCAGGGGCCCCACCCTGGACCTTGCATCCTGGTCTTTCACAGCAAATAAATAATAACCTCAGCTGGGCGTGGTGGCTCATGCCTGTAATCCCAGCACTTTGGGAGGCTTGCTCGAACCCAGGAGTTCAAGACCAGCCTGGGCAACATAGTGAGACCCCATCTATACAACAGATAAAAAATTAGCCAGTCATGGTAGCGTGTGCCTGTACTCCCAGCTACGCAGTAGGCTAAGGCAGGACTATCACTTGAACCCAGGTATTTGAGGCTGCAGTGAGGTATGGTTTCACCACTGCACTCCAGACCATGTTTCTAAAAAAAAAAAAAGTAAATAATATCCTAAAGTGTATACAATTTTGAGTTGGATTTCTGGTGACTGGCAGCCAAAAATGCATCTTGAGTGGAAGAATCGTAGAAAGTAGAGAATTAAGTATCCTTTGGCTTCCCATTGTGTTTCTGAAAAAAAGTCAGGAAAGCTGGTGCGATGGTTTGGATATTTGTCCCCTCCAAATCTCATGTTGAAATGTGATCCCCAGTGTTGGAGGTGGGGCCTAGTGTGAGGTATGTGGGCTATGGGGTGGATCCCACATGAATGGCTTAGTGCTGTCCTCATGGTAATGAGTGAGTTCTCCCTTTATGAGTTCACCCAAGAGATGGTTATTTAAAGGAGCCTGGCACTTCCTCCCCTCTCTCTTGTTTTCTCTCTCACTATATGATGCACCAGCTCCCCTTTGCCTTCCGCCATGATTGGAAGCTTCCTGAGGCCTCCCCATAGTGCAGATGCCAGCACTATGCTTCCTGTACAGCCTGCAGAACCGTGAGCCAAATAAATCTCTTTTCTTTGTAAATTACCCATCCTCAGGTATTCCTTTATAGCCGTGTAAACAGACTAACACAGCCAGGGCCGTTGGAAGTTTTGTGGAAGCACTGGGTAGGACTGACGTGTGGTAGTCACTGTCCCTCCTGAGTCTCCTCTTATACTGTATGTGAGAGGGAGATTCTTTCAGGCAGCAAGTATTTTCCAAGCACCAACTATAGCTCAGGCACAATTCCAGACTCTGGCAACTAAACTGATGAAACTCGTGGTCTCAGGAGCTTATATTTTGGTGGGGAAATGGAAAATAGAGAAATTAGGATGTTATGGGCACATTACACAGTAAGTGTTATGTAGAAACAAAATGGTCCAAGAAGGGAAACCCCAGGCTGGGCGCAGTGGCTCAAGCCTGTAATCCCAGCACTTTGTGAGGCCAAGGCAGGCAGATTGCCTGAGGTCGAGAGTTCAAGACCAGCCTGGCCAACATGGAGAAACCCCGTCTCTACTAAAAACACAAAATTAGCCGGGCATGGTGGCACGTGCCTGTACTCCCAGCTACTAGGGAGGCTGAGGCAGGAGAATCTCTTGAAACCGGAAGGCAGAGGTTGAAGTGAGCCGAGTTCGCACAATTGCACTCCAGCCTGGGCAACAAGAGCGAAACTCCGCCTCAAAAAAAAAAAAAAAAAAGAAGAAGGGAAACCCCAAGTCCTCTGGACTTTTTTTTTTTTTTTTTTTTTTTTTTTTTTGAGGTAGGGTTTTGCTTTGTCACGAAGGCTGTAGCTTCAACCTCCTGGGCTCAAATGATCTATCTGTCCCACCTCAGCCTCCTGAGTAGGTGGGACTACAGGCATGTGCCACCATGCCTGGTTAACTTTTAAATTTTTTTAGAGATGAGGTCTTGCTATGTTGCCCAGGCTGGTCTCAAACTCCTGGGCCCAAGCGATCCTCTTGTCTCAGCCTCCCAAATGCTGGGATTACAGGCATGAGCCACTGCGCACAGCCTCTCTGGACTTCTCAGTTACCTGAGCCAATTCATTCCTTTTTGGTTTAGCCCCATGGCAGGTAACACAAATTCAATCCAATTAAAGAAACACAACTAGTAAGCTGGGTGTGGTGGCTCATGCCTGTAATCCCAGCACTTTGGGAAGCCAAGATGGATGGATCATTTGAGGTCAGCAGTTTGAGACCAGCCTGGTCAACATGGTGAAATCCTGTCTCTACTAAAAATACAAAAAATATATATATATATATTAGCCATGCGTGGTGGTGCGTGCCTTTACTGCCAGCTACTTGGGAGGCTGAGGCAGGAGAGTTGCTTGAACCCGGGAGGCAGAGGTTGCACTAAACCAGGATTGCACCACTACACTGTAGCCTGGGCAACAGAGAAAGGCTCTGTCTCAAAAAAAAAAAAAAAAAAGAGAAAACACACACACACACACACACACACACACACACACAACTGGTAAATTACCTGCCCCTCAAAGTGCAGTGATGATTAAATGAGCTCCTGGAATCCCAAAGCGTGTGGCAAAGTATAAAGTGAATGTAAAACATCCGTTCATTTGCGTTACTTGTAAAACTGTCATGCCCATTAAATGCCCAAAAAAAGAGGCTGTTTCTGAAGACAGTCTCTTTGTTATAGTACACACATACTTTATATAGCAGCACACAGATGTATATATTTAGATACCGTATACATTCTTATAGAGAGGAGGAGGTTTAAGCTTTAGCTGTCCTTAGGAGAAGCCAAGAGTGACACCATGAAACCACACATCGCTGGCTCACATCTGAACTCAGTGATTTAGATTTCTGCTGGGAGGCTTTTCTGCCTTCAAAGGCCGCTCCATGCCATTTCTTTTTCTTTCTTTCTTTTTTTTTTTTTTTAAATCCTTAGGGTCTTACTCTGTCACCCAGGCTGGAGGGCAGTGGTGTGATCATAGTTCTCTGTAGCCTGGAACTCCTGGGCTTAAACAATCCTGCCTTAGCCTCCTTAGTAGCTGAGACTACAGGCATGCACCACCATGCCCAGCTAATTTTTTATTTTTTATTAAGACAGGGGCCCACTATGTTGTCCAGGCTGGTCTCGAACTCCCAGACTCAAGCAATCCTCCCACCTTGGCCTCCCAAAGCACTTGGATTATAGTCATGAGCCACCACTCCACCATGGTCCACGCATTTCTGTCACACACTCACCCCCAAGTTCTGTTTATTTTAGGAGAGTGAGGGCTTTAAAGGAAGGTCTCAGGGTTTACTGTCAAAGGAATTGATTCGTTTATTCTTCTCTTTGAGCCCAGAGTAAACAAGTATAAACCACACAGAAAATGCCCCTGGCCCTATGTGGGTTGCAAGTTAGTGGGCAAGATAGGCAAAGCAAGTCATCAGAAGAAAAGCAAGGTGAGTCATAGCGGAGAAAACACAGTAAGACGGGCCAGACGCAGTGGTTCACACCTGTAATTTCAACACTTTGTGAGGCTGAGGCGGGTGGATCACCTGAGGTCAGGAGTTCGAGACCAGCCTGGAGAACATGGTGAAACCCTGTCTTTACTAAAAAATACAAAAATTACCCAGGCATGGTGGCAGAAGCCTGTAATCCCAGCTACTCGGGAGGCTGAGGCAGAAGAATTGCTTGCAGTGAGCCGAGATTGTGCCACTGCACTCCAGCCTGGGCGACAAGAGCAAGACTTTGTCTCAAAAAAAAAAAAAAAAAAAAAAGTGATAAGATGAATACCAGCCCAGAGATGATAACAACTTGGGGATTATTGTGTTTGGTGAATGGGGTGAGGGACGTCACATTAAAACCATGGCATCAGGGCAAACCTCCGTGAAAAGACAGGCAGAGCCACAGCTGGAGAGACCTCCCCAGTACTGGGGCCTTGGTGAGGAGCTGGGGAGCTTAGATTTACCATGTCCCAGAAGCCACCCTCTCACTGAGCAGATTTCCCTGGCAGTTGCCCCCATCGCATGTGGCTGGTCCCTCAGGAGCCTGTGTCTCAAGAGCTACCTGGTCAGCCAGAGGCTGGACTTTGGAAAGCTGTTCATTTCATTGAGACATCTGGGAACCTTTCTACAAATTCATGTTCTCTCGAGTTGAGGGAAGGCTGGGCTGCACTATGTTTTGAGGCTCTGGCTTCATGGATTTGCCATGAAAGTAAGCTGAAACTCTAGGTCCCTCACTTTCAGGGATCCCTTCAAGACCAAGCGCCTAATTTTATCTTTGTAATTTTGAATTATTCTTCTGAAGAGGGACCCCTCAGTTGTGTGAGCCTTAGGCCCAACAAATCTGGATCGACCCCTGGTTCCAGCAACCCTCGTCTTAGAGACTTCTGCATGGACACTGGGAAGACAGAACCCAGCACTGCCAAGGGTAATGGATCTCCCATTTTGATGTGAGTGAAAACCACCTGAAGGTGGAGGGTGTTAAACCTGGGACCTTGCTTTGGTTGGTCCGAGGGGGTTTGGTAATCTGCACACCAAGGCACTGGGTGATTCTGAAACAGACCCGGAAGCCTCAAGTGAGAACTGTGCCCAAACTTCCTGAAGCAGTTTGTCTGCGAAGCCCATAGTTCCCAAGTGTGGCCCCATCCCAGGAGCCTCTCAGGTTGAAGGAACAGCTACTAATAAATCACTGACTTCACTGGACTCAGGGTAGGCAGAATGGAGTATCTGCCTTTCTTTGCATCAAAAGCACATCACCCTATCCTGTTCTGTATCTGCCTGAAGGAAGTCCACAGGGTATTCCCGAGACCCATCAGACACCTCACTCATTTTTTCATGATACCCAAGAGACACACTTAGAATGTACGCAGACTACACATATACCAAACACATTATACTCACATCTCATACCCTGAAAAATGACTGGGAGACATAAATACACTGAGATGTCAAAAGGAGTAGTCTGTTGCCCAGGCTGGAGTGCAGTGGCACGATCTCGGCTCACTGCAACCTCTGCCTCTGGGTTCAAATGATTCTTGTGCCTCAGCCTCTTGAAGTAGCTGGGACTACAGGCACGCACCACCATGCCTAGGTAATTTTTTTGTATTTGTACTAGAGTCAAGGTTTCACCATGTTGGCCAAGCTGGTCTTGAACTCCTGACTTCAGGTGATCCTCCCACCTGGGCCTGTCAAAGTGCTGGGATTACAGGCATGAGCCACAGTGCCCGGCCGAATCTGTGTTTTTAACTTTTACATAATTGGGAGAATTCTTTTTAAAATGGTGAAAAATGAACTTTATTATAAAAGCCCATGGCTGGGCGCGGTGGCTCACACCTAGCACTTTGGGAGGTTGAGGTGGGCAGATCACTTGAGGCCAGGGGTTCGAGACCAGTCTGGCCAACATGGTGAAACCCCATCTCTACTAAAAATACAAAAGTTAGCCGGGCATGGTGGCAGGGGCCTGTAATCCCAGCTATTCAGTACACCACGGCGAGAGAATCGCTTGAACCTGGGAGGCAGAGCTTCCAGTGAGCTGAAATTGTGCCACTGCACTCCAGCCTGGGTGACAGAACGAGGCTCTGTCTCAAAAAAAAAACAAAAAAAACTTTCAAAGGAATTTAAAAAACTGAAATAAATGTCCTCATAATTTCATGACCCTAACACAACTACTCTTTGCATTTCTATACTTTGTCTGCTAGGATTTGACAACTAATGCCCACTGTTTACACAGTTGCAACAGAATCAACAGTTACATTCTACTTGAACTACACTTACAAATTACTCTTCCAGCGCCGGGCGCGGTGGCTAACGCTTGTAATCCCCAGCACTTTGGGAGGCTGAGGCGGGTGGATCATGAGGACGTGAGTTTGAGACCAGCCTGACCAATATGATGAAACCCCGTCTCTACTAAAAATACAAAAATTAGCCAGGTGTGGTGGTGCGCACCTGTAATCCAGCTACTCCGGAGGCTGAGGCAGGAGAATTGCTTGGAGCTGGGAGACGGAGGTTGCAGTGAGCTGAGATCACGCCATTGTACTCCAGCCTGGGCAACAGAGCGAGAGCGAGACTCTGTCTAAAAAAAAAAAATTCTTCGATTTTGCTAGTCTTAATTATCATTTATGCCTTTTTACTATTGCTTTGAATGGCTCTACCATTCATATTTAAGTCATAGTATTTAACTTCATGCAAACCAGCATCCTTGTGTATATATATATTTTTGGTCCTTTTTTTTCCTTTTTGTGGAGGAAAAAGTGGGGTCTCACTATGTTGCCCAGGGAGGTCTTGAACTCCTGGGCTCAAGGGATCCTCCCACCTTGGCCTCCCAAAGTGTTGGGATTATAGGTGTGAACCACTGTGCCTGGCCCCGTATTGTTACTGAATACAGTTGGACTGTTAGCTTTCCAAAATGATTGCACTAGTTGACACTGATTCATAAAACTCTCCTCAACTCAAATAGTGATGGCAGACATGTATTTGTCTGCTTGGGTTGTGATCACAAAATACCACAGGCTGGGAAGCTGAATCAACAGGAATTTATTAATATTTTCTCCCTGTTCTGGAGGCTGGAAGTCAGAGTGGGTTCCACGTGAAGCCTCTCTTCCAAGCTTGTAGATGGTTGCCATCCTGCTGTGTCTGCACCTGCCTATGGCCTTTCCTCTGTGTGTGCATGGAGAGGGAGCAATCTCTGGCGTCTCTTGCTATCTCTTTTTTTTTTTTTTTTTTGAGATGGAGTCTCGCTCTGTCGCCCAGGCTGGAGTGCGGTGGTGTGATCTCAGTTCACTGCAACCTTCACCTCCCAGGTTCAAGTTATTCTCTTGCCTCAGCCTCCCAAGTAGCTGGGATTACAGATGCCTGCCACCACACCTGGCTAATTTTTCGTAGAGATAGGGTTTTACCATATTGGCCAGACTGGTCTCGAACTCCTGACCTCAGGTAATCCACCTGCCTCAGCCTCCCGAAGTGCTGGTACAGGCGTGAGCCACTGTGCGTGGTCCTCCCTCTCTTTTTTTGAGACAGCGTCTTGCTCTGTCACCCAGGTTGGAGTGCGTGGTGTATCACAGCTCACTGCAGCTTTGACCTCCAGGGCTCATGTCATCCTCCCACCTCGGCCCCCCACGCAGCTGGGACTACAGGTACATGCCACCACACCCAGCTAATTTTTAAGTTTTTTGTAGAGACGAGGTCTAGCTGTGTTGCCCAGGCTGGCTCCTGGGCTCAAGGGATCCCTCTGCCTCAGCCTCCTAAAGTGCTGGGGTTACAAGTGTGAGTCACCTCGCCCAGCCTCTTGCTTTTCTTATAAGGACACTAGTCCTATTGGATGCAGGCGCCACTCCAACGACCTCATTTAGCCTATTTACCTCCCCAAAGGCCTTGTCTCCACATATCATCAGATTGTGGGTTAAGGCTTCAACATATGACATTTAATTCAGCTCGTACCAGAGGGTGTTTAAGCATTTTCCCATTGAAATGTATTCCCATCTTTCCAGGTGTCCATCTCTCATTTGCTTTTCCTACTTACTTAGAACACAGCTACCTTCCGACACCCTGTATAAACCCACCCTGAACTCTACCCCTCTTCACTGCCAACCTGCCTGGGGTTTTCCCTTGCCCCCTAGAGAGCTCTGTGTCCTTTCGCACACATCCCATCCCTGCCAACTCCACTGGACAGACCTGAGCCACCCTCTCCTGCCTCACCCCACCCATCTTTCTTGCTGGTCCACGTTGCCACACTGTTGTATGGGAGCTGAGACCCACTGCCTCAAATGCCTGAACCAGCCCAGCTGCCCCTGAGGTTAACAAGTGGGAATGTCTAGCTTAATAAAACATCCATTTGTGCTCCTTACATCCTGGGCAGGGTGGTAGTGGTAGGAGAACAGCAAACAAATCCTGAAATCTCAATCAGTTCACTTTTGGTAGTGGTTTGGGAAAGGAAATTCTGAAACTATATTAGAGTTATTTTAAGATTCATCAAATTAGTAAAATGCTGAATTTTGGGGTGTCAGGGTTCTCAGTGTTAAAGAAGACACATAAAAATATGGGCTGGAGGAAGTCATGAATTGAGTTGGAGGTCTTACTGGATATGTACGTGTATGTGCACAGACACACCTTTGTGTGTGACCTGTGTGCAATCATATGCACATATATTTCATAGCTCAGCAGAAGACACCTCAACTGGCACCCTATCTTGGTCTCTAATGCCATTACCCACTAAAAGGAACCAGTTCTTCAAAGACATGGCCAATTTCAGGGCTGAGGAAGGGTAGAAAGGAGATGGGCTTGGAACATCCTACTACACCAAAAAGCAAATAAGTGCTAAAAAAAAAAAATGGAGGCATGTCACAAGGATGCAGGAGTCAACTGAAGGGAGTCTCACTGGCCTCATCTAGGACAACTTGAGCACCAAAATAAGATCAGCAGCGAGTTATAAACCACTGAATAAACAGAAATCCTGAGTCCATTCCAACAATAAAGACAAATTCTTGGGGAGAAGGAAGAGTGCTGGCTGGCAGTAGGATGCTGAGGGCCTGCTGGTCAGCATGGAGGGAGGGCTGGTGTTGGAAAATCACCACCCTGGTAATGATGGATTCAGGCAAGAATCATAAATGAAAGCCAAATTTAGGGGGAAGTTTTGATGAGGAGCAGGATATTTGCATTATCTTTAATCTTTTTGTGACAACTGAAGATCATTGATACTTGCATGATCTTAAAGTATCTTCCCACCGATTCTTATTCGTTAAAAGGAGAAAAAGTTAACTATATTCTTTTTTTGAGACAGGGTCTTGCTCTGTCACCCAGGCTGGAGTGCAGTGGCTCAATCTCAGCTCACTGCAACCTTGACCTCCCAGTTTCAAGCCATCCTCCCACCTCAGCCTCCCAAGTAGCTGGGACTACGGGTGTGCACCACCGTGCCCAGCTTCAGCCTCACAAGTGCTGAGATTACAGGTGTAAGCCTCTGCATCTGGCCCAGTTAGCCATACAGTGGAAAAACTGCACTCTAACCAGGTGAGCAAAGAGAACATCACTGACAGGAGGAATGTGGACACCGTGCACCCTGGATGGGATGGGGGAAGGCGCACACATGCAGGCCACAGGTAAGCAGGGTCGAATGTTAATAGGTGGGTCTGGATGAGGGTTTGTGGATGATCTGTGCACTATTGTATTTTATTTATTGATTTTTTTTTTGACACAGAGTCTCGCTCTGTCACCCAGGCTGGAGTGCAGTGGCGCGATCTCAGCTCACTGCAAGCTCCGCCTCCCAGGTTCACGCCATTCTCCTCCCTCAGCCTCCCGAGTACCTGGGACTATAGGTGCCCACCACCACGCCCGGCTAGTTTTTTTTGTATTTTTTTAGTAGAGACGGGGTTTCACCATGTTAGCCAGGATGGTCTCGATCTCCTGACCTCATGATACGCCCGCCTCGGCCTCCCAAAGTGCTGGGATTACAGGCGTGAGCCACCGCGCCCGGCCAATCTGTGCACTATTTTAATTCTTGTGCCTTTTTAAAATATAAGTTTGTAATTATTTCCAAATAGAAAACTTTAAAAAAAAAAGGCATAGACATCTGGCTGTGCACTAAATGAGACAGGAGATGGGAAACTGAAGGTGGTGAAGCCCTATAACAAATGACGATCACCCACAGCCTGAGAGCTGAGTGGGACACATCACAGGGGATGCTCCCTGTGGCAGTGCAAGAAGGTGAGCTCACAGGTTCGGCTGAGAAATGGGAGGGTACATTTTAGCCTTTTTCTTTTCTTTTTTTTTTTTTAATGAGATGGAGTCTCGCTCTGTCCCCCAGGCAGGAGTGCAGTGGTGTGATCTTGGCTCACTGCAACTTCCGCCTCCCCGGTTCAAGCGATTCCCCTGCCTCAGCCTCCTGAGTAGCTGAAATCACAGGTGCCTGCCACCACGCCTGGCTCATTTTTTGTATTTTTAGTAGAGATGGAGTTTCCCCATGTTGGCCAGGCTGCTTTTGAACTCCTGACCTCAGGTGATCCACCTGCCTCTGCCTCTCAAAGTGCTGGGATTACAGGCGTGAGCCACCGTGCCCAGACCATTTTAGCCTTTTTCTTACCAGAACCACACTCAGCTTGGGGCTTAAGATGGATAGGCTAAGAGGGGAACTAAGCTTGTAACTGTTGCGGAGACAGGCACTCCAGGTGACAGTTCACAGGCCCTTTCAAGTGACTGGAGCCATGGGATCATTTCTCTCCAAGGATTTGTGAGTAGAAGTGATGTGTGTCATCTCCCAGGTGAACAGGTTCGGCCTTCCCTACATGCTCCAAGGGTACAGTGAAGAGCAGAGCTACAACAGAGATGGGGCCTGGATCCCTGAATCACTGTATGGAGCAGAGTGCAAACCAATATATAAGCAACAGCAACACCAACACAGGACAATCGACTGTTAGTAAATAATTTTTTTTTCTTTTTTTCTTTTTTTTCTGAGATGGAGTCTTGCACTGTCACCTAGGCTAGGGTGCAGTGGCACAATCTTGGCTTACTGCAACCTCCGCCTCCCAGGTTCAAGCAATTCTCCTGCCTCAGCCTCCTGAGTAGCTGGGATTACAGGCACGCATCACCACAGCTGGCTAATTTTTTGTATTTTTAGTAGAGACAGGGTTTCACCATGTTGGCCAGGCTGGTCTCAAACTCCATGATCTGCCTGCCTCAGCCTCACAAAGTGTTGGGATTACAGGTGTGAGCCACCACGCCCGGCCCATGAATAAGTACTTACTAAGTCTCTGTGATTTGGGGGTCATTACAACAGACTGCCTGCTCAAACACAGTGACAGAAAAAGAGGCACCAGTTTCTGTATCTACAGGGAGCAGTTAAGTTTATGCGCAGGGAGCAGTTAAGTTTATGCGCAGGCAATGGGAATGATACTGTAATCTTGAGAATAAATGCAATCAATGAAAAGATCACCTTATGTAGCCCAAGGAGTTTAGTCTCCTTTGCTCAGACAGACAGATCTTTATTAGTGTTTTCAACTTATTTTGCTCACAACTTCCCAGCAAGAAATGTCTTACATTGCAACCAGTTCTCACATTTAGATGTATGGGTGAAAAGTTTCACAAAACAGTATTTGCCTTTACTACATGATGCATTCTGGCCTACTTTATTCTGCTTCATTGCTGTGTAATGCTGGTGACCACTTGCTAATTGATTTCCCATTTTACTAAATGGGCTGGGACCCACGGTCTGAAAACCCTGCCTTAGGCTGCAAGCATTTCTGTGATCTCTGCGAGCTACTCCATATAGGTAAACACACGCGAGGTAAACTAGGAAACAGCTTCTGCTTTTGCAGATTAGAAGTGAAGTTGACATCACGCCAAGTACGAAAAGGCTAAACAGCTGACAAAATTTCCACTTGAGCAACCCTGGGGAGCGCAAACAGGAGGAATCGGGGCAAGGGTGACTTGAAGAAAGCACTGGCAGATCACGCACTTTAAGGCAACTCTACACTGCACAATGTCAAATAACCTAGCATGGGGCGGCACTAAATGGCTGCAGGAAAGCCGAGTCTTCTTCCACATCCGGCGGCTCCCCTCGGATGCGAGCGCTGGCCCAGGGTGTGTTTACAGAGGTGAGGGCTTCCCGTGGACCCTTCTCGTTGGGAGCGCTTAGCCTCAGGAGCGGATTCAGGGCACAGGCAGAGGACGTCCACAAACACCACAGGAAGCCGCCACCCAGGGGCGTGGAAAGGCCCAATGCCTCGTCTGGGATTCACGGCCGGCAAAGCGGCCCCTCCGGAACGGGACAGCACAGCGGCTCACCTCTGCGCCTCTGGGGGTGCGGGGGGAGCCTCGCCCTCCACGCTCTCTGGGGGACCGCCCGCCCTAGCCCCCGCCTGGGCTTCGCGGGTGGACGGTTGGGGGCCCCGGGCGCCCCCCAGCGCGTAGCTTTTCTCCTTCTCGTGGGTCTTCTGGTGCTCGGCTAGGGCCAGGCTGAAGTGGAAGGTCTTCCAGCAGCCCTGACAGGCGTAGCGCTTCCGGCCGCCATGGCTGCTGTGGTGCTCCATCAGGTGCGAGAGCCACGCGAAGGCCTCCCCGCACTCGCCGCAGGCATAGGGCTTCCCGCGGGACAAGCCCGGCTCGTCAGCCCCAGGGCCCTGCCCGGCCTCCAGCCCTGCGCTGTCGCCGGAGCTAGAGACGCCCTCGAGGCTCTGCCCGTCCCCATCCTCGGGGTGCGGCCTCTTGGTTCCCAGTTTCGCCGTGCCCCTGTCCGGGGCAGGCTGCTGGATGACGGACTGCCTCTGCGATCCGGTGGCAGAGTCGGACTCCGCGTCCTGGGGGTCCTGCGGGTCCGGGGCCTTCCCAGGCTGCTCTTCCTCCTCCTCAGTGGTGCCCGACGGGGGATCGGCAAGGGCGTCCCCAGGGGGCGCCTCCGTAGGCAGCTCAGGCAGCACCCCCGCGGGGGCGGCCTCCTCGCAGGCGCACCCAGCGCTCTCCTGCCGCCTCCCGCCTTCTGGAACAAGGTCAGAGCCCTAGCGTGAGCGCCCCGCCCAGGGCCAGGGAGAGGAGGACCCAGCCGAGCCTCAGCTGCCGGAACAGCGCACAGGGCTCCGGGCTCTGGATCCCCGCGGGGCTCACGGCTGTTTGGAAGCAGCGCTGTCCCTCCCAGGCAGCCCTGCAGCGCATGCCCCGCGCCTGCTGCTGCAGATGTGGGACCTGGAGGCCTCCAACAACGGAGGCCACCGACAGGACAGGAAGGACAGCCCCACTGAGCCCGGGTTCTGGAAACCGCGCCTTTGGAGGTCTCCACCTGGCCACTAGCTTGGCCACAAGATGCACGATGCAAGGAGAGCCTGCTCAGAGCGCACCCTCCTGGAGGGAGGGGCCCGGCTGCCAGCGAAGAGAGTGGGGTCAATAGCTAAGGCCAAACCCCCCAGCGACAAGCCCCCTGGCGACAGGCACCCAGGGCCCTCCAGCCCAAGTCCGCCTCTAGGTGTTCTTGTTGGTGTGCTGGCACAGAGCCTCCAATGGGGCAGAACGGCCACCCCCGGGACCAGTCATACACAGATCCTGGCAACTAACACCACTGCCGTTTCCACCGACCAAGTCTTGGGGTGGTCTGTCATGCAGCAAGAGACCATGGACGTAACTGGATTCCTGCCTCACTCAGACACGGTGGTGGGAGAATGGTGAAGCAGTCAATGCTGAGGTCTTTGCTGGGGCTGATGGCGCTGGGAGGGGCCCCCTCAGCCTCTGAAGAAAAAGCAAACCCCACCCGGCCCTAACACCAATTCAACCCAACCTCACCTGGGAGGCTGCTTCCTTGTGGATCTCTTTCCACCAACCGGAGTTCCTCAGTGTCCAGCCTGGAGGCAGCGTCAGGCTGGGAAAGCTGATACCCTGAGTGGGGTTAAAAACCAAAGAAATAAAAGGCATCAACACAGAGTGGCTGATGGGTGTTGTGTGTCGTGGGCCAGCCAGGGCAGGCTGCAGCCCACCTCCTCTTCTCTGTACTGGGACCCCCACCAAGGCCACCTCCCTGTTAGGCCCCTGGACAGTGGAGCAAAGAAGAAGGCGAGGCTGGAAGGGCAACGGGGCAGGCGGAGGCAGGACTCAGAGAAAGCAAAGCTAAAGAAAGACATTGACAAAAATTGCTCAGGAGTCTGAGTCGGGGGGCCTCCCTAAAAGGAGGGTTTCTGGGGCAAGAACGTCTACAAAAGAGGAGACCCTTGATCAGGCCATGCAGGTGAGGCCCTGTATCTGGCAAGGAGGGTGGCAATGTGGGCGCCTTGGGGCCAGGAGGCCTTTCCAAATTCCGAGGCTTCAGTCCTACAGGCAGGGCCTGGGCAGAACTCAGATGTTTAGATCAGAAAGGGTGGGGGCTTCAGCGAATAAATTCAAGCTCCAACACGTGCAAGTTCAAATCCTGTAAGACATCACAGTGTCCCAGCCAAAGTCCCTGGGGTCACAGTCTCCTGCACCAACCCCTGCGGAAGGGGATGGGGAGTGGGGCGTGACCCCGAGGCAGGCGACTCTCACCCCACAGGAGCAGCTTCCGGTAGCTCTTCAGGTTCTCCTCGGCAGGGTCCAGGTGGCCCCACTCCCCCAGGTGCTGAGGGTCCTCTGGAAAGGACTTCAGCTTCTGAAACATTAGTCGTGGCTGAGACCTCCCACCTGCCCTAGAGAAGGGAGGACCCGCCGCAGCCCCACAGCCACAGGAGCAGGCTAGGAGCCAGCCCTGGCCAGGGACTCTAACCCAGGTGCACTGCAGGAGGCAGCCCCCTTCGCACCACAAAGATTCCGCCCTCACGCTCCCACCAGGGTGGGTTCTGGGCCTCAGCGCTGTGGACGTTTGGGGCCACAGCCCTCTGCTGAGCACTGGTGATGGGGAGGGGGATGCCTCTAAGCTGAGGCCAAGGCCCCTCACCCACCTGCTCGTGCCCACCCACCTGCTCGGTGTTGGCAGGGCCGTCCTCTTCGGTCTTTGCTTCTCTGACCCTCCTCTGTTCCAGAAACAGGGGGTCCGGAGAAAGCCAGGCTGGGGAGAAGGAGAGGCAGAGCTGAGGCAATGAGCTCCCTGTGGCCAGGTGCCCTCAAGGGTCAAGGAGCCCCCGCTGCCTCCCACACAGGCCCCAGTGTGCTTCTGTGACAGCAGCACCCAAGGCTCAACGGACACTACACCTTTCCCTGATTTACAAAGCAGCGCGGTGGCCACAGGGCTTGGGTGGCCCCAGAGATGCCCATTCAAGTCCACTGGATTCATGGAAATCTTTTTTTTTTTTGGTTTGTTTGTTTTTTAAAGACAGGGTCTTGCTCTGTCACCTAGGCTGGAGTGCAGTGGCATGATCTTGGCTCACTGCAACCTCCACCTCCTGGACTCAAGCAATCCTCCCACCTCAGCCTCCCAAGTAGCTGGGACTAAAAGTGCGGACCCGGCTAATTTTTGTATTTTTTGTAGAGATGGGGTCTCCCTATGTTGCCCAGGCTGGTCTCGAATGCCCGGGCTCAAGTGATCTGCCCGCCTTGGCTTCCCAAAGTGCTGCGATTACAGGCATGAGGCACTGTGCCTGGCCTTCGTGGAAATCCTAAAAAGCAACACCACATAGTGCTGGGCTGTATCCAGGCCAGTGGGCACCTTCCGTGCTGGTAATGAACAGCCACAAAACTTCTGGAAAACCACATGGAAGTTTCTATTTTATGTGAAATGTCGAACTCACACACCACTTGCCCAGTGGTCCTGAGGAGTCCACCCACAGTGCCCAGAGCCTCACATATGGGCACACAAGTCAGGAGGTGTCAGGGCAGCTTCACTCCAAGGGGCAGAGAGCCCACCTCTAGGATGGGGATGGGCTGAGCACGCGATGCTGGGCAACTAAAGAACCAGACCCAACCACAGCCTGGGGGACCCACCCCTCGAACAGCAAGCACTCAGACACAGCACACCACACACACAGAGCCCGACCCCAGGCCCTGATTATGCATGTGTGATGTGCAGGGAGACATGAGGGGACGTGCATCAGGACACTTGAGACCCTTTATTTTCAGAGGGTTCATGGTCGGGGGTTGGGAGATTCTTTTCTTTATGTATTGATGTTTCTTCACTATTTGTGGTAAGTATGGATGATCTGCATAATCTCTGAAGACTAATTTAATAAACAATGTCTAACATTCAGAGAAACTACAGGAGGAAGTCCCAATGATAGCATGGACCATGGAGCCCCTGACTCCCTGGCTGCCCTTCTGCCCTCTCCCAACCACAGGCCTCTGCCCAACACCCCACCTAAGGCCCAGCAGAGGCTGCCAGGCTAGCTGGGCACTCACGTGTCTCAGAAGGTGCCGGGATCTCCCCAGCTCCAAGGGCCTGGCTGGGGCTCGCGAGCTCGCCTGGTAGCAGCAGAGGGTCCATGTGCCTCTCGTACACTCCATCGCTAAGAATTGAGGATGAGCCCGCAGGGGAGCCCAGCAGCATCCCTGTCAACAGTGGAGGGACCTGTGACCCCAAGAGGTCAGGACACGTGCCAACAACAATCACACAGTTAAACCACAGGGACCTGCAGGCTCCAGGGCCACATCACTACCCATCCTGCACCTCATCTTGGACCAGGAGACCTCCAGCCTGCAAAGTACCCAGAATATTTACTGTTAAGAGGCTGGGGGCCGGGCGCGGTGGCTCACGCCTGTAATCCCAGCACTTTGGGAGGCCGAGGCGGGCGGATCACGAGGTCAGGAGATCGAGGCCATCCCGGCTAAAACGGTGAAACCCCGTCTCTACTAAAAATACAAAAAATTAGCCGGGCGTAGTGGCGGGCGCCTGTAGTCCCAGCTACTTGGGAGGCTGAGGCAGGAGAATGGCGTGAACCCGGGAGGCGGAGCTTGCAGTGAGCCGAGATCCCGCCACTGCACTCCAGCCTGGGCGACAGAGCGAGACTCCGTCTCAAAAAAAAAAAAAAAAAAAAAAAAAAAAAAAAAAAAGAGGCTGGGCTGGGTGTGGTGGCTCACAACTGTAATCCCAGCACTTTGGGAGACCAAGGCGGGCAGATCACGAGGTCAGGAGATTGATACCATCCTGGCCAACATGGTGAAACCCTGTCTTTACTAAAAATACAAACATTAGCTGGGCATCGTGGCAGGCGCCTGTAATCCCAGCTACTTGGGAGGCTGAGGCAGGAGAATTGCTTGAACCCAGGAGGTGGAGGTTGCAGTGAGCTGAGATTGCGCCACTGCGCTCCAGCCTAGTGACAGACTGAGACTCCGTCTCAAAAATAAATAAATAAATAAATAAGTAAATAAAAGAGGCTGGTCCCTTTCCCTCATTCCTCTGGCTTCCTTACATCTAGAAGGCAGGAGCCCAGGCATCTGTCCTGGCCCGAGGACCAAGGAGCTGCCTCAGCAGTGTGGGGAACTTAACTATCTCAGGCAAGCCATGGCTGGCACTGGGGCCTTCCAGGATCCCCTCCCCATCTCCTCTGAGCCATGCTTCTCCTCTGTGACAGCCCACCTGGCTCTTCCAGGACATCAGCGAGGCCCTCCACCAGGGAGGCTGCCTTCTTGCAGCTCTCAGGGTACTGTGCCACCACCCAGGGCCGGACCTTATCAGGCAGGATGCCCAGGAACTGCTCCAGCACCAGCAGCTCCAGCATCTGCTCCTTGGAGCGCGCCTCAGGCATCAGCCACTGGCGGCACAGCTCATGCAGCCGGGCCAGGGTCTGGTGGGGCCCGGCAGCCTCCTGGTAGACAAATTCCCGGAAACGCAGGCGGGAGAACTCCAGGTCAGCAGGGGTCCTCTCAGGGATGGTCTCGGGTTCTTCCTGCTGGACTCCGGCTGCTGACCCCGGCGTGGGCAGATCCGGCGGGGCTGGGGAGCTCCTGGGGGAGGCAAACGCCTTCTCCAAAGGCAACATCTTTCCAAAACGGCACTGGAAAATGTGACTGTCTAGCCAGGGACAAGGTGGCTCCAAAGGAGAGGTGCCAGGGATGACCAGATGCCCAGTGGGCTCAGGTGGTGCCAGAACCCACAGACCTGCAGAGGACACGGACAAGGCAATGGCCTTGCATAAGGCCAGGGCGCAGCCACCCCAGCTGCCAGAGAACAAAGACACCACACCCAGAGTTCACACAGATTTCCAAGAAACCCGCTTGTTAGGCATCAGTAGAACCTCAGTGTTGTACTCATGTAGATAAAAAGTAGCATGTAAATGGAGGGTAACTCATTCTGTGCATTACCAGAATTTTTTTTTCTTTGAGACCGAGTCACCCTCTGTCACCCAAGCTGGAGTGCAGTGGCGCAATCTCGGCTCAATGCAACCTCTACCTCCCGGGTTCAAGCGAGTCTCCTGCCTCAGTCTCTCCAGTAGCTGGAATTACAAGCATGCACCACCACACCCAGCTACTTTTTGTATTTTTAGTGGAGATGGGGTTTCACCATGTTGGCCAGGCTGGTCTCAAACTCCTGACCTCAAATGGTCCACCCGCCTCAGCCTCCCAAAGTGCTGGGATTACAGGTGTGAGCCACTGCGCCCAGCATCATTACCAGAATTTTAAAAAATCAGTCATGAATAGGATGAAAATGAAAAATTACTTGACAATCTCTATGTAAACCTGGATGTAAAAACCTTGAAATAGGCCAGGCGCGGTGGCTCACGCCCATAATCCCAGCACTTTGGAAGGCTGAGATGGGTGGATAACCTGAGGTCAGGAGTTTGAGACCAGCCTGACCAACCTGGTGAAACCCCGTCTCTACTAAAAATACAAAACTAGCTGGGTGTGGTGGTGGGTGCCTGTATTCCCAGCTACTTGGGAGGCTGAGACAGGAGGACTGCTTGAACCCTGAGGCAGAGGTTGCAGTAAGCCGAGACTGCGTCACTGCACTCCAGCCTGGGCAACGGTGAGACTCTGTCTCAAAAAAAAAAAAAAAAAAGATAGATTATAGGGATGTCAATTTCTAATAACATGAAGGAGCTAGGTGTCAAGACTGTTCCTCCAGTTAAAACCACCACAAATCTGAAATAAAATTATTTAGAAAAAAGCGTAGGGAGCGGGGGGCTCCCTCTGGAGGCCACTGAACAACCACCCACCTCCCCGTTTCTGGAAATGGTGCAGGATGTAGGCTTTGACCAAAGCATCCACAGAACCAGGCGGGAGGGGCAGGAAGTACCCAGGAGCAAGGACAATGGGGGGTGGGGGGTGGGGGAGACCACAATGACTGAGAGAGTTCAGGTCCTGCCAACCTGTGCCCCACCCTCAGCTGAATCCCCACATACAGGGCAGCCCTATCATTAAGTGAAGCCAGTATTCAGGATGAACTCTCTTGATTGTAACTGTGCACCAACAATGAGCTCACTAAACAGAACCCAGCGGGTCACAGCTGTCCAGGCCTCCAGTCGGCCTCGGGCTCTCATGTCACTGGCTATGGACACACAAGGGTGTGAACTGCAGCTGTCCACCTTCTCCCAGGAACCGCCTGGGTCTGAAGGTCCACAGAGACAGCTGGAAGGGGATTTCCCACAGCCGCAGCAAGCCCAGTTTTATAGGGAAAACCATAGAGTAAACCACACCAGGCCAGGTGCTGTGAGCCCTTCTCAGGTCGTCAAGTTCTGCTCTGACAGTGCTCCACCAGAATATGGGGCGCAAAGACCTCACCGCTGTGGGGTGGGGTGTGGTGTGTGATTCCACAGAAATGAAACATCTAGAACAGGCAAATCTATGGAGACAAAATGTAGATCAGCTGTTGCCAGGGGCTGGGGTTTGGGGGAATGAGGAGGGACTGCTAATGGGTACAGGATTTCTTCTTTGGTTGGTGAAAATGCTCAACGGTGAGTACTGCATATTAAAAACCAATGAACTGTCCACTTTAAATAGGTAAACCTCACAGTATGTAAATTACACTCAATAAGCTGTTTAAAAAACAAAACAAAACAAAAAAACAGGGCTGGGCACAGTGGCTGACGCCTGTAATCCCGGCACTTTGGGAGGCCGAGGCAGGCAGATCACCTGAGGTCAGGAGTTCGAGACCAGCCTGGTCAACATGGTGAAACTCCCTCTCTACTAAAAATACAAAAATTAGCTGGGTGTGGTGGTGGGTACCTGTAATTCCAGCTACTCAGGAGGCCTGAGGCAGGAGGATCGCTTGAACCTGGGAGGTGGAGGCTGTAGTGAGCTGAGATCATGCCACTGCACTCCAGCCTGGGTGACAGAGCGAGACTCTGTCTCAAAAAAAAAAAAAAAAAAAAGAACCAGAAGTTTGCAGAGAGTCAACTATCAACCTCTCTCTCTGTGGCTACCAGAGTTTAAAGGGAAGTGCGGAACTCTTAAGTGCTGTTGGAAGACATTCTACACAAGCTTCCACTTACCTCAAGCAGAACAGAGCCATGCCGTGCCATCATCACCACCACCACGATACCTCTACTTTTTTTTTTTTTTTTTTTAAACACAGGGTCTTACTCTGTCACCCAGGCTGGAGTGCAGTAGCATGATCATAGCTTATTGCAGCCTCAACCTCCTGAGCTCAAGTGATCCTCCCACCCCAACCTCCTGAGTAGCTAGGACTAAAGGTGCACATCACCCACACCTGGCTAATTTTTAATTTGTTTTGTAGAGACAGGGATCTCACTATGTTGCCCAGGCTGGTCTGTAACTTCTGGACTCAAGGGATACGCCTGCCTGGGCCTCCCAAAGTGCTGGGATTACAGGCGTGAGCCACTGCACCCACCCCCACCCTTTTGTTACCTCATAGGCCTGAGCTCTCAACTGGCCCCTCCGGGAGACTTTTCCTCTGCACTCCTTGCACGCACCCACCTGACACCCGCTCACTGCCCCCGCCTTTTACCTCCCTACTGACCGCCTCCCCCACTGGAATGCATACCCAGGAGAGTAAGGGTTCTTCACAGGCAGGTCCCTTGGCCTGGGCAGAGCTGGCTCAGTGTGTGTGGACTGTGCAAACAGTGCAGTTCTGCTGAGGGGTATGCTGGCTGTGCCTCATTTGTTTTTGGCAGTTGTGGACCCTCATGTCCATCTCTGTGGGGTCCTTTCTGATCTATTTAAAGGACATATGGAGAAGCAGGATAGCTAGGGCACAGGGGACAACCTCACGACCGTCACCTACTTATGGCAGCCCCCACCGGGGTGCCCTCTCTCCTCACACACTCCACCTGCTGCCAGAGGACCCTCAGACCCAAGCATCTGCCTGCTCTGTGACTGAGCGCTTTCTCATGATTTAATCTCTGAGGGCGGGTAAACTGCCCACTTTCCCGTGACTTTTTCTTTACAGCTCTTTCTGTCAACCAGTTAACGAGTTCCCTGTCTGGCTCTATCTTGCTACTGTCCCCATCTGTGGCTTGTCTTTTCACTCCACGCTGTCTTTTGGTCACAGGTAATGTCCTAATGTTTCTTACTATCTAATGCAATCACTTTTTTTTTTGGAGACGGAGTCTCGCCCTGTCACCCACGCTGGAGTGCTGTGGCACAATGTCAGCTCACCACAACCTCCACCTCCTGGGTTCAAGCAGTTCTCCTCCCTCAGCCTCCCGAGTCACTGGGGTTAGAGGCACTTGCCCCATGCCTAGCTAATTTTTGTATTTTTAGTACAGACGGGGTTTCACCATGTTGGCCAGGCTGGTCTCGAACTGCTGACCTCAAGTGATCCACCCGCCTCGGCCTCCCAAAGTGCCAGGATTACAAGAGTGAGCCACTGCAGCCAGCCTTCAACCATTTTTTAAATTGGACTTCGGAGTTCAGAAACCCACTTAAAAAGGGTTTCTTTCCCTTGGGATTAGAAATACATCCTCTCCTTTAGGAGGCCAAGGCAGGCAGATCACGAGGTCAGGAGATCGAGACCATCCTGGCTAACACCGTGAAACCCCATCTCTACTAAAAATACAAAAAAAAAAATAATAATAATTAGCCAGGCATGGTGGCAGGCGCCCGTAGTCCCAGCTACTCAGGAGGCCGAGGCAGGAGAATGGTGTGAACCCGGCAGGCGGAGCTTGCAGTGAGCCGAGATCGCGCCACTGCACTCCAGCCTGAGCGACAGAGTGAGACTCTGTCTCAAAAAAAAAAAAAAGAAATACATCCTCTTATTCATCCTCCAGGAACAGAGAATAGCAGATATAAAGGGCCAGACAGTCTCAGTTTCAACTACTCAACTCTGCCTCGTGGCAAGTAAGCAACCAGAGCCCTGTGCGTACCCACAGGTTTGGCATGTTCTTATGCATCTTCATTTACAAAAACAGGTGGCCAGGTGTGGTGGCTCACACCTGTAATCCCAGCACTTTGGGAGGCCACGGTAGGTGGACAGCTTGAGCCCAGGAGCTCAAGAACAGCCTGGGCAACATACCAAAACTTCATCTCTACAAAAAATAGAAAAATTAGCTAGGCACAGTGGTGCATGCCTGTGGTCCCAGCTACTCTGGAGACTGAGGTTGGAGGATCACCTGAACCCAGGAGGTCAAGGCTTCAGTGAGCTGTGATCACAACACCACATTGCAGCCTGGGTAACAGAGTGAGACCCTGTCGCAAAAAAAAAAAAAAAAAAAAAAAAAAAAAATTAGCCAGGCGTGGTGGCACACACCTGTGGTCCCAGCTACATGGGAGGCTAATGTGGGAGGACCCCTTAATCCCAGGAGTTGGAGGCTGCAGTGAGCTATGTTTGTGCCACTGTACTCCAGCATAAGCGACACAGCAAGATCCTGTCTCTAATGAATACAAACAAAACAGGTCACTGCTGGCCTGCAGGTGGGTACGCTAACCCCTGTTCTGGAGCCTCTCCTGATGGGAGGCGTGACGCCAGCTCTACCCCCTGGCAATGGAGGCACAGAGCTCTACTTGGTGCATGGACAGAGGTGTGGTCCTGCAGGCATGTAATTTTGGCTTTCTTAGGACGCCAGAGGCTTGTTCACCTTGCAGAGAACCTGTCTCCACAAAACAAACTGTGAGCTCCATAATGTGTGTGCACAGAACCTTCCCTCATCAGAACCTCACAATCCCAGAGGGGTAGGAACCACATGCAGCCCCAAGGTGCAAGTGGGAAATAGAGGCACGAGGCAGGCAATCACTAAGGCTGGGACCCCACCTGCAAAGTGACGCTGCCACTCATCCTTCCCCGTCCAGGCCCATAAGCCTGCCCTTTAAGAGGCCTCCTGCCGGCCCTCCCCTCTAGCCCTCATGGCCTCCACAGTGGGCAGATCCCAGCCAGCTCCCCCAGCCCCTCTCCTCCTGCTCCAACTTCCCAGCTCTGAGCATGGTGGAGGCATCGGGGTCTAGGTAGAATGAGCAAGGGTCCTCGGCCATTGGCAGGGGCGGGATGACGTGGGGAGGACGGGACACCCTCCGGCTGGGTCACTGGCCAAGACAGTGGGGGACACATGTCAGCCCCTGGGGACAGGAACGGGAGCTCCTCGCCTCTGTGCCCTTCCCCCTCAGCATTACAAGTTGTGAGCCTCTCTGGGAAGCCACCTCTGCCTCCACTTCCTCCATTCACCTGCAAAGCAGAAGCTTCCATGGAACCAGGGGTCTCCTAAAACGCCCAACTCCAAGGAAGCTGCTGCCTCCTGTGAAAACAGCCTCTCCCTGTTCATCTCCCTTCCTACTGGGACCCTGATGCTCACAGCCAGGAGGATGAGGCCATCTCAAGAGCCTCCAGAAATCTCTGGCCCTGTGTCTTCTTGCCTCCTTCAGCCCCATTCCTGGCCACACTGTCAAGAGGACTCTCAGAGATCTCACCGGGGCAGGTGCGGCAGCGTACATCTATAATCTCAGAGCCTGGGGAGTCTTAAGCAGGAGGACTGCTTGAGCCCAGGAGTTGGAGGCTGTGATTGGCCACTGCACTCCAGCCTGGGCGACAGAATGAGCCCGTGTCTCACAAACAAACAAAATAGAGATACCACTGGGACCCTTTCCTGCCACAGCCTGCTTGAATGAGGCCACACCTCGTTGGAGTCTGGCTTGGTCACTGGGCAAACCTCCCTCCCCTAATCTTGGGACTGTCCAGGATTTGCCTCAGATGGGATTTTCCTGGAGCCCAGCCCCCCAGCCTCAGCAAATGAAGCAATCTGCACAAGTCTTGAGCCAGTCCTGTAGGCTTTGCTGCACCCAGAGGCCTGGAATACAGAAGCTGAGGCAGAGAGCTCCACGGTGGGTGAGGGGTGGCTGAGCTGAGGGGTCCCAAGCCTGGTGGGTCTCCAGAGTCCTGCAGCAAATCCCCTTCATCCTGGGCTGAGCAGAGCTCAAGCCTGGTTTGGCCCTCCGTGGGCCCAGCCCTGGCCACCTGAGGAATATTCATCGCAGCTCTCCATCCCACCACACTCATCGGCAGGGTCTAGCAAACCACCCCACAGCCACAGGCCTGAGGATCAGCCAGGGAAGCTCAATGCATGGGATGTGGTTGTTGATGGGTCGCCGGATATTCCCAGGGTCTGCCCTGGCTTCATCCACAGATCACTTACTCATTATAAAAAGGGGTAAAAGTGCTTTTAAAAGAATGAAAAAACATGGAGTAAGGGTCGTCGTTCACATCTCAGCTGCCTTTTGTGGTCCCTGATCCACTCGCCAGGACAGACAGAACCAGAGAGATGTCCTGCGCAACTGGCCTAGGCTCCCCGAAAACCCGAGGCCAGAAATACCCAGGAAGTCACAGATTCAAGCATCATGCACAGAAAACAGCAACTCGATGCGACACGTGGTCCCGCTCTGACTCCAGGGCAGGAAACCATCCGCAGGACATGATGGGATGGGGGAAGTGAAATGGAACCGAGGAGGTGACATGGAACCAAGTGACTGTGCCACTCAGCCTCGCCCAGGAGTCAGCAAGGACACAGGCGAATATATGGGAAAGTGGAAGGAGGGCAGACAGAAATGGGGGAAGCGGGGAGGGAAGGTAGCAGGGAGAGAGAAGACAGGAGAGGAAGGAGCAAGAGCAGGGAAAGCCAGATAGTCTGGACGGGGGTAGAGGGGGATTGGGAAAAGGAAGGAGCCCAGGAGGGTGAGAGAAAGGAAATGGGGAAGGAGTGATGGGAGGGTGAGTCAGGCCCCCACCCCAACCCCCTGGGTCAGGACCGAAGCCAGTACACCCACTCTTGCCTCTTCCACGAGAGAGGTCTCCGGGGTGGGCGCAGACACCTAACTCAAACAGAACCCACCCCCAGGTGACTGGGGAGAGGCGAGATATTCCAAGGGTGGGGGCAGCAGAGACAATGCCCATTCTAGGCACCCCTTTGGTCCCCGCACCCTCCATCCCTTCCCTGCTCCAGCCCCTGGGGCCACAGCCTGCCCAGCGTCCCCCCACCACGGACACCCTCACATCCTCACACCCTCAGCCCCCACTTCCTCCCCTCCTCTTCCCTTCAGGAGCCTCCCCCTCCCTTCTCTTCCCCACTCAGGAGCCTCCCCCTCCCCCTTTTCGCCCCCCTCAGGAGCCTTCCCCTCCCCCCTTTCTCCCCCATCAGGAGCCTCCCCCTCCCTCATCTCTCCCCCATCAGGAGCCGCCCCTTCCTGTTCTCCCACCCACAGGGTGCCCTAAGCGCCTCCCCTCCACGAGCCTACACGGGGTGGGGGTTGCACTAGTTCCCTACCTGCCTGCAGGGCCCCTCACCGATCTGGATCTCAGCCACCTCCGGGGGGACCCGGCCCCTGCCCCGCACTCCACGCGAAGGGATGCCAGACCCTCGGCCTCCTGGACGCACAGCGGGGGCTCGCACCCCAACCCCGGGAACACCCTGGCCCCTTTCCCTAACGCTGCCCACTGAGGCGTCCTCACCGTCTACCCTGTTGGGGTCGCTCTCTGACCCCCGCGCTGCATCCCCGGGACCGACCCACCTGCTGCGCAGCTACCCCAGGCCGGTCCCAGCCGCCCGGAGCCCCAGTGCGCGATGGCGGCCGGCAAACTGCGCCTGCGCACTGGGCCTCACCGCGGACTACGACTCCCACAATGCCGCGAGGCTGTGCCGCGCACCGGGGCGAGCAAGGGAGCCGTGACAGGTGACAGTGCGCATGGCCAATCAGACGCGAGTGTGGCCTCCCGGCGTCCCGCCCACTCCGGCGCCTGCGTCATTTTGGGCACCATGGCAACGAAGTAAACAAGCGGGTAAATAATAGACCCCTGACAGCCAGAGACCCGGAGAAACAAAGACGGTGAGAAACGGAGAAACAAAGACAAAAAGACGCGCAGACCGGGAGGGAGAGAAGCATGAAGGCCCACAGACGCTCGGGGGCAGACCAAGACGCCCTGGGGTCCCCGAAACAGAGATGTACAGAGTCGGACACGGAAAGGGAGAGACCAGCTCACGGTTAAGAAAGGAGGGAGACCAGCCCAGGATCAAGAAAGGGAAAGACCAGCATGGGCTCAAGAAAAGAAAGAGACCAGCTCAGGCTCAGGAAAAGAGAGAGACCCAGAGAAAAGGAGCACTCGAGGCTGAGACAGATCTGGACAGAGATACAGAGACAGGGACCAGCAGACCCAGTACTGGGGAGACAAGAGGTGGAGACCCAGAGACACTGATGCGCTAAAATGGGTTCTACAGTTTCAAGGAGTGGATAGAACTCAAAGATTACCCACCCCAGGGATTCAGGAGCTGCTGAAATGAGGGAAATGTGAGTGGCAGCTGGGGTGAGGGCTTTGGCAAAGCCCCATATAAATGTAGCCCCCCTGGAAGGCAGGATAGGGCCAGGAGCTGCTTCCCATTTCAGTTTTCCAGATAGAGGCGCTTATGAGGATGCCATTTTGGTCGTTTTTGTGTGAACTGATTTTTAAAATGTATATCTGAACAGTTTATATATTTTAAATTTACATACACCACACATTTTGGTATTCAGTTTTATGAATTTTAACTCATATCCACCAACAAACTCGGGACAAAGAATAGCTCCACTGCCCAAAAATCCTCCTGCTGCCTCTTGGTAGTCACTCCCTCCCCACCCATAACCCCAGGAACAGCTAATCTAAGTAGTCCACTGCTACAATTTTGCCTTCACAGTGTCATATAAGTGGGATCATACAGTATGTGGCCTCTTCAGATTGGCTTTTTCACTGAACATAATTCCTTTGAGAGGCATTGAAGTAGTATGTATCAACAGTTCATTCCATTTTATTGAGAAGTAGTATTCTATGGTATATAGCAGTTTAAACCTTCTCCCACTGAGAGATATTAGGATCGTTTTAAGTATTTTGCTATTAAAAATAAAGCTGCTATGAACATTCGTGTACAGATTTTTCTGTGAACGTAAGTTTTCACTTTTCTGGGATAAAAGCCCAAGAGTGCAGTTTCTAGGTCACACAATGAACACGTGCTTATTAGTGTTGTAAGAAGCTGCCACACTCTCATGCAGAGTAGCTGGACCATTTTACACTCCCACCACCAATGAATGTGTGAATCCACTTCACATTTTTATCAGCATTTGTGTTTTGCTATTTTTTATTTTGGCCATTCTGATAGGTATGTACTGATATATCATTGTGGTTTCAATTTGCATTTCCCTTAATTGCTAACAAGTTTGAGCACACTTTAATGATTTTTTTGGCATTTGTATACCCTCTTCATTAAAGTATCTGTTCGTATCTTTTGCCCATTTTCTAATTTTTAAAAAAATTGCTCAGTTTTGAAAGCTATGTTTTTTTTTTTTTTGAGACAAGGTCTCACTCTGTCACTGAGGCTAGAGTGCAGTGGTGCCATCATGAATCACTGCAGCCTTGACCTTCCAGGCTCAAGTGATCCTCACCTCAGCCTCCCGAGTAGCTGGAACTACAGGTGTGCGCTACCATACCCAGCTAATTTTTTTTTTTAAGAGATGGGGTCTCACTATAATGCTAAGGCTGGTCTCAGACCCCCGGGCTCAAGCAATCCTCCCACCATGGCCTCCCAAAGTGCTGGGATTACAGGCATGAGCCACCATGCCCAGTCTTTCCAGTTTATTTTAATGGATATAACTCAGGAACTGCCAAATGGAAGAGATGCACAGCTAAGGTCTGGTCAGGGGCACTGAAGGTGCAGTGCATCCATGTACCGTCTGGGTGAGCCATCCTCCCAGCACTCAGATGTGTTCACCAACCCAGCTCTCTCAATCGTGGGGCAGAGAGAGGGTCCATACCTTCTTTAAGGTGACTATCCCCATCCTGAAGATATCTATGGGTCCCACTGGAGTCACCTCATTAGCATAAACTCAGGTGTGGTCGAAACGGGCTCCTTATGAATTGCAAACCCTATTCCTATTATTCACAAAATTCCAAGGCTTTTAGCTCTGTGCCAGGAACCAGGGATAAAGATCAAATGTAAGGGCCAGGCGCGGTGGCTCATGCCTGTAATCCCAGCACTCTAGGAGGCCAGCGGGCGGATCACGAGGTCAACATGGTGAAACCCTGGCTCTACTAAAAATACAAAAATTAGCCAGGCATGGTGGCAGGTGCCTGTAATTGCAGCTGCTCGAGAGGCTGAGGCAGCTTGAAACTGGAAGGCAGGGGCTGCAGTGAGTTGAGATCGCACCACTGCACTCCAGCCTGGGCAAAAGAGCAAAACTCCATCTAAAAAAAAAAAGAAAAAAGATGAAATGTAGGTTTTATTACACCACAGATGGCCAATTGTTCTTGCACCATCTGGAAAAGGCTATCTTTCCTGCATTGAATAGCTTTTGCTCCTTAAAAAATCAGTCAGGAATATCTTTGCAGGTCTATTTCCGGGTTCTCGATTCCGTTCCACTGATCTATGTGTCTGCCAATACCACATTGGGTTACCACGGCTACAGAGTAACAACATCAGGTGCAGTTATTCCTCCCACTTTTTTTTTTTTTTTTTTTTTTTTTGAGACAGAGTCTTGCTCAGTTGCCCAGGCTGGAGCGCAGTGGCGCGATCTCGGCTCACCGCAAGCTCCACCTCCCGGGTTCACGCCATTCTCCTGCCTCAGCCTCCCGAATAGCTGGGACTACAGGCGCCCGCCACCATGCCCAGCTAATTTTTTTTTTTTTTTTTTTTTTTGTATTTTTAGTAGAGACAGGGTTTCACCATGTTAGCCAGGATGGTCTCGATCTCCTGACCTCATGATCCACCCGCCTTGGCCTCCCAAAGTGCTGGGATTACAGGCATGAGCCACTGCGCCCGGCCACTTTTTTTCTTTTTCAAAGTTATTTTAACTATTCCAAGTCTTGTGCTTTCCCATATACTTTATCTTCTTCTTTTTTTTTTTTTTTTTTGAGACAGAGTCTTGCTCTGTCACCCAGGTTGGAGTGCAGTGATGCAATTTCAGCTCACTGTAAACTCTGCCTCCTGGGTTCAAGTGGTTCTTCTGCCTCAGCCTCCTGAGTAGCTGGGATTACAGGTATGTGCTACCATGCCTGGCTAATTTTTGTATTTTTAGTAGAGACGGGGTTTCACCATGTTGACCAGGCTGGTCTCAAACTCTTGACCTCAGGTGATTCGCCCACCTTGGCCTCCCAAAGTGCTAGGATTACAGGTGTGAGCCACCGCACCCAGCCTTTTTTTTTTCTTTGTTTTTTGAGACAGAATCTCACTCCTAACCATGCTGCTAATATTTACATGGTCCTGCACCAGTGTGTTCATGTAATTTCACATAACTTTTTTCTTTAATTAGGGTTGAGTTTCCTATATAGGCCTTCTAAGCAGCCAGAGATCACACACTTAAATGAGCACCTATTAGCTTCCAGGCATATTATGTTTTCTTTTATAAATAAAAGCCTCAAAATGCACACATGCATACACACACACACGATTACTGACCAAAAGGTATTTCAGTATAAAAGCTAGAGTAGAAGCTCCATAAGGACGGTGACTTTTCCCTGTTTAGGCAGCTTACTAAAAAACCCCATATACTCAGCCGGGCGCAGTGGTTCACGCCTGTAATCCCAGCAATTTGGGAGGCCGAGGTGGGCTGCTCACGAGGTCAGGAGATTGAGACCATCCTGGCTAACACGGTGAAACCCTGTCTCTACCAAGAAAATACAAAAAAATTAGCCGGGCATGGTGGCGGGCGCCTGTAGTCCCAGCTACTAGGGAGGCTGAGGCAGGAGAATGGTGTGAACCCGGGAGGCAGAGCTTGCAGAGAGCCAAGATCACGCAACTGCACTCCAGCCTGGGCGACAGAGCAAGACTCCATCTCAAAACAAACAAACAAACAAACAAACAAACAAACCATATACTCTTCTGTGCTGTTTGGCTTCCCCCCACATTATGAACTTTAAAAATCTTGCAATAAAATAACAATTATGGCTGACACAGGCTATAAGAAAGAAGGCAGGTAACAATGATTATTCAGCAAGGTAGGAAGGACTACAATGGCACACAGACTTGCCATTTTGTACTGCATCGGATATGTCAATGTTAATTGTCATCTCAGCAACAAGATTTTTTCCTTGAGAGTTGTATTTCTCCTCAAATGGACTCTCACTAGTCATTCAATTCCTCCTTCTGATATTACTCTTATTTCATTGATTCCAAGATAACAGATGGTAACATGTACATTTTATGTGCTAATAAAAGGCTGCCTGAGGCCTAGCACAGTGCCTCACACCTGTAATCTCAGCACTTTGGGAGGCCGAGGTGGGTGGACCACCTGAGGTCAGGAGTTCAAGACCAGCCTGGCAAAACCTCGTCTCTACTACAATACAGAAATTAGCTGGGTGTGGTGGTGTGCACCTCTAATCTCAGCTACTTGGGAGGCCGAGGCAGCAGAATCGCTTGAACCTGGCAGGTGGAGGCTACAGTGAGCCAAGATAGCACCACTGTACTCCAGCCTGGGTGACACAGCGAGACTCTCTCTAAAAAAAAATAAAAAAATAAAAAAAGGCTGCCAATTAAACCATATCACTGATTAACCTGGTTTGTTTTCAGATGTTAAAATATGGCAAGATATGTATCACAGAATAAAGGAAATACGGTAAGTCTTTAGGTTCTGTGTCACGACTAACTTCCAGATATAGGCATTACCTTGTTTTCTTGCACTTTGCTTAATTATCCTATGCAGATATTGCATTTTTTACAAGTTGAAGGTTTGTGGCAACCTGTGTCAATTAAGTCTATTGTCACCATTTATCAAACAGCATATGCTCTCTGTGTCTCTGTGTCACATTTTGGTAATTCTCACAATACTTCAAACTATTGCATTATTATTATCTGTTATGGTGATCTGTGATCAGTAATTTTTGTTGTAACTATTGTAATTGTTCTGGAGTGAAAGGAACCACGCCTATATAAGACAATGAACTCAGCAGATAAATGTTGTGTGTCCTGATTCCTCCACCAACCTGCCATTGCTCGCTGGTACGCACTCTCTCTCAATCTCTTTCCTCAGGCCTCCCTATTCCCTGAGACAAAACAATATTGAACTTAGGCCAGTTAATAACCCTACAATGGCCACTAAGTGTTCAAGTGAAAGGCAGAGTCAGACCTCTAACTTCAAATCAAAAGCTAGAAATGATTAAGCTTAGTAAGGAAGGCGTGTCAAAGACAGGCCAAAACTTAGCCCTCTTGTGCCAAACAGCCAAATTGTGATGGCCAAGAGAAAAACTTGAGGGAAATGAAAAGTGTGACTCCAGTGAATATGTGAATGACAAGAAACTGAAACAGCCTTGTCGCCAATAGGGAGAAAGCTTTAATGGTCTGGATAGGAGATCAAACTACCCAAAGAGAACTAACATTCTCTTAAGCCAAAGCCTAATCCAGAGCAAGGTCCTGACTCTCTTCATTTCTATGAAGGCTGTGAGAGGCGAGGAAGATGCAGAAGAAAATTCTGAGCCGGCCAGGCACAGTGGCTCATGCCTGTAATCCCAACACTTTGGGAGGCCAAGCGGGATGGATCACCTGAGGTCAGCAGTTCAAGACCAGCTTAGCCAACATGGTGAAACCCCACCTCTACTAAAAATACAAAAATTAGCTGGGCATGGTGGCGTGCGCCTGTAGTCCCAGCTACTCAGGAGTCTGAGGCAGGAGAATTGCTTGAACCTGGGAGGCGAAGGTTGCAGTGAGCTGAGATCGTGCCACTGCACTCCAGCCTGGGCAACAGAGTGAGGCTGTCTCAAAAACAAAACAAAACAAAACAAAACAAAAAAAAAGTCTGGGCCGGGTGTGGTGGCTCATGCCTGTAATACCAGCACTTTGGGAGGCAGAGATGGGCAGATCACCTGAGGTCAGGAGTTTGAGAACAGCTTGGTCAACGTGGCGAAACCCCATCTCTGCTAAAAATACAAAAAAAATTAGCCAGGCATGGTGGCAAGTGCCTGTAATCCCTGCTACTCAAGAGGCTGAGGCATGAGAATTGCTTGAACCCAGGTGGCAGAGGTTGGCAGTGAGCCGAGATCATGCCACTGCACACTAGCCTAGGCAAAAGAGTGAGACTCCATCTCAATAAAATAAAATAAAATAAAATAAAATAAAATAAAATAAAATAAAAAAGTCTGAAGCTAGCAGAGGTTGGTTCATGAAGTTTAAGTCATCTCCGTAACATAAAAGTGCAAGGTGAAGCAGCAAGTGCTAATGCAGAAGCTGCAGCAAGTTCTCCAGATTTAGCTAAGATCACTGAGGAAGGTCGCTACAGTAGACAACAGTTTAAATGTAAAGAAAACAGCCTTCTGTTGGAAGAAATGCCAGGTAGTGTTTTCACAACTAGAAAGAAGTCAGTGCCTAGCTTCAAAGCTTTAAAGAACAGGCCGACTCTTGTTAAGGGCTAATGCAACTGGTGACTTTAAGTTGAAACCAAAGCTCATTTACCATTCTGAAAACCCTAGGGCCTTAAGATTTAAGTTAAATCTACTCTGAGTGCTGTCTATAAATGTAAACAAAGCCTGGATGACAGTACGTGTTTACAGTATGGTGTACTGAATATTTTAAACCCACTGTTGAGAGACTTCCTCCTGAGAAAAAAAGATTCAAATTATGGCTGCTCACTGACAAGAGCTCTGATGAAGACATAGAAGGAAATTAATGTTGTTCTCGCAACTGCCAACACAACGTGTATTCTGCAGCCCATGGACCAAGGAGTAATAATTTTGCCTTTCCAGTCTTCTTATTTAAGAATGCAGTTTAGCTGGCCCAGGCGCAGTGGCCTGTAATCCCAGCACTTTGGGAGGCTGAGACAGGTGGATCACGAGGTCAGGAGATCGAGACCATCCTGGCTAACACAGTGAAACCCAGTCTCTACTAAAAATACAAAAAATTAGCCGGGCGTGGTGGCGGGTGCCTGTAGTCCCAGCTACTCGGGAGGCTGAGGCAGGAGAATGGCATGAACCCGGAAGGCAGAGCTTGCAGTGAGCAGAGATCGCACCACTGCACTCCAGCCTGGGCAACAGAGTGAGACTCCGTCTCAAAAAAATAAAAAATAAAAAAGAAGAATGCAGTTTGCAGCTATGCGTGGTGGCTCATGCCTGTATTCCCAGCACTTTGGGAGGTTGAAGCAGGTGGATTACTTGAGCTTAGGAGTTTAAGACTAGCCTGGCCAACATGGTGAAACCCTATCTCTACTAAAAATAAAAAATTAGCCGGCCATAGTGGTACATGCCTGTAGTCCCAGCTACTCAAGAGGCTGAGGCATCAGGATCGCCTGAACCCAGGTGGCAGAGGCTGCAGTGAGCTGAGATCGCGCCACTGCACTCTAGCCGAGGCAACAGAGTGAGAATCCTTATCAAAAAAGAAAAAAAAAGGTATGTATTTTGTAAGGCTATAGCTGCCATAGATAGTAATGATTCCTTGGATGGATCCAGGGAAAGTAAATTAAAAACCTTCTGGAAATGATTCACTATGCTAGATGCCATTAAGAGCATTCTAGGCCAGGCACAATGGCTCACACCTGTAATACTAGCACTTTGTCAGGATGAGGCAAGAGGATCACTTCGGCACAGGAGTTCAAGACCAGCTTGAGCAATATGGTGAGATGCCGTCTCTACAAAACATAAAAAAAATTAGCCAGGCGTGGTGGTGCATGCTGGTAGTTCCAGCTATGTAGGAGGCTAAGGTGAGAGGACAACTTGAGCCTAGAGGTCGAGGCTGCAGCGAGCCATGGTTGCAGCACTGCACTCCAACCTGGGCAACAGAATGAGACCATGTCTCAAAAGAAAAAAAGACATCTGGCTGGGCGCGGTGGCTCACGCCTGTAATCCCAGCACTTTGGGAGGCCGAGGCGGGCGGATCACGAGGTCAGGAGATCGAGACCATCCCGGCTAAAACGGTGAAACCCCGTCTCTACTAAAAATACAAAAAAAATTAGCCGGGCGTAGTGGCGGGCGCCTGTAGTCCCAGCTACTTGGGAGGCTGAGGCAGGAGAATGGCGTGAACCCGGGAGGCGGAGCTTGCAGTGAGCCGAGATCCCGCCACTGCACTCCAGCCTGGGCGACAGAGCGAGACTCCGTCTCAAAAAAAAAAAAAAAAAAAAAAAAAGAAAGAAAGAAAAAAAGACATCTGTTTTTTTTGTTTTTTTGTTTTTTTTTGAAATGGAGCCTCCTTCTGTTTCCCAGGCTGCAGTGCAGTGGCTCGATCTCTGCTCACTGCAACCTCTGCCTCCCAGCTTCAGGCAATTCTCCTGCCTCAGTCTCCTGAGTAGCTGGGATTACAGGTGTGCACCATCACGCCTGGCTAATTTTTTTTTGTATTTTTAGTAGAGATGAGGTTTCAGCATGTTGGTCAGGCTTGTCTCGAAATCCTGACCTCGTGATCTGCCCACCTTGGCCTCCCAAAGTGCTGGGATTACAGGCGTGAGCCACCGTGCCTGGCCAAGACATCTGTTCTTGAATAATGAGACTGGAAAGTCAAAATTACTCCTGATCTATGATGGGCTGCAGAATACATGTTGTGTTAGCAGGTGTGAGAACAACATTCATCTCCCTGTACATCTTCATCACAGCTCTTGTCAACAAGCAGCCATATTTTGAAAGGAATCTTTATTCTGAGGAAGTCTCAACAGTGGGTTTAAAATATTCAGCACAGGCCGGGCATGGTGGCTCATGCCTGTAATCTCATCACTTTTGGGAGGCCAAGGTGGGCAGATCACTTCAGGTCAGGAGTTCAAGACCAGCCTGACCAACATGGTGAAACCCTATCTCTACTAAAAAAAATACAAAACAATTAGTGTGATGGTGGGTACCTGTAATCCCAGCTACTTGCTCAGGAGTTTGAGGAAGGAGAATCGCTTGAACCCAAGAGGCAGAGGCTGCAGGGAGCTGAGATCACACTACTGCACTGCAGCCTGGGTGACAAGAGTGAAACTCTGTCTCAAAAATAAAATAAAATATTGAGTGCACCATGCGGTAAACACATGTGCTGTCATCCAGGATTTTTTCTTCCATTTATAGATGGAAAAACATATTTGTTACTTTCAAACAACATAAACTCTTCAACATGAAGTCTCTGACAAAGAGGAGGCAAAGAAAATCAGATCAGTCACTGCCACAGATGCTCACTGAATCCCCATAGGTCTCAGTCCAATGTGTCAACTCTGGTTTCTAGCGAGAGCACAGATACTTGGGAAAACTTTCCCACACTAGACACACTGGCACAAGGTCGCCTGAGCATGTACCTTCTTGTGCTTGGTCAGACAGGAGCTGTCCCTGAAGGCTTTGCCACACCGATTACACTCGTAGGGCTTCTCACCAGTATGAGTCCTCTGGTGCCAGATGAGGCCCGCGATGTTCCTGAAAAGTTTGACACTGGTTACAGCCACAGACCTTCTCACCAGTATGAATCCTCTTGTGCCTGATGAGGTACATAATCTCAGTGAAAGATTTTTTCACATTGTTTAACTCATGAGATTTCTTTCCAGAATGATTTTTTTGATGCAAAAGAGCTGACTGTTGTGGTTGGAGAATTTTTCACACTCCATACACATATAGGGTCTCTTTCCAATGTGAATTCTCCCATGTTTAATAAGTTATGTGTGATCAATGAAGGCCTTTCTACACCCAGTACATACATAGGGCTCCCCTCACATGTGAATTCTCAGATGGACAATAAGGTTGGAGACATCAGAAAAGGATTTTTCACATTCATTACATTCGAATAGTTTTTCCACAGTATGACTTCTGAAATGCAAAACAAGGGAAGAGTGGCAGCTGAAGGTCTTCCCATACCAATTCCTTTCACAGGGCTTCTTTCCTATGTGGGTTTTCTCATGCTTGGTAAAGGTGGAGCCAGCACTGAAGGCTTTCCCACTTCTTGCATTTATAGGATTTCTCTCCTGTGTGGATTTTTTGATGTACAATCAGGTTGTAATTCTTAGAGAGGGATTTTCCACAGTCATTACAGGTATAAGGGCTCTCTCCAGTATGAGTCCTCTGGTGACTGATGAAATGAGATTTCGGTCTAACGGACAGTCCACATTCACTGTCATTGTATTCATTTCCAGAGATACTTCCATTGTGTTCATAAGGACATGTGTCCCTATCAAACACCTCCTCGTGTCCTTCTCCTTTGTGTTGTTCCTTTCTCTGGCAATTACATGTTGTTCACTAAGGTGTGTAGAAAGGCTGAAGGAGTTACCACCTTCGTTACATTTTGAAGGCTCATCTCCTTGTTAGATCTTCATCAAGGTGGCTAGGTTGTCCACCCTGGCTGATGGCTGCTCTACAGTCATCATTTTCCTCAAGAATTTGACCGTTAGAGCCTTTCTGACAATTATGTATGTAACTAAAATGTTTAACCTTTGAGTCATGTTCACAGAAACCTGTTGTTTGAGGACCTCTTTGACATGAAGCTAGGACTGAGCAGATGACCACAATGGTCATGGTGACCACAGCCCCTCATAGATGCTCTGGGTCCTTGTGTGTGGATGCTGTTTGCCTCAAATGCACCTCTGGATTTCTATGGAGCATTTCTACCTGGTCCTCACATTCCCAGACCTCTCCTAATGCAGATAAAACAGGAATCATCCCTGATGAACCTTTTTATTTTCACCAAATTGGATAGTTCCTTCCCAACACCATCCCAAGTTGATGCTTCCATTTGACTTTTGTTTCCCAGGCTGGAAAGGAAAAGGGGAAAATTTTTGAATCCTTAGAGAAAAAATTGCTAGAGTTAGAATGGTAATGTGTAAACATTAAAATCAGCCAGGCCAGTATCTATTATATCTGATGCTGTGCCCATTCTGTGACACAGCAATTCCACTTGCAAGGGTACAATCAAAAGAAATGTGTATGTATGTTCATAGAAACACTCTTTCTAATAGCCCGAGACTAGACACTATCCAAATGTCACCAACTGGGAAATGGAAAACTTGTGGTTTACTTACATGATGAAATACCACACATTAACAAAAGTGAATAAACTAAGAGTACACAAAAATATGGGTACATTTCTCAGGCATATTATTTGAAAGAGGAAGTATATATACTGAAAGTGCACAGTATATTTACTTTGTGAAAACTTCTAGTTTTACATTTATGTATTTTTTAGCATGTATACTTCCAGGAAAAGCTTTTACAAAATCATATGTGCACACACACACACATCCTACCAAATAAATTAGCCAGATTTTTAAAAAATTAACATAGATTTTTTTTCAGTTATACACCTGCATGGTAGGAAGAGAATATAAAGATGGATGAAGGATAGTGAATAAATATCACTTTAGATATTATGATTTTTAAAAAGGGACAGGTTCTGGTTATGTTGCCCAGCCTGAACTCAATCTCCTAGGCTCCTCCCACCTCAGCTTCCTGAGTAGCTGAGACCACAGGTGCATGTTACCACTCACAGAAAATTTTTTAAAAATTATTTTTTGTAGAGACAAGTCTCACTATGTTGCCCAGGCTGGTCTCAAACTCCTTGCCTCAAGTGCTCCTCCGGCTTCAGCCTTCCAAAGTTCTGCAATTACAGGTGTGAGCCACCATGCCCATCCTCTAGCTGTATTTCTGAAGTCCCTTCACTGAGAAGAACTTGATCTCCAACTGTCCCCAAGATGCTTCTTCAGTGTCTCCTGATGCTTTGCTTTTCTGTCTATCCAAACAGAAATCATCTTCCACTCTCCTCTCCACTCCCATTACCATTCTTCCTTCACCTGTCCCACCCACTCGGCCCCTCTGAATCCAGACATGCATACTAGACTGTCCAGGCCTCCCAACCCACTCGGCCCCTCTGAATCCAGACATGCATACTGGACTGTCTAGGCCACCCAACCCTTAGAGATCTGCCCATCATTACACCCTGAAGAGACCAAAAGCTGTGGCATGGCCCATGCTGCTTCTCCCTGAGTCTTCCCAATCCCAGTAAACAGCCATCCCATTTTCTCAGTGGAAGAGGCCAGAAACCTGCTCCACTGGGATGGAACATACTCCATTCTCCACTCTCCCTTTTCTCAAAAGTCACACCTAAGCTATCAGCTTTGACTTTCAAATACACACAGTATCCTACCAATTTACACTTCCTCCACCACTGTGGTCCAAGTTATAATCACCCTTTTATTATAAATTGAAGCATAATTTAAACAGAATAAATTCAAAGTGGATGACTCACTGAGTCTTTAGATGTATTTTCATGAGTGTTCATATGTGTATGCACACTCCATGTGTGTATGACAATCCATGATATAAAACATACCCATTTTTAGGCCAGGCACGGTGGCTCACGCCTGTAATCCCAGCACTTTGGGAGGCTGAGGCAGGTGGATCACGAGGTCAGGAGATGGAGACCATCCTGGCTAACACAGTGAAACCCCATCTCTACTAAAAATACAAAATATGAGCCAGGCGTGGTGGCGGGCGCCTGTAGTCCCAGCTACTCGGGAGGCTGAGGCAGGAGAATGGCGTGAACCCGGGAGGCGGAGCTTGCAGTGAGCTGAGATCGCGCCACTGCACTCCAGCCTGGGCGACAGAGCAAGACTCCGTCTCAAAAAAAAAAAATTCCCATTTTCTGGAGGTAATCGCTGCTCTGACCTCCATTACTACAGACTGCTTTGATTGGCCCTGAACTCCATGTGAGCAGGATTGCACCATCCACATGCTCTTGTCTTGGACTTGTCATTCAACAGTAGCTCTCATGGTTGTTTGCATGGTTAAAACTGAACCCCCCGAAAAAAATTTTTTTTAAGACAGGGTCTCATTCTGCTACCCTGGCAGGAATGCGGTGGTGTGATCACAGCTCACAGTGGCCTCCAAATCCTGGGCTCAATTAATCCTCTGCCTCAGTCTCCAAAGTAGCTAGGACTACAGGTATGCACCACCATGTGCAGCTACTTATAAAGTTGTTTTTTTGTTTTTTTTTTTTAAATAGAGACATGGTCTCACTATGTTGTCCAGGCTGGTCATCAACCCCTGGCCTCAAGCAATCCTCCCACCTTGACCTCCCAAAGTCCTGGGATTACTGGCATGAGCCACTATGCCCAGCATGTACCAAACAATTAAAGAAGAATTAATACCAATTCCTCTCAGACTCTTCCAAAACAGGAGGGAACACTTCCTAACTCATCCTATGAGGCTAGCATTACCTTGATACCAAAGCCAGGCAAGCACACTACAAGAAACCTAGAAACCATATCCCTTAAATGTTGAATTCATCAGTGTATTACAAGGATTACACACCACGAGCAAGTAGGACTGTTCATGGAATGCAAGGATATTTCAACATGCGAAAATTAGTTAATGTAAGACATCACAATAACAGGATAAAGAAAAAAACACGACCATCTCAAATGATGCATTAAAAGCATTGGACAAAATTCCAAACCCGACCCCTGCCTTTCTTTACTTTTTATTTTATTTTACTTTTTTGTTTTTGAGACCAGGTCTTACTCTGTGACCCAGGCTGGAGTGCAGTGGTGCAATCATGGCTCCCTGAAGCCTCGACTGCCCTGGGGTAAGGTGATCCTCCCACCTCAGTCTCCCCATAGCTGGGACTACATGCACAAGGCAAGATTCCCAGTAATTTTTGTATTTCTTGCAGAGATGGGGTTTTTGCCACTTTGCCTAGTCTGGTCTCAAATTCCTGTGCTCAAGCGATACGCCCATTTCGGCCTCCCAAAATGTCCCGATTACAGGTGTGAGCCATTGCGTCTAGCCCCAACACCCTGGCATGATTAAAAAACATACTCAAGGCTGGGCGTGGTGGCTCACGCCTGTAATCTCAGCACTTTGGGAGGCCGAGGTGGGCGTATCACGAGGTCAGGAGATCGAGATCATCCTGGCTAACACAGTGAAACCCCGTCTCCACCAAAAATACAAAAAAATTAGCTGGGCGTGCTGGCAGGCACCTGTAGTCCCAGCTACTCGGGAAGCTGAGGCAGGAGAATGGCGTGAACCCAGGAGGCGGAGATTGCAGTGAGCCGAGATCACACCACTGCACTCCAGCCTGGGCGACAGAGCAAGACTGTCTCAAAAAAAAGAAAAAAAAGTTTAGGCCAAGCTCAGCTGACGCCTGTAATCCCAGCACTTGAGGAGGCCGAGGGGGGCAGATCACCTGAGGTCTGGAGTTTGAGACTAGCCTGGCCAACATGGTGAAACCCCTTCTCTACTAAAAACACAAAAAATTAGCCAGGCATGGTGGCGGGCAACTGTAATCCCAGCTACTCGGGAGGCTGAAGCAGGGGAATCACTTGAACCTGGGAGGCAGAAGGTGCAGTGAACCAAAATCACACCACTGCACTCTAGCCTGGGCGATAAAGCAAGGCTCCGTTTCAAAAAAAAAAAAAAAAAAAGAATTTAAAGGGGACAGGTCAGGATATTGAGAAACACAATTTTCACATAAACAAAAGGGTCAAGGGCCAGGCGCAGTGGCTCACGTCTGTAATTCCAACACTTTGGGAGGCCGAGGCAGGCAGATCACGAGGTCAGGAGATCGAGACCATCCTGGCTAACACGGTGAAACCCCATCTCTACTCAAAATGCAAAAAAATTAGCCAGGTGTGGTGGCGGGCACCTGTAGTCCCAGCTACTCGGGAGGCTGAGGCACGAGAATGGCGTGAACCCGGGAGGCGGAGCTTGCAGTGAGCCGAGATCACGCCACTGCACTCAAGCCTGGGTGACAAAGCAAGACTCTGTCTCCAAAAAAAAAAAGGCGGGGCAGAAGAAAAATGTGGGGAATCTGCATTAGGATAACACAGACAAAATGGGGCAGGGGAACAATCAGATACGCATTTGTGTCTGGGATGCCGGGGTGACTGCACTTGTAAAGATAAGCTATCAATTTGCATTGCCATGGTGAAGTTTTCACAACAGCTCACCAGGAATTTCTTTGTGGGCAAAATATGGGGGAGGCATGTAGCATTTCATCTTGTAGCCACCTTATTTAGGAACAGGGGAGGCAGGTTTGCTTGACCCAGTTTCCAGCTTGACTTTTCTCTTTGACTAAATGAGTTTGGAGTCCCAAAATTCAATTTCTTTTCACAACCGTGGTAAGACTTGGCTCAAAAATAATACCATAATGGCTGGACGCAGTGGCTCACGACTATAATCCCAGGACTTTGGAAGGCTGAGGTGGGTGGATCACTTGAGGTCAGGAGTTCGAGACCAGCCTAGGGAACATGGTGAAACCCCATCTCTACTAAAAATACAAAATTAGCCAGGTGTGGTGGCATGCGCCTGAAATCCCAGCTACTCGGGAGGCTGAGGCAGGACAATCACTTGAACCCAGGAGGCAGAGGTTGCCATAAGCCAAGATCGTGCCACTGTAGTCCAGCCTGGGCAACAGAGAGACTCCAGCTCAAAAAATAATAAGGCTGGGCGTGGTGGCTCGCGCCTGTAATCCCAACACTAAGGGAGGCCAAGGTGGGCAGATCACAAGGTCAGGAGTTCAAGACCAGCCTGGCCAACATAGTGAAACCCCATCTGTATTAAAAATACAAAAATTAGCACGGCATGGTGGCACGTGCCTATAGTCCCAGCTACTTGGGAGGCTGAGGCAGGAGAATCACTTGAACCTGGGAGGTAGAGGTTGTGGTGAGCCAAGATCATGCCATTGTACTCCAGCCTGGGCAACAGGCCGAGACTCTGTCTCAAAAAAAAGATGATAATAATAATGTCATAATATAATTAGGAATTGGGAAATTTTGAAAAGGATGGGTTATCACATGATAACAGGAAATTATTGCTCATTTTCTTAGGTGTGATACAGTATTATGGTTATGCAAAAGAATGTCTTTATTCTTAGAATGTATGTGCCAACATATTTATGAGTAAAGTGTCATACTTGTAATAAATATATATACATGTAGACATACATATACTTAAACACATGCACACATAATACATATACGCACAGATAAATATACAAATGTACATTATATAAATATATACACAATATACACATACATATATACATACAAAAATACATGTATACACACATATGCCCCCAAATATATAAACAAGTATGTATATATACACGTATGCACAAATATACATTAATAAATATATAGTGTGTTATATATTACAGGCACATAAAACAAATATGGCAAAATATTAATTGGTGAATCTCGGAGTGGGTGATGGGCATTCATGATACTCTTTTTTCTCAACTTTTCTGTTAGAGTATTTCAGAAACTTGTCAAAATATAAAGTAGGCAGGGGAAATATAAATGCCTCCTGGAGAGATATTCCAGGATCATCATTCATTAACACCTTGGTGAGGTGAACTTATAACAGGTTTCTCAAAAGGCATTCAAGAGACGGTTGTAAGTGTTCAAGGGGGAAAAATATGATGCTAGCGCTAGAAGCTGTTAAAAAACAACTATGGAGTTACCAACTGGGAAAATGCTAGTTTGTAAGGCCCTTTCCAGGCAATAGGTTTTGTTGCAGGACACTAAAGGAAGGCCAGAAGTGTCAGCCACTAAGAACTGGAGTCAGGGCAAGGCAGAGCTATCCAAAGCACTCACAGGTTCCTGGGGCAAACCCTGGAATCAACTGGCCCTCTAGCTGCTCCCAGTGGTTGGCAGCTGATCCAAGTTCAATCCTATTTAATCTGTTTGTGAGCTAAATATTGTTTCTGAGAAGACAAGTAAGTGAAAATAGGGCAAATATAATTCTATTCTGGATTCAACAGGGAGCTTACTATTTAAATAAAACTTCAAATTCCATTTAAATATTTTATATTAAAGATATCACTGCAGAATTAATGCATGTTCATTGCAGAAAATCTGGAAAACATAAATAAGTACAAAGACAATAAAAATAATCTATAATCTCACTGTTGAGCCTTGGGTGCATTTACTTCCTGTTTTCTTCACAGAGAATCATTTTGAAACAGGTGGAGTCAACGTGTGTATATAACTTGGGTCCTTTTTTGTTTTTCCTAGTTAACATTATATTACGGGTAGTTCCCACAACATTAACATGTCTTTGTTAGTATAAGAAATGCCACAGCCTCTCTGAAGAACAATTCAGAAGAACTAGGTTGAAATAAAAAATTCTAAATGCCAAGAGATGTGGTGGATCCACACTGGCATCCTTTTTACAATGACAAATTAAAATTCAAAAGTAGTATCAGAGGATCTCACATTTAGCAAGCGTGGTTTCATCAAACTTTTGTTACAGTTAGTATGCATGCAAGTCATCATGTACATGTTTCTCTCAATGCTTGTGTGAAAATTTTGAAAACCTACAGGCTAGAAAAACCCTTACAAGGATACACATTCAACTTGCCTCCCTAAAGCACTGGTGGAAACGCTGAAAACCTGGAAACTTCCAAGATGTTCATCAACAGGAAAGGCAAGACAAAAAAAACTGTGGCATTTTCACAAGGTAGAATAGTATAGAGCAGTGAAGGCCGGTGTACTGAAAGCTTCACCTAGTACAAGGTTGGGGAGAGAAGAAGGTTGCAAAGTCTTGTAGCACATAAAGCATGCCAATTTCAAACACACGCACGCATGCACACACAAACACCCCATACTCCATATTGCCCGAGGCACTGGATATCACAAAGGAAAAAACTCTAAAAAAAACCCCCAAAAAACGGCCTGGGCACACTAGATAAATGTGCAGTGAATTCATCACACACCCCCTCTGTGATCTTAAGTCTGTGGGAAAAGGGCCAGCTTCCTGTGGTCACAAGGATGGCTCTTTTTCTTTCATTCTGCAAACATTTACTGAACACGTACTGTATGCCAGGACCTGTTCTAGGTATCAATAATTCAGCAGTGGATCAGACAGATGAAGACCTCCACCTCACAGAGTAGGCATTCTGGTATGGGAATAGGCAAAGAACTGCAGAATCTGTCACTATCAAACGCTCTGCAAACTGAGGAAGCACATACCTGCAATCCAGTTTCTGAGTTACAGCTCCTTTCCCAAACCGTCCCAATCTCTATCCACTGCCCACAACTCAAAAGCCAAGCAACCTCAGAGAATGAACTGCCGAAGGAAGAAGCTAGGGCACGGAATTTCACCTGATGCAAGCTCCATCATCATCACCTGCAACCCAGCAGCAAACAGTCCTTAGCCTAGCAGCCCCAGTCCTAGGGCATGTGAGGATTCTGCCTGTTACTGAGTAAGGAGAGTGTTTAGAGGACAGATGTGACCTGACAGGCTTCCACTGAATCGTGAGGAGGCCAGAGGCACGGGAGCAAGGAGATGCCCGTACCAGAGAGTAGAGGTGTGGTGATGTGGCTAAATTCTGGAAATATCTTTTTTACTTCTATTTTTTTGAGACAGAGTCTCGCTCTGTCAGTGCTGGAGTGCAGTGGCATGATCTTGGCTCACCGCAACTTCCGCCTCCCAGGTTCAAGCGATCCTCCTGCCTCAGCCTCCCGAGCAGCTGGGATTAAAAGCGCGTGCTTTAGGGGACATGTGAGATCCTCTGACACTACTTTTGAATTTTAATTTATGTCATTGTAAAACGCCCAGCTAACTGAATTCTGGAAATATCTTAAAGGTTAAGCCATGGGATTTTGGACAGAGACGATGTGGGGATTGGGGAAAAGAGAAATATCCAGGTGGACAAAGAGGATTGTGGGTGGAGGGAGTCACCACTTGGAGAGACTAGAAAGACTGAGTTTGGGGGAGAGTAGATGCTCAGCTGAGGATCCCAAAGTCTGAGAGGCCTGTCCCTGGGGGTCAGCATTCGGGCATCAGAGGTTTGTGGAGAGGGCAGCCCAGTATACAACCGCAGGGAAGGGAGGAAGGGCAAGTCAGTGGAGTCAGAACCCAGCAGGGATGGGAGGAAGCCTGGCTGGGAATGTTCACAGTGGGTAGGAAGGGGAAGGAACACACAACCCTAAAGGGGCAGAGGAGGAAGCCATCTCTTGGGATAAAGGAGAGGAAGAACAGGGTTGTTAGGAGGAGTAGGATGAAAAGTGGGGAAAGCGTCCTTGGGAGTAAGACACGGGAAGCAGAATAGGTTGTTCAAGCCCAAATCTTGTGAGGAGAGGCAGAAGGGAGGGGCGTCCGCACCTGTGCAGGAAGAGAGGAGGGGTCCATACCCTGGGAAGGTGAGAAAAGGCCATCTGTGCCCGCAGGAAAAAAAAAAAAAGAGAATATTGGGGAGGCTGAGGTTAAGGGACAGGCGAAAAAAAAAAAGGGATCCGCCCCAGTGGGAGGGTAGAGGAAGAGAAATGAGCCCCCGCCCCAAAGGGGGCCTGCGCCCACTAGGAGAGAGAGTTAGAGGGTCCGTGCTCCACAGGGCGAAGGGAGAGGAAATTCGGAGTTGGCACCGCACTGGGGAGAAGGGTATGGGGGCCCACGCCCAACGAAGAGGAGGGAGTAGGGGTCCGCGCCCCACCACGAAAGGAGAGTAGAGGGCTCGCGCCCTGCGGGGAGAGGCGTTAGGGGGTCCGCGCCCGGCGAGGAGATGCGCGTACCAGCCCCGCACGCCAAGGGGAGAAGACACGCGGGACGGTCCGCGCCTGGCGGAGAGAGTTCCTCACGCCCGCCCCGCCGGGAACCACAAGCCAGCGCCCCTAACAAGCCCCTGCCCAGAGCAGGGCTGCCGCGTACCCTCACAGACAGAAAGAGCGACCACGCAGCCACCGCCCAGCCCCAGCCGCTCTGGAGTCCTTGACCCCACCCTCACTAGGCCTTGGCTCCGCGACCGGTGGGCGGGAACGGAGGAAACAGACCCGAGAGGCCGCGAGAGGACGGAACTCACTTCCCGCCGCCGTAGCGTCCTCGTCAGCTCGCCCTCCGACTCTCCGCATGGGCGCGCAGAGTTCCCGGATGCGATATTCCGGTGACACCGGACGCTGGGGGCGGGGCCTAGTGCGACGAGGGCGGGGCCGGGGCCGGCCCGGGGCGGGGCCGTGGCCGCAGCTGCCTGGCAGCCAGAACCTGGGAGCGCTCGCAGTGCTGCCTTTCGGGGTTCTTTGTCCTTCGCTTCTGCTGGTAGGTGAGGTTTAACAGACGGAAAGACGCCGGGAGCGCACGTGGGCTGCCTTGAGCCGCTGCGGACGAGCACCTTGTCTCTCAGGTTGACCAGCCGTATATCCGCTTGCGAGCCTGCACCACCCTGGGCGCGCGTGGTCTCGGCAGAATCTCGTTCACACGGGTCCCACTCGTAGGCTGCTGTGTCTCCTTCCTCTCACGGCGTCGGGGACTGGGGCCTGGAGTCACTCCTCTACAGGGGTGTGGAACGCGCCAATGGACGCTGACACCTTCATGCGGTCGTTTAACGCTCCGTGCACAATAACCATTTTACTCAGTTGTGTGATGCTCCATCGAAAATAACCCATTTACACGGTTGTATAAGACCCCACGACACGATAACCCCTCTACGCAGTTATGTAAGACTCCATGGCACAATAACCCCTTCATGCGGTTGTGTAACTCTCCATGGCACAAAAACCCATTGCCATGCATAAGGTTCCGTGCCAAAATAACCACTTTACGCCATTGCATAACACTCTATGGCACAATAACCACTTTACAAGGCTGTGTAATACTCTACGCCACAATAACCCTTTCATGTGGTTGTGTAATCTTCCATGGTGCAATAACCACTTCACTTGGTTGTGTAATCCTCCAGGGCACAATAATCATTTTATGTGATCGTATAAAATGCTCCACTGTGAATACACCATTTGCTCATTTTCCTTCCTGTCAGTGGATATTTGGGCTGTTTCCAGTTGGGAGTTACTACAAAGGAACCTGCTGTGAACATTGTGTGTGCATCTTTTGATAAGCAGGTTTGTATTTCTGTTGGGTGAATGCCTAGGACTGCAGCTGTCTCTTCATGGGTGCACCTGTTCAGGTTAGGAGATAACACTAGTTTACAGTGCCCCCTGCAGTGGTGTATAAGATTCCCAGTTGCTCCCCATTCTTGTCAACACTTGGTACTATCTGTTGTTTTCATTTTTGCCATTAGTGTGATGTGAAGTAGCATCTCATTGTGGTTTCTCTGATTAGTAGTAAAGTTGGGCACACTTTCATGCACTTATTGGCCATTTGGACTTTTCCTTGTTTATGAGGGGGCTGGTTCAAGTCATTTGCCAACTTTTCTATTAAGTTGCATTCTTATTGAGATGCTGAGTTCTTTATATATTTGGAGGCCAATCTTTTGTTGGCTCTACAATGGTCTTCTCCCACTCTGTCACTTGCCCTTTCACTTGCATAATATTGCTTTCTGATGAACATAAGTTGGTTTTTTGGTTTTTTTTTTTTTTTTTTTGAGATGGAGTCTTGTTCTGTTGCCCAGGCTGGAGTGCAGTGGTACGATCTTGGCTCACTGCAACCTCTGCCTTCCAGGTTCAAGCAGTTCTCCTGCCTCAGACCCCCAAGCAATTGGGATTACAGGTGCATGACATCATGCCCGGTTAATTTTTATATTTTTAGTAGAGATGGGTTTTGCCATGTTGGTCAGGCTGGTCTCAAACTCCTGACCTCAAATGATCCATCCACCTCGGCCTCCCAAAGTGCTGGGATTACAGGTGTGAGGCACTGTGCCCAGCCCCTTTCCAGTTTTAAAGCCAGGAACAGGGAGTAGATTCCTCACACTTCAGCTCTCTACTCGCTCCTTCCTCAGCATCTGACTCCAGCCCACAATCTCTGCTTTTAAGGGCATGTGTGCTAGATTGGGCCCATCCAGATAATCCAGGATACCTTCTTCTCTATCTCATGTCCCACTCATTTCAGCCAAACTTGCAATGGCCCAGGCTACCCCAGAATCCATCTGGAACTCACCTAGTCCACATCTCATATTCTCTTTGGTCAGGAGTTTCTATCCTCTGTGATTGAATTACAGTAGCCTCTCCTGATTGGCAGTTTCACTTCTCCACCTTTGTTACCCGAGGTCAACTGTGGTCTGAAAATATTAAATGGAAAATCCAGAAATAAACAATTCATAAGTTTCACATTGCACACTGCTCTGAGTAGCATGATTAAATCCCATGCTGTACCACACCATCCCGCCCAGGATGGGAACCAGGCATTTGTCTAGTGTGTCCACACTGTATACCCCCTATTAGTTACTTTTAGAAGCCACCTTGGTTATTAAATTAACCATCATAGTATCACAGTACTTGTGTTCAAGTAACCTTTACTTTAAAAAATATTTTATAAATTAAACCTTATCACAGGTTAAGTATAAGAAAAAACATAGTATACAGTTAGCCCTCCATATGCGTGGGTTCCACATTTGTAGATTCAACCAACTTTGGATTGAAAGTATTTGAAAAAACACTGCATCTGTAGTGAGCGTGTGCAGACTTTTTTCCTCATCATTACCTCCTAAACAATACAGTATAAAAATTACAAAGTATTTACGTTGTATTAGGGAACATAAGTAATCTAAACATTACTATTTTTTTTTTTTTTTGAGATGGAGTCTCACTCTGTCTCCCAGGCTGGAGTGCAGTGGCATGATCTTGGCTCACTGCAGACTCCACTTCCCAGGTTCAAGTGATTCTCCTGCCTTAGCCTCTCTAGTAGCTGGGATTACAGGTGCATGCTACCACACCCAGCTAATTTTTGTATTTTTAGTAGAGACGGGGTTTTGCCACGTTGGCCAGGCTGGTCTTGAACTCCTGACCTCAGCTGATCTGCCCGCCTTGGCCTCCCAAAGTACTGGGATTACGGGCTTGAGCCACTGTGCCCAGCCTAGACATTAAAGTACACTGGAAGATGTGTGTAGATTATATGTAAATACACACCATCTTATATGAGGGACTTGAGCATCATCTGATTTGGTGTCTGAGGGCAGTTTTGGAATCAATCTCCCACAGATATAGAGGGACAACTGTATATACGGTTTGGTGTCATAAGAGGTTTTAGGCATCCACCATGGTACTGGAATGTATCCCCCTGGATTTGGTAGGGAGGACTACTACATGTTCATTACAGCAGTGATTCCTGCTAATTTGAGAAAAGCTTATTTATTATTATTTCATTTCATTTTGTAGAGATAGGGTCTCTGTCTGTTGCCCAGGCTGGTCCCAAACTCCTGGACTCAAGTGATCCTCCCACCTCAGCCTCCCAAAGTCCTGGGATTACAAGTGTGAGCCATAGTGCCCAGCCTAAGAAAATTTTTTCAATAAAGATCAAGAGGAATACAATTCACACAAAACCATGGGGCTCATACCAATATCATAGTTGACACCACTTCTTCAGAATGCTTACTCTCTGGCCACAACTGGTCAGGGGATGAGTCCATCCCAGAATCTGAAAGGTAGAACCAAGAGGTAGAGATGCTGCTGACACTAACTGCAACACCTGCATATTTTACTTGAGAGCTGCAGACACCAAAGTGAAGTGCCCAGCCTGGGCATTCCTGACAGTCCACTAGGGATTTGTGTCTTATGATACACACATTTCTACAGAGACATAAATCTGTAACTTATAACTGTACACATCCTGGGAATGTAAGACTTTTCCCCAATAATGGGGTTCATTCTTTTGAAAGTATGAACAAGAAATGTATACACTTAAGCCTTGGCACAGCTCACACCTGGGCTGGATAACTCTGCTGTGGGGGCCATTATGAGCCTTGAAGGATGTTTAGCAGCAGCCCCAGCCTCCACCTGCCAGATGCCACCCTTCATCATGACCACCCAGATGTCTCCATATGTCCCCTGGGGGCAAAATTGCCCCTGGATGAGAACCACTGCTCACAGTGAATAGATCCACATGTTCAAGTGCGCCCACACCATGGAATATTACACAGCACTGAGGAGAAACCACAGCTGCCTGCAGCAACATGGATGAGTCTAACCTACACAATGTTGTGCAACAGGCAGACATCTAATTCCATTCATACAAACACATGGTGAGGCAGGCTTTATTCCAGAAGCTACTACAGAGGGGCTTGGGAGGCCAGACTCAACTCCAGCTTGGACAAGAACAAGTGAGGGCTTAAAGCCGAGAAGCAGCAGGGTGTCTGGAGGATGAAAAATTACTAAGTGCAAACCTCAGAGATAAGGGGTGAATTCTTGCCAGACCAACTCAAGAGAAGTTTTCCTAAAGGCAGGCCCAGGGAAGAAGACATTGAAGGTGGGGGACAAGGAATTTGATCAGATATCAAAGTGGAGTGGGGAGTGCTACACACTTTTAAACAACCAGGTCTCATGAAAACTCACTCACTATCATGAAAACAGCAAAAGGGGAAATCCACCCCCATGATACAATCACCTCCCACCAGGTCTGTCCCCCAACACTGGGAATTACAATTTGACATGAGATTTTGGCAGAAACACAGAGCTAACCCATATCATTCTATCCCTGTCCCACCCCTAAATCTCATATTCTTCTCATACTGCAAAATGCAATCATGCCTTCCCAACAGTCCCCCAAAGTCTTAACTCATTCCAGCATTAACTCAAAAGTGCAAGTCCAAAGACTCATCTGAGACAAGGCAAGTCCCTTTCACCTATGAGCCCATAAAATCAAAAGCAAGTGAGTTACTTCCAAGGTACAATGGAGGGTACAGGCATTGGGTAAATTCCCCTATTCCAAAAGGGAGAACTTGGTCAAAACAAAGGGGCTACAGGTCCCATGCAAGTCTGAATACCAGCAGGGCAGTCATTAAATGTTTAAGCTCCAAAATAATCTTCTTTGACTCCATTTCTCACATCCAGGTCACACTGATGCAAGGGCTGGGCTCCCAAGGCCTTGGGCACTCCACTCCTGTGGCAATGCAGGGTACAGCCCCTGTGGCTGCTTTCACAGGCTGGTATTGAGTGCTTGTGGCTTTTCCAGGCACACGGTGCAAGCTAACGGTGGACCTACCATTCTGGACTCTGGAGGATGATGACCCTCTTCTCACAGCTCCACTAGGCAGTGCCTGAGTGGGGACTCTGTGTGGGGGTTCCAACCCCACATTTCCCCCATCCCCCTGCCTTAGCAGAGGTTCTCCACGAGGGCTCCACCCATGCAGCAGACTTCTGCCTGGACGTCCAGGTGTTCCCATACATCCTCTGAAATCTAGGCAGAGGCTCCCAAACTTCAACTCTCGCCTTCTGTGCACCCACAGGTCCAATACCACATGTAAGCTGCCAAGGCTTGGGACTTGCACCCTCTGAAGCAATAGACCAAGCTGTACATTGGCCTCCTTTAGCCACAGTTAGAACTGACGCAGCTGGGATGCAGGATGCCAAGTCTTGAGGATGCACAGAGCACTGGGGCCCTGGACCCTGGCCCACAAAACCATTTTTCTCTCCTAGGCCTCCAGGCTTGTGATGGGAGGGGCGGCTGAGAAGGTCTCTGAAATGCCCTGCAGGCATTTTGCTCATTATCTTGCCTATTAACTTTCAGCTCTTCTTTACTTATGTACATTTCTGCAGCCTTTGATTCCTGCCAGAAAATGGGCAGCAAATTTTCAAAACTTTCATGCTTTGCTTCCAGTTTAAATGTAAGTTATAGTTTTAGGTCATTTCTTTGATTATGCAATTGAGTGCAGACTTTAAGAAGCAGCCAGGCGACCTCTCCAACACTGCTGCTTAGAAATTTATTCTGCCAGATACTCTAAATAATCTTTCTCAAGCTCAAGTTGTGTCTGTCACAGATCTCTAGAGCAGGAGCACAATGCTGCCAGTCTTTTTGCTAAAGCACAGCGAGAGTGACCTTTATTCCAGTTACCAGTAAGTTCCTCATCTCTATCTGAGACCACCACAGCCCAGACTTCACTGTCCATATTATTAGCATTTTGGTCACAACCATTTAAGTCTCTAGGAAGTTCCACACTTTCCCTCAACTTCCTGTCTTCTTCGGATCCCTTCAAACTGTTCCAACATCTGCACATTACCCAGTTCCAAAGTAGCTTCAGGAATCTTTATAGCAGTGCCCCACTCCTGTTACCAACTTTCTATACTAGTCCATTCTCACACTGCTGTGAGGAACTACCTAAGATTCGGTAATTTATGAAGAAAAGAGGTTTAATTGACTTACGATTCCACAGGCTGTACATGAAGCATGGCTGGGAGGCCTCAGGAAACTTACAGTCATGGCAGAAGGTGAAGAAGTAAGCATGTCTTACCATGGCAGAGCAGGAAAGAGGGTGAATGAAGAAGGAAGTGCTACACACTTTTAAACAAGCAGGTCTCATGTGAACTATCATGAGAACAGCAAGGAGGAAATCTGCCCCCATGATCCATTCATCTCCCACCAGGTCCCTCCCCTAACAAGAGAATTACAATTTGACATGAGACTTGGGTGGGGACACAGAGCCAAACCATATCAGATTCTGTTTTGAGACAGGGTCTTGCCCCATTATCCAGCCCACAGTGCAGTGGTGTGATCACGGCTCACTGTAGCCTCAAACTCCCAGGCTTAAGAGATTCTTCTGCCTTCTTCCTGACTCTCCCTCCTGATAAGCTGGAACTAAAGGCACATGCCATCACACCTGGCTAATTTTTACATTACTATTTGCAGAGATGGGGGTCTTGCTATGTTGCCCAGGCTGGTCTTAAATGCCTAGGCTCAAGCAATCCTCCTGCCTCAGCCTCCTGAAGTGGTGAAATTACAGGTGTGAGCTACTATGCACATCCAAACATCTTGCTCAAACTGGATCCTATAGGGAAAGGGAGAAGCCCAAGGTCAGAGGGCTCAGGGGATCCTGATTTAAGTTGGGTCAAGGAGAGTCTGCAGTGCACTTTTCTGTATGTGAGCTATACTCAAACGCAACTCTCTGGAGAAGACAAGTCAGCCTGGTCCCCTTTCATCCATCACCACACCCTGGGACACAGCACCATCCCATCCTGACTCCAGAGGGTTCAACAAGGGTCCCCGCTAGTCCTCCATGCCCCTGCACCTCTCACCATGAGATCACCATATCCCAATGTGTGTGGGGGAGCTTTACTTCTCTAAATGCTCTTTCAGGGCCACTCTTCCCTTCTTCACTCCGTGCCTCCATTACCTATCTACTCATTCCTCTCTCAGGACTGGCTGCCCACCCTTCCCATGACACAGCTATCAGAGGCATACCAAGGTTGGCTGCCTCATGGGAGACAGCAAGTGCCATGGAGGCCACAGCTGATGCCAGACAAAAGAGAACACACACAGAGAAGGAGGCATGGCTGCTTGAAGCTCCCCACGAGCTGGCCTGAGGGTCCGGACCTCAGAATACCAGCACCATGGAGACACCAGGTCACACACACATGAACCTTGATCCAGCTAATACAATGGGCCTGGCTGACCCCAGTCCTGGACTGACTCATCACTAATCTTCACTATCGTCACACCTGTCCCTTCTCCCAGGAGAGGAAATTGTCTAGAGGCAAAATCCCAAGGGGATCCACTCATGGGGCTTCAAGGCTGTGTCATCCACCTTGACTGGCTTTCACTCGGCCAGTACTGCACTGCCTCGGAAGGGCCACTCCAAAGTCATCCCAAATTTTCTACAGGCTTCCTGTTCTCCATTCTCTGGGACTCACTCTCTCTTCTACACTGACAACCCCTTATAACCCAAGTCCCAAAGAAGGAAGTTATTCTCATGCCCTGGGCTTTGGGATGCTGATTCCAGAGACGCTACTGCCCAATGCCCCTCCATCCACACTTACAGCTTCCCTGTTGCCCTGATCCAGTCCCTACTACTAAAGGTCCAAAGAAACCCCAAATTAACCTCCTTTTGGCTTCACTTTTTAATTTATTACCAAATTATTATGCCAACAAGTATCTGTAACAGAGAAAAAAATATGATACAAAATTCCAGTCCCCAAAGAAAACCACATTTTATTTCTCCATCATCCACTTTCAACATACATCCATATGTGCACATATTTTTACATGGCTGGAATAATAGTAAATCTTCTATTTGATGCCCCTTTTTGCCATATTATAAACATTTTCAACATGGCAATAAAACCTTTATAATGGTTCACAGTGGCTGAATTAGAAGCATCCTAAATGAACAACCATGGAGGTAGTGGTGGGGTGATAACATAAACATAACAACTCAGTATTTTTGCTTCAACAACTAAAGCAACAAACCACATCTGTTAGAAGCAGCCCTTTCCATCTTAGCACAAGCTTGTTTCAGTCTTTTTTTTTGAAATGGAGTCTCGCTCTGTCACCCAGGCTGGAGTGCAGTGGTGCGATCTTAGCTCACTGCAACCTCCACCTCCCAGGTTCAAGCAATTCTCCTGCCTCAGCTTCCCAAGTAGCTGGGATTACAGGCACACACTACTATGCCCAGATAATTTCCTGTATTTTTGGTAGAGATGGGGTTTCACCATGCTGGCCAGGCTGGTCTTGAACTCCTAACCTTGTGATCTGGCCGCCTCGGCCTCCCAAAGTGCTAGGATTACAGGCGTGAGCCACCACATCTGGCCTGCTTGTTTCAGTCTTAAGAGGAACGACTTCATTGTTCATTCACAGGTAATTTATTCACCTAGTTTGCCCTCCTGCAACGAGTCCTCAGCATTATTGCAGGAGTATAATGCAGACATACATTCAAACAGGAAAATCTCACACATTCTGTGGTGTGTGCAGTACAGCACTGTGTGGACTCTCTCATTGTACACCTTTGTTGTTACAGAAAACACAGTAAGAGCCCCTGCCAAAGCCTCTCTTTCTGATTACACTTAAAAAAGGTTGATTCAGGCCAGGCAGTGTCTCATGCCTGTAATCCCAACACTTTGGGAGGCTGAGGTGGGCGGATCATGAGGTCAGGAGTTCAAGACCAGCCTGGCCAACACAGTGAAACCCTGTCTCTACTAAAAATAGAAAAAATTAGCCAGGCATGGTGGCAGGCACCTGTAATCCTAGCTACTTTGGAGGCTGAGGCAGGAGAACTGCTTGAACCTGGGAGGCAGAGGTTGCTGTGAGTGGAGATCATGCCACTGCACAGTGAGACTCTGTCCGAAAAAAAAAAAAAAGTTGATTCAGTGTTTGCTTACGTACAAGGTGGAAACTCCCTACTACAGGGCTCTTCATTCCAATCATGTTCTGAATGCATTCACAGGTTCTCTCTGTGGTGTCACCCCCATGTTTGCACATTTCATTCCAGTGTGTGTGTTGTCATGTCTGGTACAGACTGAATCATCCCCAAAGACTTTTCTGCCCTCATCCTAAGTTGTCTCTGGAGTTCCCCAATGAGCAGACTTAACAGTGTGGCTCAGCAATGTCTCACATTCATCAATTCACTGGATAGCTTAAAGGATTCTTTTCTACTGACCAGAGAGGAGTCAGATCTAAGACACGCCTCCTAAACACAGGAGTGAGAGTGAACTGGAAGACTCATGTGGCCCCCAACCATTATGTTTCCATGGGTTGCTCTCCCAGGTGTGCTCTTTGATGTCGAACAAGGGATGAGCTCTTTTGGAACATTTTTCCACACTGAGGACACCGGCTGGGACCCTCCCTGCTATGGAGTCTCTGATGTACTGCCAGGTGAGAGTTCTGCTTGAAGGACTTCCCACATTCTGGACACTGATATGGGGTCTCCTTAGTGTGAATTCTCTGGTGCTTGGTCAGACAGGAGCTGTCCCTGAAGGCTTTGCCACACTGATTACACTCATAGGGCTTCTCACCAGTATGAGTCCTCTGGTGCCTAATGAGGCCAGCGATATTCCTGAAAAGTTTCTGACACTGGTTGCAGCCATAGGGCTTCTCGCCAGTATGAATCCTCTGATGCCTGATGAGGTACGCACTCTCGATGAAAGTCTTGCCACATTCTTTACATTCATAGGGTTTCTCCCCAGAATGGATCTTTTGATGCACAATGAGGTGAGAGTTTCTGTTGAAGGATTTCCCGCACTCTGCACACTCAAAGGGCTTTTCTCCAGTGTGAGTCCTCTCATGCTGGGTGAGGTACGAGCCGTCCCGGAAAGCCTTTCCACATTTGCTACACTCATAGGGCTTCTCACCGGTGTGGATTCTGAGATGCACTGTAAGGTGGGAGATGTCAGTGAAGGGTTTCCCACATTCGTTACATCTATATGGTTTTTCCCCTGTATGAGTTCTTTGGTGCAAAATTAAGGATGAATTTCGGTTGAAGGTTTTTCCACACTCTAGGCATTCATAAGGTTTCTCGCCTGTGTGAATTCTCTGGTGCTGTGTCAGAGCTGAGCCATCACTGAAAGCTTTCCCACATTTACTGCATTCATAGGGCTTCTCTCCTGTGTGGATTCTTTGATGCACAATCAGGTTGTAGTTCTTGGAGAAGGACTTTCCACACTCATTACAAGTATAAGGCTTCTCTCCGGTGTGAGTTCGGTGATGCAAAACAAGAGAAGAGTTCCGTTTGAAGCATTTGCCACATTCAGTACATCTATATTGTTTCTCTCCAGGGAGATTTCTCTGGTTTTCATTAAGCGATGAGCTCAGAGTAAAGATGTTCTCAAAATTCTTACCTTCATACGATTTCTTGCCTCTTTTCATTATTTTCTGATGACCAAGAGAGGTAAAATGATTAAAAGACTTAACACTTTCAGGGTATTTGTAGGGCTTCTCTCTCACTGGATTTCTTCCATGAATAACTTCCATGGAATGGTTGAAGCCTTTTCCACAGGCATCACTGTCACCAGTTCTCTTATCTGCATAACTTTTAGGATAGCTGGGTAAGGCGGGGTCACAATCCAGACCACTAACATTTGAGTCAGGTGCATGGAAACCATTTGTTGCCAGAACTCTCTGAGACGGTGGAAGGTCTGAGCTTGCAATCAAATGCTCCCCAAAACCAGGATATTCACAAATTGCTTCCTGAGTCCCTGGTTTCTCCAGAGTTAAAGCTGATTGCCTCAAGTGTCCCTCCTGGTTCTCACAGTCCCAACCATCACCTAAACTGGACAAGCAGGGAACTTCCCTTGTGAATCTTTCCACTTCTACATCACAGGGTACTTCTCTCTCAGGAAAATTCCGAGTCGTCATTTTCAATCTCATATCCCAAACTGCAAAAAGAAGAAAAATGCAGACTTAGGTATATGAAGCTTTATCTGTAAGAGAAACAGACAATGATGATGGGCTAGGTGTAAAGATGTGTATTTTTTTACTTGTTTTCTCTTTTAAATTCAAATTTATACAAGGAAGAGGTAAAATCGTAGCCAAGGAATGGAACCAAGAACAGATTCAAAAAGAGCCATGTAGCATTTTCATCTTCCTAGAGAGCAGGCAGGAGGAATGGACCTCGGGATAAATCATCACCAAAAGGATTAGTTTGAGATGTGAGAGACCAGAGGCCAAGCATCCCTGCTCCCCCTAGAATTCCATCCCAGCCACTGCATTCTTGTCCCTGTCACACACTGCCCATCAGTACACATTTCCAAAGCTCTGACTTCACAATGAGCTTACAACAGCACTGAAGGAACAGTTCTCACCCCAGCTCTGTCATCAAAGTTCTGCATTCATGGATAGGACAAAGCACAGGCTTGGTGACCTAAAAGTTCTGGGTCTAAGTCTTAGAACTGTCAATGACCTGGCGGGGCACAGTGGTTCACTCCTGTAATCCCAGCACTTTGGGAAGTGGAGGCAGGTGGATCATTTGAAGTCAGGAGTTCAAGACCAGCCTGACCAACATGGTGAAACACCGTCTCTACTAAAAATACAAAAAAAATCAGCCAGGCGTGGTGGCACATGCCTGTAGTCCCAGCTACTCTGGAGGCTGAGGCAGGAGAATCACTTCAACCTGGTAGGCAGAGGTTGCAGTGAGCTGAGATCACACCACTGCACTCCAGCCTACGCGGCAGAGTGAGACTCCATCTCAAAAAACAAAACAAAACAAAAACTGTCAAAGACTGCCCTGCATGGTTGTTATAAAAACTGGATCATGTCGGCCAGGCGCGGTGGTCACGCCTGTAATCCCAGCACTTTGGGAGGCCGAGGTGGGCAGATCACAAGGTCAGGAGATTGAGACCATCCTGGCTAACGTGGTGAAACCCCGTCTCTACTAAAAAAATACAAACAATTAGCCAGGCGTGGTGGCGGGCGCCTGTAGTCCCAGCTACTCGGGAGGCTGAGGCAGGAGAATGGCGCGAACCCGGGAGGCGGAGCTTGCAGTGAGCCAAGATCGTGCCACTGCACTCCAGCCTGGGCCACAGAGCAAGACTCCGTCTCAAAAAAAAAAAAAAAAAAAAACTGGATCATGTACAAAGCAGTCTCCAAGGCTAGGGGATGAAGGGCATTCTGTAAATGGTTGCATGTGTCTTCATGCATATCAATCTTCCTGTCACCATCCTTGTCCATTCAGACTTCACAATATTAAGACAACTGGTTGTCCATTCATTCGTTCATTCATTTGGTGGGATCGGGTCTCGCTCTGTCATTCAGGCTGAAGTGCAGTGGTGTGATCTTGGTTCACTGAAGCCTCAATCTCAAAAACTTCAAGCAATTATCCCACCTCAGCCTCCCAAAATGCTGCAAATACAGGGATGAGCCATTGTGCCCAGCCTTCTTTCTATTTTTTAAGGTAAAATGAAAATAGACCCTTGCCTCAGAATACATACATACATATATGTCTACATTCTAGGCAATTTAAATATATATACATGTATATGTGTATATGTGTGTGTGTGTGTGTGTGTGCGCGTGTATTTACATTTCAGAAGGATACAGGCTGCAACATAAAGTCAAAGTTTAAATAATGTAGTATGCCTTCATAAGTGTGGCAGACTTTGATCAACAAAACTTAACCAAAAAACCATATGGCCAAGCATTGGGGGTCATGCCTGTAATCCCAGCACTCTGGGAGGCTGAAGTGGGAGTTATCACTTGAGCCCACACAGAAGGCTGAGGCTGCAGTGAGCTGTAATTGTGCCACTGCATTCCAGATTGGGCAAAAGAGACCATGTCTTAAAAACAAAAAACAAAAACCAAAAAATAAAAAACAGACAAGGATTAAGAAGTCTGATATCAGCATTCAAATTTTCCATCCAATAAAAGACACAATAAGAGACAAAATGCAAGTGGCAGATAGGGAGAAAATAGGACTTAAAAGCACAAAGAATTATTGCCCAAGAGCTATAGAGGATTCTTACAGAGAGAAAATAAGATTTAAAAGCACAAAGAATTACTGCCCAAGAACTACAGAGGATTCTTACAGAACAGCACATAAAAAGAAAAAAAATGGGCAAAGTAATCAAAGAGCACTTCGTGAAGGGAAAATAGAAATGTCCTGAAAACATTGGCTGGGAGCAGTGGGTCACGCCTGTAATCCCAGCACTTTGGGAGGCTGAGGCAGGTGGACCACAAGGTCAGGAGATCGAGACCATCCTGGCTGACACGGTGAAACCCCGTCTCTATTAAAAATACAAAAAATTAGCCAGGCGTGGTGGCGGGCGCCTGTAGTCCCAGCTACTTGGGAGGCTGAGGCAGGAGAATGGCATGAACCCGGGAGGCAGAGCTTGCAGTGAGCCGCGATAGCGCCACTGCACTCCAGCCTGGGCAACAGGGCGAGACTCTGCCTCAAAAAAAAAAAAAAAAGAAAGAAAAAAAAGAAATGTCCTGAAAACATCAATATTTATTTTCTCATTCTATCATTCAGGCAATTCCAAACTGCGACTTTAAGAACACAAAATATACACATTTCACGTGAGTAAAAATAAAATGAAGTACAATAATATAAAGCTTTGGTAGGTCACAAGGGAAGAGGGCTTGGAAAGTGGTCAGCGTGCTTGGCAGGGTACCTTAGTGGCAGCTGTGAAAACATAAACTGGGGGCAGGCGCGGTGGCTCACGCCTATAATTCCAGCAGTTTGGGAGGCTGAGGTGGGTGGATCACCTGAGCTCAGGAGTTCGAGACCAGCCTGACTAACATGGTGAAACCCCACCTCCACTAAAAATACAAAAATTAAGCCAGGCACAGTGGCTCACGCCTGTAATCCCAGCACTTTGGGAGGCTGAGGCAGGTGGATCACCTAAGGTCAGGAGTTCAAGACCAGCCTGGGCAACTATGTCTCTACTAAAAATACAAAAATTAGCTGGACGCGGTGGCGCATGCATGTAATCCCAGCTACTCGGGAGGCTGAGGTAGGAGAATCGCTTGAGCCTAGGAGGCAGAGGTTGCAGTGAGACAAGATTATACCATTGCACTCCAGCCTGGGGGACAGAGCGAGACTCCGTCTGAAAAAAAAAAAAAAAAAAGAAAACATAAATTAGGTATATTCTACCACCCAGCAGTTCCACTGGTAGGTATCTCAGAGTCAGAAAGCTGGATAAACGAACATCAATCCATACCTACGTAGATAGATGGTCTTTTTCTTTTTTCTTTTTTTTTGAGACAGAGTCTTGCACTGTCACCCAGGCTGGAGTGCAGTGGTGCGATCTCAGCTCACAGCAAGCTCCGCCTCCCAGGTTCACGCCATTCTCCTGCCTCAGCCTCCCCAGTAGCTGGGACTACAGGTGTCTGCCACCACGCCCAGCTAATTTTTTGTACTTTTAGTAGAGACAGGGTTTCACTATGTTAGCCAGGATGGTCTCGAGCTCCTGACCTCGTGATCCGCCCGCCTCAGCCTCCCAGAGTGCTGGGATTACAGGCGTGAGCCACCGCGCCTGGCCAATAGATGGTCTTAAAGGCCAGCAGAGAGAAGAGAAACCACCAGTGAATGACGAAAATTATTACAATAGATCACTTAATAGAAAAACTGGAAACCCAAAGGTAACGGAAGGCTACTTTCAAAGCACTGAAGGAAAAAATCTATCAGTCACACTATTGTTCAAGAGCAAAGGTGAGATAAAGACTGTTTCAGAGGCTGGATGTGGTGGCTCATACCTGTACTCTCAACACTTTGGTAGGCCAAGGTGGATGGGTCACTTGAGCCCAAGAGTCTGAGACCAGTCTGGGCAACATGGTGAAACCCCGTCCCTACAAAAGATACAAAAATTAGCAGGGTGTGGTGGCATGCGCCTGTTAGTCCCAACTACTTGGGAAGCTGAAGTAGGAGAATTGCTTGAGCTCCAGGGGTTGAGGCTGCGGTGAGCTATGATTCACTCCAGCCTGGACAACAGTGAGACTGTCTCAAAAAAAAAAAAAATTCAGAAAAGCAAAAGCAGAGTTCATTTCCAAGGATACTAGCCAGAGGAATTAGAAAATGTTGTTCTTCAAAAAAACCCCAAGAACGAAGGAAGGAAAAACAAAGGAATTGATGAATATGATGAATGTGGGCTAGGTGTGGTGACTCACACCTGTAATCCCAGCACTTTGGGAGGTCGAGGTGGGGGGATCACTTGAGCCCAGGCATTTATGACTAGTCTGGGCAACACAGTGAGATGTCATCTCTTAAAAAAAAAAAACTGATGAATGTATATTTAAATCAAATCCAATGCTGACCACATGAAATGCAGAAATCACGACTTGGAATTAATGGGATAGACTAATATACTAGACAACAGTGGCCAATGAGGTGGGAATGGGGCAACAGAATCAAGTGTTCTGAAGTCCTCAAGTTTCTCATGATTCATGTTAGACCTGCTCAAGTCAGAATTAAAAGAATAAATGTAGTATAAAACATCTAAGCCCACAGAGCAGTAGTTTTTAACCAGGGATGTTTCTACTTCCAGAAGATACTTGGCAATATCTGGAGATGATTTTGGTTGTCAGTCTGACTAGGGGGCAGATGTTCCTAGGAGCCACGGATGCTGCTAAATATCCTATAATGCACAGGATGGACTTCCACAACACAAAATGATCCAGCCCCAAATGTCCATAGTACTGAAGTTGAAAAACATTGTAGAGGGAGGTCAGAATTAAAAACAAAAACAAACAGACAAAAAACCCGATCAATCCAGAAAGCTGGTAAGGGGTAAAAAACAGCACAAAAAGGACAGACTAAATACAAAGTGTAAAGTAAGGTATCAACAATTACAATAAATATAAATGGCCTTGATGGGTCAGATAAAGACTGCATTAGACTGTATTAAAAAACATGTTTGTAACAGGTATTCCTAAAGCAAAAGGACATAAAAGCCAAAAGTGAAAGGATGGGACAGGTGAATGCCAAACAAAGAAGGGTTTTGTGGCTCTTTACAAACCAAAGAAAAATTTCAAGTGAGGATCACAGGGCAATGTAACAGTAACAACATGCCTCAAAACACAGAGCAGGCCGGGCGCGGTGGCTCATGCCTGTAATCCCAGCACTTTGGTAGGCTGAGGCAGGCGGATCACTTGAGGTCAGGAGTTCAAGACCAGCCTGGCCAACATGGTAAAACCATGTCTCTACAAAAACACAAAAATTAGCGAGGCATGGTGGCACATGCCTGTAATCCCAGCTACTCCAGGAGGCTGAAGCAGAAGAATTGCTTGAATCTGGGAGACAGAGGTTGCAGTGAGCCAAGATTGACCCACTGAACTCCAGCCTGGGCAACAGAGCAAAACTCCATCTCAAAAAACAAACAAACAAACAATCAACAACAAAAAAACACAGAGCAAAGCCAGCTAGGTTTGTAGGAAGAAAACAGCAAATCTAAGGATAGTGGGAAATTTTATTTATCTGTTTTTTGAGGTTTTTTTTTCTGATCAAGTAGCTCAGATTATATTTAAATTTTAAAAAATGTTTTAATGTAATTGTTTAATTTTTATAATGGGGGTCTCAGTATGTTGCCCAGGCTGGCCTCAAACTCCAGAGCACAAGCGATCCTCCTGCCTCAGCTTCATGAGTAGCTGGGACTATAGGCACATGCCACTGCAACCAGCCATAGTGGGAGGTTTTATTTTATCTATTTAATTTTTTTTTTTGAGACGGAGTCTCACTCTTGTCGCCAAGGCTAGAGTGCAGTGGCACGATCTCGGCTCATTGCAACCTCTACCTCCCGGGTTCAAGCAGTTCTCCTGCCTCAGCCTCCCGAGATGGGATTACAGGTGCCCACCACTACGCCAGCTAATTTTTGTATTTTTAGTAGAGACAGGTTTCACCATGTTGACCAGGCTGGTCTCGCACTCCTGGCCTCAGGTGATCTGCCTGCTTCGGCCCCACAAAGTGCTGGGATTATAGGCATGAGCCACTGCACCCGGCAGGTGGGAGGTTTTAATGAACCTCTTTTAGAAATGAAAACGCAGAAGAATGGAAAAGAGTTATGCAGGACAGAATGTAGTTACCCAATCTGATCACACAGCTGGATGAAAATCTACGTACAAATTAAAATAAAATGCTTTCTTTCTAAGCACAAGTGGAATATTTGCTAACACTGACTAGGTCAAAGAAAAAGTTCAACAAAGCCCAGACTACAGCCTCTTGACTTCGAGGCAGCAAGTTAAAAGCCAGTAACAGAAAGAAAACCAAATATAATAAAACAGCGAGTAAAGCAAACTCCTATTTATTTGGAAAAATAAAAACTTGTTTCTCAGTAATTGACAGATCAAAGAGAAAACCTGATAGAAATTACAAAACACCTAGAACAGGCCACGCACGGTGGCTCATGCCTTGTAATCCCAGCACTTTAGGGGGCAGAGGCAGGTGGATCACGAGGTCAGGAGTTCAAGACCAGCCTGGCCAATATAGTGAAACCCCATCTCTACTAAAAATACAAAAATTAGCCAGGCATGGTGGCGCATGCCTGTACTCCCAGCTACTCGGGAGGCTGAGGCAGGAGAATCGCTTGAACCTGGGAGGCAGAGGTTGCAGTCAGCCGAGATCATGCCACTGACTCCAGTCTGGGTGACAGAGCGAGACTCCATCTCAAAAAAAAAAAAGAAAAAAAAGAAAAGGAAAACACCTACAACTACACAATGATGAAAACAGCACATCTCAAAACATGTGGCAAATGAGAATGCAGAATGCAGCTAATAGTTCCTAGATTGAAAATGCTGGTCTTTAATGCCTATATTTTAAAAAGAAGGCTAGGTCAGGCATGGTGGCTCACACCTGTAATCCCAGAACTTTTAGAGGCTGAGGCAGGGATATCACTTGAAGCCAGGAGTTTGAAACCAGCCTGATTATCATAGTAAGACTGTGTCTCTATGAAAGAAAAAAAAAGTTAGCTGGGTGTGGTGGTGTAACTCGCCTTTAGTCCCAGGTAGTTGGGAAGCTGAGGCAGGAATATCCCTTGAGCCCAGAAGTTCAGGAGTTCAAGGCTGCAGTGAGTCATGATCGCATCACTGCACTCCAGCCTGGGTGACAGAGTAAGACTGTCTCCAAAAAAAAAAAAAAAAAAAAAAAAGGGACTAAAGATGAAGTTACTGTGGGTCCTGAAGCTACAGATGGCAGCAAGTCAACAGCCATGGTGGTCTCCAAGGCTGCCCACAGATTTTCTTTAGGCCATCGCTGATGGGTTCTATGTATCATTGAAATGAATGGCAATAACACATTCTGGGATGTGGGTAACGCATGGTGCCCTCAGAATGGTCTTGTTGGCTTCACTGTATGACTGATGATCCTCCAACAATAAACAACCTACTGCTTGTAAACTCATTGGACAAGCCATAAACTCAAAGTGATATGTACCTTATTCCACCACTAGAAAGAAGATTCAGGAGTAAGTCCCACCTTCAACACCTTGTAAGTACAGATAAAAAAAAAAAAAAAACAGTTTAAACATGTAAAAAATGGGACTTTTTATGTAGTTGTACTTTTAGGGCTCACCATTAACTTGATTATAATTGACTAAAAGAAAAGAAGACCGAAGACTAGTGATCTCACTGTTCAATTTACAACTTATGGGAAAGAACTATGGACTAAACCAATGGGAGGTAGAAGGAAAGTGTTAATAAAAATCACAGCAGAGGCTGGGCACGGCGGCTCACACCTATAATCCCAGCACTTTGGGAGGCCGAGGCAGGTGGATCACCTGAGGTCAGGCATTCGAGACCAGCCTGATCAACAAGGTGACACCTCGTCTCTACTAAAAGTATAAAAATTAGCCAGGCATGGTGGCAGGTGCCTGTAGTCCTAGCTACTCGGGAGGCTGAGACAGGAGAATCACTTGAACCCAGGAAGCGGAGGTTGCAGTGAGCCGAGATCGTGCCACTGCACTCTAGCCTGGGTGACAGAGCAAGACTGCCTCAGGGGAAAAAAAAAATCGCAGCAGAAATTATGGAAATTAAAAACAAGAAACCAGTTGAGAAAATGAAGAAAACCAAGTCTGTCATTTGAAAAGACAAATGAAAGAGACCATTAAAAAACAGCAAGAAAAAGGCCAGACATGGTGGCTCATACCTGTAATCCCAACACTTTGGGAGGCTAAGGCAGGTGGACTGCTTGAGGTCAGGAGTTTGAGACCACCCTGGGCAACACAGTGAGACCCCATCTCTACAAAAAATACAAAAAAAAAAAAAAAAAAAAAAAGCCAGGCGTACTGGTATGCACCTGTGGTCCCAGCTACTTGGGAAGCTGAGGTGGGACAATCGCTTGAGCCTGGGGGTCAGAGGTTGCAGTGAACGGAGAGAGTGCCACTTCACTCCAGCCTAGCTGACAGAGCAAGACCCTGTCTCAATAAATAAATAAAATTTTTTAAAAAGCAAAAATGAACACATAAGTGATATTAATTGTCAGACAGGGGTTTAACTAACAGTGTAAGGTTAACAAAATGGCAAAGTTGGATTTATCCTAGGAATGTAAGGACTAGGAAACATTGGAACATCTATTAACACAATTCCCCATATTATCAGATTAAAGTAGAAGACAGCGCCCTTACACCTTATCCCAATACATTCAGAAAGTAATATGAAAAAAATCTCACCAAGACTCATGATCAAAATACTCTCAGATTCAAGTAATAGATCCTTTATCTCAAAAATTCAAAAAGTACTTTAAGGAAACCTCAGACTCCTAAGGAAAATTCTTAATAATTAGGGTCATAGGAAATTAATGTGAACATCACACCTTAAACATCAGAAAAAAGGAAACATCAGAATCATTTACTTTCAAGTCCAGGCCAAGGCCTTAGACACTTGCTATGTACACAGCATTCAGCAGTGATGTGGAGGGGCCAGCCAGTCAGGAGGACCATGCTCCCAGCTGTCACCCCTGGATGCTACAAGGACCCCTCCCGTGGAAAGGGCTCCTGAAGCTGCCCTGCCGCATGACATGTTTCCTGTTCTGAATCTTCTGGATAGACTGGGGCCTGGCATGGTCTGTGGCCATCCTGTGAAAACAAGGGACTTGAAAGCACCTCCCCGCACGTTTGTGAAGGGAAGATGCACACGTACAGTTAAAAGAAATAAAATAGGCTGGGTGCGGTGGCTCACACCTGTAATCCCAGCACTTTGGGAGGCTGAGGCAGGCTGATCACATGAGGCCAGGAGTTTGAGAACAGCCTGGCAGACACGGCCAAACCCCATCTCCAGTAAATATACAAAAATTAGCTAGGCATGGTGGTGCACATCTGTAATCCCAGCTACTCGGGAGGCTGAGGCACAAGAATCGCTTAAACCTAGGAGGCGGAGGAGACAGAGCAAGACTGTCTCAAAATTTAAAAAAAAGAAAAAAGAAAAAAAGAAAATAAAAGATGAGATAAATCAGACATATACAGGGTGATATCATTTATGGAATTTCTTCAGACACACAAAATATTCTCTTAGAAATAAAAATATAACGATGCCTTGGCAAGACACCAACCAAGGCTGTGATTACGTCTCTCTTGGGGGTAGGGAGGCTAACTCGCCTTGAGGAACAAAAGGAATGTCCATTTCATCCATAACAGATACTTCCTTTGTTGAAATAAAACTTAAACACCACCAAGAAAGTGAAAACACAACCCACCAAATGGGAGAAAATATTTATATTATGTGTATCTAGAATATCGAAAACTCTTACATTTCAATAATAAAAAGACAAAAACCCAATTTTTAGAAATGGGCGAAGGATCTTGTCTTAGTCTGGGCTGCTACAACAAATAGACTGGGTGGCTTAAACAACAGAAATCTATTTCTCACAGTTCTGGAGGCTAGGAAATCCAAAATCAGTGTGTCAGCATGATTGGTTCTGGTGAGGGTCCTCTTCCTGGTTTGCAGATGGCCACCTTCTCAGTGTGCCTTCACAGGGTACAGCAGGAAGCAGGAGCTCCTGAGAGCTCTCCTGTCTCCTCTTATAAGAGCACTGATTTCATTCAAAAAGGTTCTACCCTCGTGACCTAATTACCTCCCACAGGCCTCATCTCCAAATACCATCACAGTGGGGATAAGGCATCAACATACAAATTTTGAGGGGACACTACATTCACCCCATAGGAGTTCTGAATAGATATTTCCCCAAAGAAGTCATACAAATGGCCAATGAGCACATGAAATGATGATCAATATCATTAGGTATTCGGGAAATGCTGATCAAAACCACAGTGAGATGCCACTTTACACTCACTAGTATGTTCAATATTTAAAAACAAACAAAAACAATAACAAGTATTGGCAAGGATATGGAAAAACTGGAAACTTTTCACTGCCGGTGCAAATATAAAACAGTGTAGCTAATTTGGAAACCAGTCTGATGATTCTCAAAAAGGAAAATATGGAGCTGTCATATGATCCAGCTATTCCACTGCTACGGTTTGGATATGGTTTGTCCACACCAAATCTCATGCTGAAATTTAATCCCTACTGTGGTGGTGCTGGGGCATGCAGCCTACCAGGAGGGGTTTGGGTCATGGAGGTGGAACCCGCATGAATGGCTTGGTGCTGTTCTCACAGTAGTGAGTTCTTGCTCTCATGAGACTGGATCGGTTCTGGGGGAAATGAATTAGTGCCCCCAGAATTGTATTGATTCTTTACATAGACTTAGGGCTTTAGAATTTAAAGAATTATATGGATATTTAATATTACCAGTAAATTTAGAGTACACTGCAAAACAGATTATAAACCGTGCACATTACATAAAAATTTACTCAAAATGGATCAGCCTAAACATAAAAGCTACAACTATAAAACTCTTTCTTTTTTTTTTTTTTTTGAGACAGAGTCTTGCTCTTTTGCTAAGGCTGGTGTGCAGTGGCGTGATCTCGGCTCACTGCAAGCTCCGTCTCCCGGGTTCACGCCATTCTCCTGCCTCAGCCTCCCGAGTAGCTGGGACTACAGGTGCCCGCCACCACACCCAGCTGATTTTTTGTACATTTTTTAGTAGAGATGGGGTTTCACCATGTTGGCCAGGATGGTCTCGATCTCCTGACCTCGTGATCCGCCCACCCCGGCCTCCCAAAGCGCTGGGATTACAGGCGTGACCACCGCGCCCAGCCCTTTTTTTCTTTCTTAAGAGACAGGGTCTCACTCTCTTGTCCAGCCTAGACTGCAAGGTGCAATCAAGGCTCAACACAGCCTCAATCTCCTGGGCTCAAGTGATCCTCCCACCTCAGCTTCCTGAGTAGCTGGGACCACAGTTGCACACCATCACACATAATTTTTTTTTTTTTTTTGAGTTAGAATCTCACTCTGTCTCAGGCTGGAGTACAGTGGCATGATCTCAGCTCACTGCAACCTCCACCTCCTGTGCTCAAGCGATTCTCTTGCCTTGGCCTCTTAAGTGGCACATGCCCCCATGCCTGGCTAATTTTTCTATTTTTAGTAGACAGGGTTTCACCATGTTGGCCAGGCTGGTCCTAAACTCCTAACCTCAAGGGATCTGCATGTCTCAGCCTCGCAAAGTGCTGGGATTACAGACGTGAGCCACCACACCCAGCCTAAATTTTTCTTTTTTTTTTGGTAGAGATGAGGTCTCACTATATGGGCCAGGCTGGTCTTGAACTCCTGGGCTCAAGCAATCCTCCCACCTCAGCCTTCCAAAGTGCTGGGATTACAGTTGTGAGCCACCACGCCTGGCTTAACACTCTTTTTTTTTTTCTGAGACAGAGTCTCGCTGTGTTGCCCAGACTGAAGTGCAGTGGAGCGATCTCAGCTCACTGCAACCTCCTCCTCCCGGGTTCAAGTGATTCTCCTGACTCAGTCTCCCGAGTACCTGGGATTACAGGCATGTGCCACCATGCCTAATTTTTGTATTTTCAGTAGAGACGGGGTTTCTCCATGTTGGTGAGGCTAGTCTTGAACTCCTGACCTAAGGTGATCAGCCTGCCTTGGCCTCCCAAAGTGCTGCGATTACAGGCATAAGCCACTGTGCCCGGCCTGGCCTAATGCTCTTGGCCAGGTGCAGTGGTTCATGCCTGTAATCCCAGCACTTTGGGTGGCTGAGGCAGGTGGATCATTTGAGCTCAGGAATTCAAGACCAGCCTGGGTAACACGGTGAAACCCCATCTCTACTAAAAATACAAAAAATTAGCCAGGCATGGTGGCATGCACCTGTAGTCCCAGCTACTCGGAAGACTGAGGCAGGAGAATCGCTTGAACCCAAGAGGCGGAGGTTGCAGTGAGCCGAGATCATGCCATTGCACTCCAGCCTGGGCAACAAGAGCGAACCTCCATCTCAAAAAAAAAAAAAACAAATTAGCCGGGTATGGTGGCCCTCGCCTGTAATCCCAGCTACTAGGGAGGCTGAGGCAGGAGAATTGCTTGAACCTGGGAAGCAGTTTGCAGTGAGCCCTGATCGTGCCACTGTACTCCAGCTCGGGTGACAGAGCAAGACTACATCTCAAAAATAAAATAAAATAAAAAAAGACCCATGCTATAACATGAAACATTTTCCTAAGTCTAACAAGCCACATACAAAAGACCACATACTGCAGGCTATTTATATGAAATGTCCATAACAGGCAAATCTATAAGACAGAAAGTAGATTAGAGATTACCTAGGGCTGGGAAAGATGGGGGAGTGACTGCTAATGGTATGGGTTTTCTTTTTCAGGGGTGATGAAAACATTCGAAGATTGACTGTGGCAATGGATATACAAGCTAGTTAATATAATAAAAAACAATGAATTGTACACTTAAAAGGGTAAATTGTATGCTATGTGAATTATATCTCAATAAAGCTGTTTAAAAGAGTAAGTATGTGTCGAGTCTGTAAGGGTCAGAACCACTAGTCTAGACCCCATCTGCCACATTTCTGGTATTTTAGGACTTTATAAAGGAAATAACAGTCCTTGCAGGGATGTGCTGAGCTCATGTAGACTTCCATTCCCTGGTACTCACCTCTGAAAGGCAGAGGGATCCATTCAGGCCAGGTGTGTGGATACTTGACATCGATGGTTGCTGGACATTAGCCATTTATGCCCATCCACACGGCTCCAGCCATCTCTGTGGGACACCCATAATAATGTTTACTTTACTTGTTCACAACTCATTAACAAAAATAAATCATTTACCAACTTTAATCCCATCCTGACAAAGTCAGCCATGTGATTACAAGTGTGATAAAGAGTCTGACTCCATTTTGGATGGTTGCTGACAGCTTTCAAGCCCCAACCCCTTTCTCCTTCTCCCTCTCATCTGGGCAAGCCAACAAGAAAGTCTGGGAGTTTCCTCCTTGGTGCCAGCAGGAAGTTCAAACTATGCAAGCCCCAACCCCAACCCCATTACCTAATCACAGTGAAAGCCCAGCCACAGCCGGGTGCACTGGATAACACCTGTAATACCAGCACTTTGGGAGGTTGAGGCAGGAGGATCACTTGAGCCTAGGAGTTCAAGGCCAGCTTAGACAATGTAGTGAAATGCCTTTAGCCAGGCGTGATGGTGCATACCTGAAGTCCCAGCTACTTGGTAGCCCAGGAGCTCAAGGCTGCAGTGAGCTGTGATCGTGCCACTGCACTCCAGCCTGGGTGAGACAGCAAGACCCTATCTCAAAAAAAAGAAAACAAAAATTAACAAAAATTATATAGTATCTTTGTGGTGAAAACTTGAAAAAGTTTACTCAAGACCTGAGAGGGCATTTGAGTAAGAGAGGAGCTAGACCAGGTACACAGATGAAAGGGCTGGGTACTGAAACCAGGACAACTCTCACTAGACCTGTAAAAGCAATGCCTTCCAAGCAAATCTCTGGAATAATTTTACTGATGCGTGACAAAATTCACACTGAAGAAGACAGCTTCCTGAAATATCCATGACAACTCCTTAAAAAACAAAAAGAAGAGAGGAAAAAGAGCTAGGAGTAGTTGTTTTGCCAAAGTCAAGGCTCCTCCTTAAAGTTCCAGTAAGCAAGCAACCCAGTGAAGGTACAGGAAGGACAGAGCCCCAAACAGACTTGGAGGCATTTAATAATTTAAAAGGTGATAAAGGTGGCCTCACACATTAGCAAAAGTAAGTATATCTCGTGCTGTCTTTTCAGATGGAAAAATAATTACAATTCCAAATTCACTCACGCTCACACACAGGCTTATAAGACCTAAATAGTATGTGAGAAAAAATTTTTTTGAATGATTAGAAATAATAGAACTAGGCTGGGCGCAGTGGCTCACACTTATAATCCCAGGACTTTGGGAGGCCGAGGCAAGTGGATCACCCGAGGTCAGGAGTTCGAGACCAGCCTGGCCAACATAGTGAAACCCTGTCTCTACTAGAAATACAAAAATTAGCCAGGCGTGGTGGCAGGCGCCCGTAATCTCAGCTACTCGGGAGGCTGAGGGAGAAGAATTGCTGGAACCCGGGAGGCAGAGGTTGCAGTGAGCCGAGATTGCACCATTTCACTCCAGCCCGGGCAACAACAGCGAGACTCAGTCTCAAAAAATAAATAAATAAATAAATATAGAACTACAAGAATATCTTTGAGTTATCAGAGTAGAAAAAAATTGTGGGTTTTTTTGTTGTTGTTATTTTTTATTTTTTTATTTTTCAGATGGAGTCTTGCTCTGTTGCCCAGGCTGGAGTGCAGTGGCGTGATCTCAACTCACTGCAACCTCCGCCTCCTGGGTTCAAGCAATTCTCTTGCCTCAGCCTCCTGAGTAGCCAGGACTACAGGTACCTGCCACCACACGCAGCTAATTTTACATCTATATCTATCTATCTATCTATCTATCTATCTATATATATATATATATTTTTTTTTTGAGACGGAGTCTCGCTCTGTAGCTGGGCTGGAGTGCAGTGGCGCGATCTCGGCTCACTGCAACCTCCGCTTCCTGGGTTCAAGTGACTCTCGTGCCTCAGCCTCCCGAGTAGTTGGGATTACAGGCACGCGTCACCACACTCGGCTAATTGTTTATATTTTTAATAGAGATGGGGTTTCACCAAGTCGGCCAGGCTGATCTTGAACTCCTGACCTCAGGTGATCTGCCTGCCTCGACCTCCCAAAATGCTAGGATTACAGGCATGAGCCATGGCGCCCAGCCAAGAATTTTTTTTTTTTTTTTTTTTTTTAAAGAGACAGAGTCTTGCTTTGATGCTCAGGCTTGAATGCAGTAGTATGATCATGGCTCACTGTAATCTTGAATGCCTGGGCTCAGGAGCCATGACCATAGGAGTATGCCATCACACCTGGATAATTTTTTTTCTTTTTTTTTTTTTTTTTGATACAGAGTTTTGATCTGTCACCCAGGCTGGAGTGCAGTGGTGCGATCTCTGCTCACTGCAAGCTCTGCCTCCCGGGTTCACGCCATTCTCCTGCCTCAGCCTCCCGAGTAGCTGGGACTTCAGGTGCCTGCCACCATGCCTGGCTAATTTTTTGTATTTTTAGTACAGACGGGGTTTCACCATGTTAGCCAAGATGGTCTCGATCTCCTGACCTCGTGACCCGCCCGCCTCGGCCTCCCAAAGTGCTGGAATTACAGGCGTGAGCCACCGCGCCTGGCCATTTTTTTTTTTTAAATGTTTTGTAGAGATTGGGTCTCACTGTGTTGCCCAGGCTGGTTTCAAACTCCTGAGCTCAAGTGATCCTCCAGCCTCAGATTCCCAAAGTGCTGGGATTAAGGCGTGAGCCACCACTACATCAAGCCAAAAAAAATTTCTTTTTTCTTCCTTTTTTTTTTTTTTTTTTTTTTTTGGAGACAGTGCCTCACTCTGTCACCCAGGCTGGAGTGTAGTGGCATGATCTCAGCTCACTGCAACCTCCGCCTCCTGGGTTTAAGTGATTCTCCTGCCTCAGCTGCCTGAGTAGCTTGGATTACATGTGCCCACCACCATACCCAGCTAATTTTTATATTTTTAGTAGAGATGGGGTTTCACCATGTCGGCCAGGCTGGTGTTGAACTCCTGACCTCAAGTGATCTACCCGCCTCAGCTTCCCAAGGTGCTGGGATTATAGGCGCGAGCCACTGCGCCAAGCCAAAGAATTTCTCAACTCACAAAAGGCACAAAACATAAAGAAAAAGATTTGAAACATCTTACTATATCAAAATGAGTAATACACCATGAACATAAGATTAAAAGAACATTCAAAGTACCATCTCTAGAATGGCTTATCAATTACAGAGGGGAAAAAGCGGAGGATCCTGGCAGAGAGCACTTTAACCACATGACAAAAACCTGATCACCACCAGCCTCACATGCTTCCTGACACGACACACCAAGAAGAACATGATGTCACTTAGACAATGCCCTGCCAAAGACGAGAGTCTGAATTTAATATTGGGAATGTCAACTGAACATCAAGTGACAATCTACACAACCACCAGCTGGGTCTTTTAAAAATATATCAATTTCATGAAAAAAAAAAAAAAAGAAAGGAGAGTGCCATTCAAGGTTGAGGAAGACTAAAATAACATGACAAGTCAATGTAACACAGGATCCTGGATTGGATCCTGGATCAAAACAAATACCCAAAAACCATACAAACTGTATCAGCTGCATACAAACTATATCAGACAGGAATTCTGTATCAATAATAAAGTATCTGGGGCCAGGCGCAGTGGCTCACACCTGTAATCCCAGCACTGTAGGAGGCCAAGGTGGGCAGATCACTTGAAGTCAGGAGTTCAAGACCAGCCTGGCCAACATGGCGGAACCCCGTCTCTACTAAAAATACAAATATTAGCTGGGCATAGTGGCACACACCTGTAATTCCAGCTACTTGGGAGGCTGAGGCAGGAAAACCACTTGAGCCTGGGAAGTAGAGGTTGCAGTGAGCCGAGATCGCTCCACTGCACTCTACCCTGGGTGACGGAGTAAGATTCCATCTTTAAAAAAAAAAAGTAGGTGGTACCTGGTCAAGAGAGGAAGGTAGTCCCTCTCCCTCTCCCCCTCCCCCTCTCCCTCTCCCCACGGTCTCCCTCTCCCTCTCTTTCCACGGTCTCCCTCTGATGCCGAGCCGAAGCTGGACGGTACTGCTGCCATCTCGGCTCACTGCAACCTCCCTGCCTGATTCTCCCGCCTCAGCCTGCCGAGTGCCTGCAATTGCAGGCACGCGCCGCCACGCCTGACTGGTTTTCGTATTTTTTTGGTGGAGACGGGGTTTCGCTGTGTTGGCCAGGCTGGTCTCCAGCTCCTAACCACGAGTGATCCGCCAGCCTCGGCCTCCCGAGGTGCCGGGATTGCAGACGGAGTCTGGTTCACTCAGTGCTCAATGGTGCCCAGGCTGGAGTGCAGTGGCGTGATCTTGGCTTGCTACAACCTCCACCTCCCAGCCACCTGCCTTGGCCTCCCAAAGTGCCGAGAGTGCAGCCTCTGCCCGGCCGCCACCCTGTCTGGGAAGTGAGGAGCATCTCTGCCTGGCCGCCCATCATCTGGGACGTGAGGAGCCCCTCTGCCTGGCTGCCCAGTCTGGAAAGTGAGGAGCGTCTCTGCCCGGCCGCCATCCCATCTAGGAAGTGAGGAGCGTCTCTGCCCGGCCGCCCATCGTCTGAGATGTGGGGAGCGCCTCTGCCCCGCCGCCCCATCTGGGATGTGAGGAGCGCCTCTGCCCGGCCGCGACCCCGTCTGGGAGGTGAGGAGCGTCTCTGCCCAGCCGCCCCGTCTGAGAAGTGAGGAGACCCTCCGCCTGGCAACCGCCCCGTCTGAGAAGTGAGGAGCCCCTCCGCCAGGCAGCCGCCCCGTCTGAGAAGTGAGGAGCCCCTCCGCCCGGCAGCCACCCCGTCTGGGAAGTGAGGAGCGTCTCCGCCTGGCAGCCACCCCGTCCAGGAGGGAGGTGGGGGGCCAGCCCCCCGCCCGGCCAGCCGCCCCGTCCGGGAGGTGAGGGGCGCCTCTGCCCAGCCGCCCCTACTGGGAAGTGAGGAGCCCCTCTGCCCGGCCAGCCGCCCCGCCCGGGAGGGAGGTGGGGGGGTCAGCCCCCCGCCCGGCCAGCCGCCCCGTCCGGGAGGGAGGTGGGGGGGTCAGCCCTCCGCCTGGCCAGACGCCCCGTCCAGGAGGGAGGTGGGGGGCCAGCCCCCCGCCCGGCCAGCCGCCCTGTCTGGGAGATGAGGGGCGCCTCTGCCCGGCTGCCCCACTGGGAAGTGAGGAGACCCTCTGCCCGGCCAGCCGCCCCGTCCGGGAGGGAGGTGGGGGGGGTCAGCCCCCCCACCCGGCCAGCCGCCCCGTCCGGGAGGTGAGGGGCGCCTCTGCCCAGCCGCCCCTACTGGGAAGTGAGGAGCCCCTATGCCCAGCCACCACCCCGTCTGGGAGGTGTACCCAACAGCTCAATGAGAACGGGCCATGATGACAATGGCGGTTTTGTGGAATAGAAAGGGGGGAAAGGTGGGGAAAAGATTGAGAAATCGGATGGTTGCCGTGTCTGTGCAGAAAGTAGACATGGGAGACTTTTCATTTTGTTCTGTACTAAGAAAAATTCTTCTGCCTTGGGATCCTGTTGATCTGTGACCTTACCCCCAACCCTGTGCTCTCTGAAACATGTGCTGTGTCCACTCAGGGTTAAATGGATTAAGGGCGGTGCAAGATGTGCTTTGTTAAACAGATGCTTGAAGGCAGCATGCTCCTTAAGAGTCATCACCACTCCCTAATCTCAAGTACCCAGGGACACAAACACTGCGCGGAAGGCCGCAGGGTCCTCTGCCTAGGAAAACCAGAGACCTTTGTTCACTTATTTATCTGCTGACCTCCCCTCCACTATTGTCCTATGACCCTGCCAAATCCCCCTCTGCGAGAAACACCCAAGAATGATCAATTAAAAAAAAAAAAAAAAAAAGAGAGGAAGGTAAAAAATTTCCCTGTTTCTTCTTTTCCAGGTTCAGATTGGCAGGAAAAAAAAATTACAAATAAAAAACAATTAGTTTTTTGAAAAAAAAAAAGTATACTTGGGTGTGATAATAACACTAGTTTTGTTTAAATGTTCAAATGTTCTTTTTGGCTGGGTGTGGTGGCTCACACCTGTAATCCCACCACTTTGGGAGGCCAAGGCAGGAGGACTGCTTAAGACCAGGAGTTCAAGAACAGTCTGGGCAACATAGTGAGATCTCATCTCTATAAAAAATACAAAATTAAAAAATAAGAACGTTACTTTTCTTATGAGATCCTGGCTGAAGTATTTCAGAGTGAGGTATGATATCTATAACATACTTCCAGTAACTCAGCCAAAAAAACTAAGTGTATGTAAATATATGTCTGTATCACACCTGCCTCTGCAACACCTGCTGTGTGTACAAGTGTGTGTAAAATATAAAAAGAAAACCCTATGTCAGAGGCGTTTGAACCAAAGCAAACCTCCATCTTAAATGGGGACTGGGTAAAATAAGGCTGAAACCTACTGGGCTGCATTTCCAGACAGTTAAGGCATTCTAGGTCATAGGATAACACAGGAGATTTGCACAAGATACAGGTCATAAAGACCTTGTTGATAAAACAGCTTGCAGTAAAGGTGGCTAAAACCCACCAAAACCAAGATGGCAACGAGAGTGACCTCTGGTCCTGCTCCCACTAGCACCATGACAGTTTACAAATGTCATGGAAACATCAGGAAGTTACCCTATATGGCCTAAAAATGGTAGGCATGAATAATCCACCCCTTGTTTAGCATATAATCAAGAAATAACCATAAAAATGGGCGACCAGCAGTTCTTGGGGCTGCTCTATCTATGGAGTAGCCATTTTTTTATTCCTTTACTTTCTTAATAAGCTTGCTTTCACTTTACTCTATGGACTCGCCCTGAATTTTCTTTCCCAAGATATAAGAACCCTCTGTTGGGTTATAGCTCGGGACCCCCTTTCTGGTAACACCTATGCATGTGTCTCAGGCAGGGAGAAGATAAAGATAAAGCTAATGTGGCAAAAAGTGTTAATAATTTTAGAATCTGGATGGTTTTAGAAGTGTTAAACTATTCCTGCAACTTCTATGCAAATGCGGAACTTTTCAAAATGAAAAGTTGGGTGAAGAGAGAGGTAAACAAGCAGTAGAATGGAGGAAAGTCACTTGCTGTGGGAAAAAAGAAAAAACAGACAAAAACTGGGTATTCAAAACGTACTTCAACAAGCCCAAGTTCCTATAGCCAAATTTTTTAACTTGGCAAAAAATAAAGGACCTTTTCAGGCTGATGGTAATTTTAATAAAGGTTTAGGTTGCATTTGTCAAAATTCATCAATGGTACAGGGAATATCTGTGCATTTCACTGAAAGTCAATTTTGGCTCAAAAAATTTAAAAAAGCACTACTGAACTCTAATTCATGGTAAGCATAGTGAGGTGTTTGAGGGAGAAGTGTTGTGATATCTGCAACTTACTTTGAAATGTTTCCAAAAATAGGTGGATTAATGAATGGCTGAAAGGATGGACAGAAGGAAAGATAAGGGATACAGTAAGTTCAGCAGACGTTAACCGGGTCGTTCACTGCACAAGTCTTTCAGCTTCTCTATCTAAACCAACATTTTATGTCATAAAATATTGAGACTGGAAGACTGCACAAAGGAAATATGCCACTAAACCAAGGGAAAAGACAGCAAAATGGTCACTAAACACGTGCAAAAATGCGGCCCTCACTGAGAATTGCAGTAAAACATGATTTTGCAAATATCAAATGGAAAAACACACAGGTGATCTAACACCTTCGAGACTCAAGGGGAAGCGGCTCAGCCCACTGGCTCACGGCCGCCAATTCAGCCGGAGGCCGACCCAAGCCTACACTGCCCCTCACACCTGACAGAAAAGCTGCAGACTCGGGGGTTACCCCCGGAGACGGACCAGGACACCCAGCAGGCGTGGCAAAACAGTCTCTATGGGAGGGCGGGCTAGAGATGCGAGCGCGGAACTCACGGGTGACGCTAAGGAAAGAGCGGGGGCGTCCAGACCAGCCCCGGAGCGACCTCGTCCTCAGAGGAGTGACCCCAATCGCCACGGAGCGTCCCCACCCACCAGGAGAACTACGCCCCTGGCCAGACCCTCGCCCTAGCGGGCCCGACATGCCCACCACCCAGGTGAAACCCACCCGCGGACGCGCCCCTCGCCGCCCCACAAGGACCCGGCGGACCTCCACCCGCCAAGACTTCCCTCCGCAGGAAACGGAGGCAGCGCAGGGCTCAGGGATGCGTCGGCACTTACGGTTGGCGGCCGGCGGCAGCCATGTTCCGGGCGATTGCGCTTGCGCGGCTGCCGGGACAAGGATGTGCGCGTGCGCGGAGTCCCCGAGCTTCCCCCGCCCAACGCTGGGGCGGCCGCGGGTACCGGGTTATTCATTACCCTGGCGTGGACTTGCCTCGGGGCGGACGCGCAGGCATTTACTTTCTCCTATGGTCTCCTCTGATTTTTAACCCGATGCTATCATTCTTTTGTTATAGAGCCTTCCTTTTATTTACTGCATAATTTCCTAAAATATTTCTTTATCTATAATCTTTTTTTGAGATAATAATGTTAAAATTCAGAATAAGTACACTCATTATTCATTGGCAATATAATTATTTACTGGGTGCGTGGCTCACGCCTGTAATCCCAGCATTTTGGGAGGCCTAATTTGTTAAAATGACTAGATCTAAGAAATGTAAACAAAGCCAGTAACTTTCCTCTGTAGTAACAATAGCCGGTTGAAAATGAAAACTACACATTTTCATTCTTTCAGTGGTTCTCTTAAACTTTAGCATGGGGAAGCCTAAATATTTACTGACAGGGAAGAGAGAAACTGTGGTATGTGCAACGGAGCAATAGGGGGTGGTTAAAACAAACGGACTGGGCTCACCTAAGGTCAGGAGTTTGAGACCAGCCTGGCCAACATGGTGAAACCCCGTCTCCACTAAAAATACAAAAATTAGCTAGGCGTGGTGGCAGGCGCCTGTAATCCCAGCTCCTCGGGAGGCTGAGGCAAGAGAATCACTTGAACCTGGGAGGCGGAGGTTGCAGTGAGCTGAGATCGTACCATCACACTCCAGCCTGGGGGACAAGAGGGAGACTTCGTCTCAAAAAAAAAAAAAAAAAAAAGGACTAACTTATATACAAGATAGACAGTTCTCCAAAAACAGTTCGAAAAGTAAACTGTGCACTTATCCACATGATACAACTTACCTGGAAATAAAAGACACAAAATCTATATGTTATACAGAGATTGATACATAAGTAGTAAAGTAACAATAACATGGACCAGATAGATTGTCCAACCTCAAGAAAGTGGCAACTGAGGGGAAAGAGTTGGGGAGGAGACAAAGGAGACCTCAGTTACACCTGTGATGCTTGATAGGAAAAAACAAATCAAAACCTGAAAATCTGACTACATGTTAACACAGGTAAAATCTCGATGATACATGGGTGTCATCTTTATTATTTATAGATTATTCTATTACTCTCCGAACCTCTCCGCAGGTTGAAATACTTCACAATTTTGAAATGAAAATTAGAAAAAAAATTCTAAGCCATAATAGTGATTAAATTGTCACTCACAATAGTGATGGTTGGAGCAACTTGGAAATCAATTAGCAAAAGCAATAAAGGATCTTCATGAAGAAAATACAAAAACCTCATTAACAGACCTGAAGTTAAGTTCAGAACACACTGACATATTATTCCTGAATGGAAAGTATTTTTTTAATTTCTCCATGAAGGCCGTATCAGACCAGGCACAGTGGCTCATGCCTGTAATTCCAACTCTTTGGGAAGCCGGGCTGGGGGGATCACCTGAGGTCAGGAGTTCAAGATGAGCCTGGCCAACATGGTGAAACCCCATCTCTAAAAATATAAAAATTGGCTGGGCACAGTGGCTCATGCCTGCAATCCTAGTACTCGGTCTCAAAAAAAAAAAAAAAATCTTCACAAAACTACTAAACAAAAGTATAGCAATTCCAATTCAAAGACTCCCCCCGCCCCCAGCTCACAGAATAAAACAACTTAAAGATCATATGGAGAAAAGTCCAACAGTATCTGGTTAAAAGAACAGTCGGAGACCGGACGCGGTGGCTCACAACTGTAATCCCAGCACTTTGGGAGGCCGAGGCAGGTGGATCACTTGAGGTCAGGAATTCAAGACCAGCCTGGCAAACATTGTGAAACCTGTCTCTACTAAAAATACAAAAATTAGCCGGGGGTGGTGGCGGGTGCCTATAATCCTAGCTACTCCGGAGGCTGAGGCAGGAGAATTGCCTGAATCCTGGAGGCGGAGGTTGCAGTGAGCTGAGATCGTGCCACTGCACTCCAGCCTGGGTGACAGCTATACTCTCGTCTCAAAAAAAAAAGTCAGGCACCCTTTATTAGATACTAAAATGTACCATATTAAGCAGATGGGCTCAAATAGGCACTAATACAGACACAAATATCAGAAGAATAGAAGAGTATGCAAGAAGAGATGAGTAAAAGTAATAATCTAGTAATAAAGTTAACAATAAAGCATAACATCATTAATAATAACAAGGGTGTTTTTTCCATTCAGTGGCAAAGAGAAATCCTTAGTGCTAAGTACTGTGCTGGCACAAGTGTATATTCTTTTTTGTATTTTTTGAGACTGAGTCTCACTCTGTCCCCCAGGCTGGAGTGCAGTGACAAGATCTCAGCTCACTGCAACCTCCACCTTCCAGGTTCAAGTGAATCTCCTGCCTCAGCCTCCAGAGTAGCTGGGATTACATGCGCACACCACCACACCCGGCTAATTTTTGTATTTTTAGTAGAGACAGGGTTTCACCTTGTTGGCCAGGCTGGTCTCAAACTCCTGACCTCAGGTGATCCACCCACCTCAGCCTCCCAAAGTGCTGGGATGACAGGCGTGAGCCACTGCGCCTGGCCACAAGTGTATATTCTTGTAGGTCACATGTAGGCAATCTTTTTCTGTGAAAAGCCCAATAATAAATATTTTCAGCTTTGCAGACCATAAGGTCTCTGCCATGACTACCCAACTCTTCCAGATAGCAGCATAGATAATACTAAACAAACAAGTGTGACTGCATTCCAATAAAACTTTACAGAAACAGAAGGCCCACTGAGGCCATTGTTTGCCAATCCCTGTTCAGGAATTATCTGTTTGTTCTTGGGGTAGGAGACTTTCTACATCAAGATAAGCATCCCAGAAGTCATTTACAAAATGGCACTTTTTTTTTCTCTTAGAAATGGGGTCTTGCTTTGCTGTCCAGGATGTAGTCCAGTGGCATGATCATAGCCCACTGCAGCCTTGACCTCCTGGGCTCAAGCAATCCTCCCATCTCGACCTCCCCAGTTGCTGGGACTACAGGTGTACACCACCATGCCTGGCTAATTTTTTTAGTACAGATGGGGTCTCACTATTTTACCCAGGCTGCTCTCAAACTCCAGGGCTCAAGTAATCCTCAGCCTCCCAAAGTGCTGGCGTTACAGGCGTGATCCACCCTGCCTGGCCAACATATGTGATTTTTTTTTTTTTTTGAGACAGTCTTGCTCTATCGCCCAGGCTGGGGTGCAGTGGCGTGATCTCAGCTCACTGCAGCCTCCAAACTCTGCATCCCCGGTTCAAGCGATTCTCCTGTTTCAGCCTCCCAAGTAGCAGGGATTACAGGCACGTGCCACCACGCGCGGCTAATTTTTGTATTTTTAGTAGAGACGGGGTTTCACCATGTTGGCCAGGCTGGTCTACAACCCCTGAGCTCAGGCAATCCGCCCGCTTGGGCCACCCAAAGTGCCGGGATTACAGGCGTCAGCCACAGCTGTAACTTATTTAATGGGGCACTCAAGGCCTTTTGCTGCTGGCTCAACATCCCTTTCAGGCCTTCACTGACCTATGCCACACAGCACTTGCGCCCAGGGATAAAGAGCCGGATCAGCTTCTGCTCACCCCAGTCCTCTTGCCAGAAAGGCCCTCTGGCCTTTGTCCAGTTGCTGGACGCTGCCTCTTCTTTCTGGTTGGTCTCCTCCTCCAGGAGGCATTCGCGAACGCCCCAGTGGAGCCACACGGTCCATGCCTCTTCCACTTATTTCCCCAGGGCTCACATTCCACAACTACTAAATCAACACCGACACACTCATAAGCAGCCCCTTCCTCGTCCTTTTTTTCCTTCTGAGCTCGGGAACGTCTGCTGGGGGTGAGGGGGACTCGCAGACCACCCCCCCCCCCGCCCCAGGCGGAGGTCGGGGGCCGTCACCTGGCCAGGTGTCCGGGGAACGGCTCGGGCGGCTGACACCGCAGTCCGCGAGAGGCGAGGAGGATCCTTGGACTGTGGGCAGGATCGCAGGCAGCGGAGGCCCTGCCCGGAAGGCGGGATCTGGGGACGATCCCCATTCCTCCCAGCCGCAGACGCGGAGCCCACAGGAGTCCCCGCAGCCCTAGCCCGTGCACCCACGGCGGAGCCGAGGCCGCGACTCCGGGCCTGTTGGCTGGAACCCGCAGCCGTGTCTCGGGCCGCCCCGGTAGCGGCCACCCCTGAGAGCACTCGGCCCCGTTCTATCCCGCAGTGGTTTGGGGAGTGCAGGTCATCACTCCCACCCGCCAAGGCGGACGCCGGACCCTCCATTGCGCATGAGCGCCCACTGCGGCGCCGTTGCTGCGCATGAGTGTGCTTCCACCGCCTACATCTCCCAGAAAACCCCGCGGCGCGGCGCTCCACCGCTTCCGCCCTCGGGTTGCGTTAGCCGCGACGATGGCGCCCCCCAGTGGCAGCAGGGAGGCTGTGGGGGTGCTGGGCGTTGCGGTGTGCAGGTTTTCTGGGAGGATACCTGGCGCCGACCTTGAAGGGACCCCAACGTGAGAGGGAAAGACGCCCGTGATGCCAAGGCTTGGGCAGCGGACAGCCAAAATCCTGAAACCCCGCGGTGCTCCCTGTGATTCACTTTCCAGAGGCCCCTCAGTGCCCCGACGCTGGCCCGGAGGGCGGTCGCTGACTGTCTTGAGACTGAAGCTCACTTTCGGATCCTGGGCGTTCTTGCCAGGTTTTTTTTATTAATACAGAGAAAACCAGTGGCTTTGTGACAGTTAGTTTTGAAACTCCCTGAGGAGGGCCGAGCGCAGTGGCTCACGCCTGTAATCCTAGCGCTTTGGGAGGCCGAGGTGGGCGGATCTCCTGAGGTCAGGAGTTCAAGACTAGCCTGGCCAACATGGTGAAACCCCGTCTACTAAAAATACAAAAAATTAGCCGGGCGTGGTGGCGGGCACCTGTAATCCCAGCTACTCAGGAAGGCTGAGGCAAGAGAATCGCTTGAACCCGGGAGGCGGAGGTTGCGGTGAGCCTAGATCGTGCCATTGCACTCCAGCCTGGGCAACAAGAGCGAAACTCAGTCTCAAAAGAAAGGGAGAAAGGGAGAAAGAGAGAGAGGAAGGGAGGAAGGAAGGAAGGAAGAAAAGAGAAAGAAAGAGTCCCTGAGGAGCAAGCAATTCCCTCAGCCAAAGAGGTAAGAACTGCAAAATTGATAAATATTGCATTTATCTTACCCCCACATTTTATTAAGAACATTTTCAAACATGCAGAAAATTTGAAACGATTGTGTGGGCCTGGCACAGTGGCTCACGCCTGTACTTTCTGCACTTTGGGAGGCTGGGAAGGGAGGGTCGCTTGAGCTCAGGAGTTTGAGACCAGTCTGGGCAACATAGTGAGAACTCGTCTCTACAAAAAAATTTAAAAAATTAACCGGGCTTCGTGGCGCGCGCCTGTAGTCCCAGCTACTCAGGAGTCTGAGGCGGGAGGATCCCTTGAGCCCGGGGATGTTGAGGAATGATTGTACCACTGCACTCCAGCCTGGACGACAGAGCGAGACCCTGTCTCACAAGAAAAAAAAAATTGTGTGAACACCCACGTACCCAGGCCCTGGGTTAGATAATTAATATTCGACAATATGTGCTTGATCCAAGTATCCATTATTGCATTTATTTCGATAGTAATTAAACAGGAGATTGAGTGACTATGGGCCAGCCGTGGAGGCTCATGCTTGTAATCTCACACTTTGAGAGGCTGAGGCAGGAGAATCACTGGAGCACAGGAGATCAAGCCTGCAGTGAGCTGTGATTGCACTTCAGCCCAGGTGACACAGTGAGACCCTGTCTCACAAGAAAAAAATAAAAATGAGTGACTAATGGATTCAAGCCAATTAGCATCTGCTTATTAGCACATATGCTTTCTAGTTACATAAACTGAGTCAAAAGATTTCATTTCTCTAAAATTTTGTCATTTAACCATCAGAGTAGAGTATAACATACAGGGATGTATGAGGACTGTATTAGCTAATACCTGTGTGCTCTGCATGGTAAACCTTCAATGCAAATCCACTGTTTAATTACTGAAGCACATTTCGGAAGAACTGCTACAAGTACAATTCCTAGATGCTAGCGAGAATGGCATAAATATTTAAAATAGTTTTAGTTATATATTATGAAATTTCCTTTCATACGTCTTCTACCATCAGTGTGAGAAGGTCACCGCCACCCACGTTCACCCAGCAGATACTCATGTTCTCTAAGCTTTGCATGTCTCTGTTGTTTTCTGTTGTTGTTTGTTTGTTTAAGACGGAGTCTTGCTCTGCTGCCCAGGCTGGAGTGCAGTGGCACTGAGAGGTGACAGCGTGCTGGCAGCCCTCGCTCGCTCTTGGTGCCTCCTTAGCCTCGGCGTATGCTCTGGCCATGCTCGGGTAGCCCTTCAGCCTGCCACTGCGCTGTGGAGCCCCTGTCTGGGCTGGTTGAGGCCGGAGCCTGCTCCCTCAGCTTGCCGGGAGGTGTGGAGGGAGGAGGCGCGGGCGGGAACCTGGGCTGCGCGCGCTGCGCTTGCGGGCCAGCTAGAGTTCCGGATGGGCGTGGGCTGGGCGGGCCCCGCACTCTGAGTGGCCAGCCGGCCCCGCCAGCCCCGGGCAGTGAGGGGCTTACCACCCGGGCCAGCAGCTGCGGAGGGTGCGCTGGGTCCCCCAGCAGTGCTGGCCCACCGGCGCTGCGCTCGATTTCTCGCCGGGACTTAGCTGCCTCCCCGCGTGGCAGGGCTCGGGACCTGCAGGCCGCCATGCCTGAGCCTCCCCGCAACCCCCGCCCTGGGCTCCTGCGCGGCCGGAGCCTCCCCGACGAGCGTCGCCCCCTGCTCCACAGCGCCAGGTCCCATCAACTGCCCAAGAGCTGCGGAATGCGGGCGCAAGGCGCGAGACTGGCAGGCAGCTCCACCTGCGGCCCTGTGCGGGATCCACTGGGTGAAGCCAGCTGGGCTCCTGAGTCTAGTAGGGACTTGGAGAACCTTTATGTCTAGCTAAGGGATTGTAAATACACCAGTCAGCACTCTGTATCTAGCTCAAGGTTTGTAAACACACCAATCAGCACTGTGTGTCTAGCTCAGGAGTTTGTGGATGCACCAATCAGTGCTCTGTGTTTAGCTAATCTAGTGGGGACTTGGAGAATTTTTGTGTCTAGCTCAGGGATTGTAAATGCACCAATCAGCACCCTGTCAAAATGGACCAATCAGCTCTCTGTAAAATGGACCAATCAGCAGGATGTGGGTGGGGCCAGATAAGGGAATAAAAGCAGGCTGCCCGAGCCCCCAGTGGTAACGTGTTGGGGTCTGCATCCACATGGTTGAGGCTTTGTTGTTTGGCTGTTTGCAATATATCTTGCTGCTGCTTGCTCTTTGGGTCCGCATTGCATTTATGAGCTGTAACAGTCAATACCAAGGTTTGCAGCTTCACTCCTAAGCCAAGGAGACCATGAAGCCACCAGAAGGAAGAGACTCCGAACACATCCAAACATCAGAAGAAACAAATTCCAGAGACGCTGCTTTTAAGAACTGTAACACTCACTGCAAGGGTCTGTGGGTTCATTCTTGAAGTCAGTGAGACTAAGAACCCACCATTTCCAGACACGCACAATCTCAGCTCACTGCAACCTCCGCCTCCTGGGTTCAAGCAATTTTTTTGCCTCAGCCTCCCGAGTACCTGGGACTATAGGGGCGCATCACCACACCCTGCTATTTTTTGTATTTTTAGTAGAGACGGAGTTTCACCATATTGGCCAGGTTGGTCTCAAAACTCCTGACCTCGTGATCTGCCTGCCTCGGCCTCCCAAAGTGCTAGGATTACAGGCGTGAGCCACTGCGCCTGGCCTGTTCACTGTTTTTGTGTAACAACTTACCACAAAATTACCAGCTTAAAAACCACATTTTTTTTCTTTTTTTTGGAGATGGAGTTGTGCTCTGTTGCCCAGGCTGGAGTGCAGTGTCACGATCTCGGCTCACTGCGGGCTCCGCCTCGTGGGGAAAGCCACGTGTATTTATTATCTCAGTGTTCTTGTGAGTCAAGAGTCTGGGCATAGCTTAACTAGGCCCTCTGTTTAGGATCTCCAGAGGTAGCAATCAAGCTGTCAGCTGGCTTCATTCCCATCTGTAGACTTGATTATAGAAGTATCTACTTTCATGTTCATTCAGTTGGCTGAATCCATTTCTTTTTTTTCTTTCTTTTTTTTTTTTTTTTATGAGACGGAGTTTAGCTCTTGTTGCCCAGGCTGGAGTGCAGTGGCGCGATCTCGGTTCACCGCAACCTCTGCCTCCCAGGTTCAAGCAATTCTCCTGCTTCAGCCTCTTGAGTAGCTGGGATTATAGTCATGCACCACCATGCTTGGCTAATTTTGTATTTTTAGTAGAGACAGGGTTTCTCCGTGTTGAGGGTGGTCTCGAACTCCTGACGTCAGGTGATCCACCTGCCTCGGCCTCCAAAAGTGTTGGGATTACAAGCCTGAGCCACCGCGCCCCGCCTGAATCCATTTCTTTGCAGCTGTAGAGCTCACAGTAGCTTCCTTTTTTCAGGCCACCAGCAAGAGTCTGTAAGTAAGCCTTCTTATTTATTTATTTATTTAGACAGAACCTCACCTCGCTTTGTCATTCAGGCTGTAGTGCAGTGGCGCAATCATACTTTACTACAGCCTTAACTTCCTGGGCTCAAGCATTTCTCCTGCCTCAGCATCTCAAATAGCTGGGATTACAGGCATATGCACCACCATGCCTGGTTAATTTTTTTTTTTTTTTTTTTTTGAGAGGGAGTCTTACTCTGTCGCCCAAGCTGGAGTGCAGTGGTGCGATCTCGGCTCACTGCAACCTCTGCCCCCTGGGTTCAAGCGATTCTCCTGCCTCAGCCTCATGAGTAGCTGCGATTACAGGCGCCTGCCACCACGCCGGGCTAATTTTTGTATTTTAGTAGAGACGGGGTTTCACTATGTAGGTCAAGCTGGTCTCGAACTCCTGACCTCAAATGATCTGCCTGCTTCGGCCTCCCAAAGTGCTGGGATTACAGGCGTGAGCCACCGTGCCTGGCCATGCCTGGCTAATTTAAAAAAAAATTTTTTTTGTTTAGCCAGGCTTGGTGGTGTGCACTTATAGTCCCAGTTACTTGGGAGGCTGAGGCAGGAGAATGGCGTGAACCCGGGAAGCGGAGCTTGCAGTGAGCCGAGATTGCGCCACTGCAGTCCGCAGTCCGGCCTGGGCGACAGAGCGAGACTCCGTCTCAAAAAAAAAAAAAAAAAAAAAAAAAAAAGATCAGTAGATACTGAGAAGGAGTTGGAACTGCAAAAGGTTTATTGGGGGGCATACCTCACACCTCTATTCACACCACATGAGCTAACATCCTGTTTGCTAAAGCTAGTCTCATGTGTTTTAGTCCCAAGTCAAGGAACAGGAAGAGGTTCTGTGTTAATTATCCACTGCTTTGTAAGAAATTACCCCAAAACATAGCTGCTTAGGCCAGGCACGGTGGCTCAAGACCAGCCTGGCCAACGTGGTGAAACCCTGTCTCTACTAAAATAAATTAGCAAAGCATGGTGTTGCGCACCTGTAATTCCAGCTACTCGGGAGGCCAGGGCAGGAGAATCATTTGAACCCCAGAAGCAGCGGTTGCAGTGAGCCAAGATTGCACCATTGCACTCCAGCCTGGGCAACAGAGTGAGACTGTCACAAAAACAAAAACGGGCCAGGCGCCGTGGCTCACGCCTGTAATCCCAGCACTTTCGGAGGCCGAGGCAGGCAGATCACGAGGTCAGGAGATTGAGACCATCCTGGCTAACATAGTGAAACCCCATCTCTACTAAAAATACAAAAAATTAGCCGGGCGTGGTGACAGGCGCCTGTGGTCCCAGCTACTCAGAGGCTGAGGCAGGAGAATGGCGTGAACCCGGGAGGCGGAGCTTGCAGTGAGCCGAGATCACGCCACTGCACTCCAGCCTGGGCGACAGAGCGAGACTCCGTCTCAAAAACAAAAACAAAAACAAAAACAAAAAACAAAAACATAGCAGCTTACAACAAGGGAAGACAACTTTTTCTGTAAAGGACCAGACAGTAAATATTTTAGGTTTGGGGGACTATATGGTCTCTGTTGCAACTGTCAACCTTGTTGTAGCACAACAGCAGCTATTGACTATACATAATACATGGGCAGAGCTGTATTTCAGTAAAACCTATGGACAGTTGAGTGTGGTGGCTCACACCTGTAATCCCAACACTTTTGGGGGCCAAGGTGGGAGGATCACTTAAACCCAGGAGTTCAAGACCAGCCTGAGCAACAAAGTGACACCCCATCCCTACAAAAATAAAAATAAAAAAACTTTATGGGCCAGGCGCGGTGGCTCACGTCTGTAATCCTAGCACTTTGGGAGGCCAAGGTGGGCGGATCACGAGGTCAGGAGATTGAGACCATCCCGGCTAACACGGTGAAACCCTGTCTCTACTAAAAATACAAAAAATTAGCCAGGCGTGGTGGTGGGCGCCTGTAGTCCCAGCTACTCGGGAAGCTGAGGCAGGAGAATGGAGTGAACCCAGGAGGTGGAGGTTGCAGTGAGCTGAGATCGTGCCACTGCACTCCAGCCTGGGTGACAGAGTGAGACTCCGTCTCAAACAAACAAACAAACAAACAAAAAACTTCATGGACACTGAAATTTGAATTTCATATAATTTTCACATCACAAAATATAATTATTCCTTTATTTTCAATTATTAAAAGATGTAAAAACTACAATTAATTGATCACAACCAGTTACAGATTTCTTTGTTCTTCTCCACTCCCACTGCTTCGTTTGACCAGCCAAAACAACAAAAAAAAGAATTTTAAAAAATATAAAAACTACTCTTAGTTCATAAGCCATCCCCTCCCCAAAAAGGCAACAGACGGGACCAGACCTGGAAACTATAGTTTGCTGACTCCTAGCAGTAACAAATTACCACAGATTTAGTGGCTTAAAACAAAATAAAGTTATTATCTTATAGTTCTGGAGGTCAGAAATCCAAAATGGGTTGGCTTTCCTTTGGGAGGCATGAGTGGAGAATACATGCCTTCCATTTTCCAGCTTCTAAAGGACACTTACATTGCTAGGTCTATGGCCCTGAGTCACTCCAACCTCTGCTTCCATCATCAAAACTCGTTTTCTGATTCTGACTCTTCTATCTTCCTCTTCCACATTTAAGTATCCTTGTGAATACACTGGGCCCACTCAGATAATCCAGGATAATCTCTGTATCTCAAGATTCCTAATTTATTCACATCTGTAAAAATTCTTTTGCCATGTGAAGTAACATTCACGAGGTTCTAGGGATGAGGATGTGGACATCTTTTGGAAACCATTACTGAGCTCACTACACAGTCCAAGAAGGCCTCTCTGAGGAGGTCAATGTTAATCTGACTTCTCAAGTAAAAGAAGGAGCCAACATACTGAGGAAGAGCATTTTGGTAGAAGGAGAGCACTAGCAAAGGCTCTGAGGTGGAGAGAATTTGGTACAATCAAGAAACCAGCCAGGCACAGTGAGTGGCTCATGCCTGTAATCCCAGCACTTTGGGAGGTCGAGGCCGACGGATCACTTGAGGTCAGGAGTTTGAGACCCGCCTGGCCAGTATGGTGAAACCCATCTCTACTAAAAATACAAAAATTAGCTGGGCATGGTGGCGCGTGCCTGTAATCCCAGCCACCTGGGAGGCTGAGGCACGAGAATTGCTTGACCCCAGGAGGTGGAGGTTGCAGTGAGCCAAGATCACGCCATTGCACTCCAGCCTGGGTGACAGCGAGACTCGTTCCCCAAGGAAAAAAAAAAAACAATAGCAGGCAGTGAAGACAGAATGGATGGGCAAGGGGAGAGAGCAGAAGAGTCAGGGGAAATCTGGCTGACATGTGCCAGGCCTTGTGCACCTTGATTAGGAGTTTGGGCTTCACCCTGAAGGAGACAGGAAACCAGAAGGGGTGGAGTTAACCTCGGGAGTGACATGATCTAATTTGCACCATTAGAAGGGCACTGCCTGATGTGTGGGGGAAGATCTCCAGCAGGCATTTAGTCACAGGCTTTGGAAATTCAGAAGCTGAGGGTTAGTGATCTCGACTTGGAAGTCATCAACATAACAGTCGAATGGTGAGGGATACAAGTCACCTCAAACAATTGGCCAAGAAACAGTCACGGTGATGCCATGCTAGGTACTGTTGCCAAGGAAATTAGCAAACAGATTTGGAATCTGCCTTTATGTAGCAATCAGCATAGTGAATGTGGATGTTCTACAAAAAAGCATAAATATTTGAGAGCAATGAGAAGTCACTCGTTGAATTTAAGCAAGAGAATTAAATGATCTAGTTTACATTTTAAGAGAGACAGGGTCGGGAGAGGGGGGAGGGATAGCATTAGGAGATATACCTAATGTTAAATGACAAGTTAATGGGTGCAGCACACCAACGTGGCACATGTGTACATATGTAACTAACCTGCACGTTGTGCACATGTACCCTAAAACTTAAAGTATATATAAATAAAAATAATAAAAAAAATAAATAAATAAATAAAAGAGACAGGGTCTTGCTGTGTCACCCAGGCTGGTGTGCAGTGGTGCAATCATAGCTTGCTGCAACCTTGGAATCCTGGGCTCAAGAAATCCCCCCACCTCAGCCTTCCAAGTAGCCGAAATCATAAGTGCACACCACCACACCCGGCTAATTAAAAAAAAACTTTTTTTGTAGAGACGGGGGTCTCACTGTGTTGTCCAGGCTGGTCTCGAACTTCTGAACTCAAGTGATCTTCCTGCCTTGGCCTCCCAAAGTGCTGGTATTACAAGGGTGAGCCACCACACCTGGCCTGATTTCCATGTTTGAACGGTTGCACTGGTTGAGTGTTGGGATGGTGTCATGAACAGAAGAGGAGATGATGATGAAAGCACTACTGTGTAGTTCAGTCAAGAAGTGTCATGACTTGGAACCGGATGAGTCAATGGAAGTAAAAAGGGGATCATTTCAATGTATGTTTAAGGTGGGCTCAGAATTTGGTGATTGATTCAAAATGGAAGTGGAAGGGTCCATGGCTACTGGCATGAGCAACTGTGATGCAATCCATGGACAGGAGAAACCTGGGAGAAGAGGAGGTAGAGCATGAGAGTAGAACTCAGTACTGACAAGGTATGGTTGTAAAATGAATAGACACTCCCAGCAGGCAGTATGAATATGGTGAAATATGTCCATGCTCAGAAAAGAATCTGGAATGAAGCTACAAATTGTGATTCATCAATGTTCAGATGGTGTTTGAAGCCAGCAGAATAAAACAGACCATACTGGTGGATGAGAGAAGAGGGCTCAGGACAAGCCCCCAAAGCACTGGGGTCCAGAAGAGCATCTTGAAAACAGCGTGAGGAGACTGGGCGCGGTGGCTCACGCCTGTAATCCCAGCACTTTGGGACGCTGAGGCTGGTGGATCACGAGGTTGGGAGATCGAGACCATCCTGGCTAACATGGTGAAATCCCGTCTCTACTAAAAATACAAAAAATTAGCTGGGCATGGTGGCGGGCGCCTGTAGTCCCAGCTACTCAGGAGGCTGAGGCAGGAGAATGGCGTGAACCCAGGAGGCAGAGCTTGCAGTGAGCCAAGATCGTGCCACTGCACTCCAGCCTGGGCGACAGAGCGAGACTCCGTCTCAAAAGAAAAAAAAAAAAAAAGAAAGAAAGAAAAAGAAAAGAGAGTGAGAAATGACTACTAGCAGAGATTGATCTATTTTCCTATCAGCCACCTGGAGAGACTGGGCTTATTCTTATTTGCTCAGTCGCTCCTGGCAAGACAGATTTGGAAACAAATCAACATGCTTTCGATGTGCTTAATACCAGCATTTTCTCTCCAGCTCTTAAAATTATGGTTTTTTAATTGATTGAACAAGCCATAATTTATTCAGTGAACAACTGTAGGGGATGTACAAATGTATCTGGTTTTTTTTTTTTTTTGGATTGTGAAACTATCATCAAAAGCAAAGAGATAACCAGGAAGGAAGACATTTGTCTGAAAACCATATGCCAGGCCAGGCGTGGTGGCTCATGCCTGAAATCCGAGCACTTTGGGAGACTGAGGTGGGTGGATCACAAGGTCAGGAGTTTGAGACCAGCTTGGCCAACACGGTGAAACCCCGTCTCTACTAAAAAAAAAATACAAAAATTGGCTGGGCATGGTGGCGTGTACCTGTAATCCCAGCTACCTGGGAGGCTAAGGCAGGAGAATTGTTTGAACCCAGGAGGCAGAGGTTGCAGTAAGCCGAGACTGCGCCACTGCCCTCCAGCCTGGGTGACAGAGGACGACTCCGTCTCAAAACAAAACAAAACAAAATAAAAACAACAACAACAAAAATGCCATCCTGAAAGTGGAAAGATTCACAAAGAATGAGCTTCATTTCTTCACATTTGGAAGAAACCAGGACTGTAAGGTCCACTTAGAGAAGCAGAAGGAGGACCAGGAGAGATGAGTCAAACAAATGATGCTTGAGGAACACTGATTCAGGAATGAGGTTGCAAGAATAAGAAATGCACAGCTAATGTTAAGTAGAATTCAAGCCTTCTTCCACTAAACAATATTCTTTTTTGTTTTGTTTTGTTTTGTTTTTGAGACAGAGTCTTGCTCTGTCACCCAGGCTGGAGTGCAGTGGCAGGATCTCAGGTCACTGCGAGCTCTGCCTCCCGGGTTCATGCCATTCTCCTGCCTCAGCTTCCAGAGTAGCTGGGACTACAAGCGCGCGCCACCACACCCAGCTAATTTTTTGTATTTTTAGTAGAGACGGGGTTTCACCGTGTTAGTCAGGATGGTCTCGATCTCCTGACCTCATGATCCACCCTCCTTGGCCTCCCAAAGTGCTGCCATTACAGGCATGAGCCACCGCGCCTGGCCTTGTTTTTGTTTTTTGAGACAGAGTCTCATTCTGTCACCCAGGCTGGAGTGCAATGGCATGATCTTGGCTCACTGCGACCTTCACCTCCTGGGTTCAAGCAATTCTCTGCCTCGGCCTCTCAAGTAGCTGGGATTCAGGCACCCGCCACCACACCTGGCTAATTTTTGTATTTTTAGTAGAGACAGGGGTGTCGCCATCTTGGCCAGGCTGGTCTTGAACTCCTGACCTTGTGATCCACCCACGTTGGCCTCTCAAAATGTTGGGACTACAGGCGTGAGCCACCGTGCCTGGCCCACTAAACAATATTCTTATCAATGAATACCACTACATACATGACTCATTGTAAAACAACATTCAGATTTAATAAACCATAAATGCACAGGGAAAAACCCCTGAAAATTATGATTTTGGGAATGCTTTTGGTCAAAACACTCAACTTCTTAGACTTGCAAACAGTTCAGTGTAGAAAAGCCTTATATATGAAATATACGTAGTAAATTTTTTAAGTGTAGCACAAGTCTCAGTCAATGTAAGCGAATTCATGTTAGAGAGAGTTGAGTTGAATGTAAGGAATGTGGAAAAGTGTATTCAGAGCTCCTCTCATCTTTGTTTTGAGAGCACTCACACAGTTGACAAACCCTCCAGATGTTCTGAATGTGAGAAATCCCTGTTTATGGTAAATACTTTCTGACATCAGAGAAGTCATACTGGAGAGAGACCATATAAATGTAGTATGTGTAAAGAAGTCTTTAAACAGAGCTCAACCCCACTGATGTATGAGCAAACTCTCTCAGGAAATAGACCTTACAAATGTGTTGAGTGTTGGAGAGTCTTTATTAAGAAATATTTCTTTCAGTATGTTTCAGAACTTATACAGGAGAACAATACTATAAATGTAATCGCTGTAGCAAAGGCTGTAGACACAAATTATACCTTATTCAATATGAGACAATTTATACTTGTGGGAAATTATATATTTGCAGTGAATTTAGGAAATTCTTCTAAAGAAGTGAACACTTTTACCCTATAGCTAAGAATCTATAGAGACACCTTATGAAGGGAATCATTCAGGGAAAGGTTTTACACTTTGCTCCTCCACTACTCAAAAATCACAGAAGACACACTGGAGAGCAAAGTGATGGATACAGTCATCGTGGGAAAGGCTTCAGACGTAGCCTAGCCCTTATGATGTGACATCAGAGGACTCATACTGAGGAAAACCCCATACATGTAATTTGCGTGGAAGAGCATTCAGGAGTTGTTCTCATATTATTGAACGTAAGAGGACTCATACTGGAGAACACTATGAATGCAGTCAGTATTGGCAAGCTTTCAACCATGGCTTTTACCTTATTTGACACCAGGAAATTCAAACAAATTAGAAAAACTCATTGAAAAAAGATCAATGTGGAAAAGCTATTGGTTGGAATTCCATTTTATTTGACATCAGGGATAAAGGAGGCAAAAGCCACCAGTTATTTTTTAACTCTTAAGTATCTGAATGTAACAAGACTGCAAACTTGTGACTCCCTGCAGCCACAGATCAGCAGGGATAAGCAGTTCTATTCTACATATGTCCCTAATTTGCCATAGAAACACCATTTAATGGGGACTCAGGGTCTAGGCCTGATGAACAATGTCTCATAGAAATGTCTGGCCATATGCGGCTGGGCACAGTGGCTCACGCCTGTAATCCCAGCACTTTGGGAGTCCGAGGCGGGTGGATCACGAGGTCAGGAGATCAAGACCATCCTGGCTAGCACCGTGAAACCCCGTCTCTACTAAAAATACAAAAAAAAAAAATTAGCTGGGTGTGGTGGTGGGCGCCTGGAGTCCCAGCTACTCAGGAGGCTGAGGCAGGAGAATGGTGTGAACCCAGGAGGCAGAGCTTGCTGTAAGCCGAGATCGTGCCACTGCACTCCAGCCTGGGTGACAGAGCAAGACTCCGTCTCAAAAAAAACAAGAAAAAAAGAAAAAGAAAAAGAAATGTCTCCCATATGCCTGTAATCCCAGCTACACAGGAGGCTGAGGCAGGAGAATAGCTGAACCCAGGAGGTGGAGGTTGCAGTGAACCAAGATCACACCACTGCCCTCCAGCCCGGGCAACAGAGCAAAACTCCATCTCAAAAAAAAAAAAAAAAATGGTTGCCATAGATAATCATGGCTGGGCACAGAGGCTCACACCTGTAATCCCAGCACTTTTGGAGGGCAAGGCAGGTGGATCACTTGAGCTCAGGAGTCCAAGACCAGCCTGTGCAACATGGAGAAACCCCGTCTCTAATAAAAATACAAAAATTAGCTGTGCGTGGTGGTGCATTCCTGTAGTCCCAGCTACTTGGGAAGTGAGGACTGCTTGAGGGGGTCAAGGCTACAGTGAGCTGAGATGGTACCACTGCACTCCAGCCTGGGTGACTAAACGAGACCCTGTCTAAAAGAAAAGAAAAGAAGAGAAATGGTTGTCATAGGTAATCACATGTAAATTTTTTTTTTTTTAAAGAGTGAGCAACAGTAAGATTTATTGCAAAGAGCGAAAGAACAAAGCTTCCACAGTGTGGAAGGGGACCCAAGCGGGTTGCCCATAAATGTTATCAGTGGCAACAGCGTATCTGTTTTTCTACATCACGTATGAATAAAAGAACCGTCAACCTTGAAGAATGGTGCAGGAATCATATGGCAACAGCGTATCTATTTTTCTACATCACGTATGAATAAAAGAACCGTCAACCTTGAAGAATGGTGCAGGAATCATACACCTTTTAGCATCATGGGGATCCTTATGTGTATAATTTTATGATAGTCCTAGATGAGGGCTGAAGGATATGCTATCAATTTTTTTCTGCATAATCCAAATATTATCACTCCAAACAAATCAGAGAGCTTTATACTAACTTGCTAATACTTTGCCAATAGCATTCTTCTATCTACTTGAATAGAAGCATCATAAAGAGTTGTATGTTGGCCAGGCACGGTGACTCACACCTGTAATCCCAGCATTTTGGGAGGCCGAGGCAGGAGGATCACCTGAGGTCAGGAGTTTGAGACAAGCCTGGCCAACATGGTGAAACCCTGTCTCTAGTAAAAATAGAAAAATTAGCTGAGTGTGGTGGCACATGCCTGTAATCCCAGCTACTTGGGAGGCTAAGGCAGGAGAATCAGTTGATCCCGGGAGGTAGAGGTTGCAGTGAGCCAAGGTTGTGCCATTGCACTCCAGCCTGGGTGACAAGAGCAAAACTCCATCTCAAAAAAATAAAAAAAATGAGTTGTACGTATCTTCACATTTCTAAGGGCATGTCCAATGTCTTGGCAGGGTTAAAAAGACATCATAGTCTGGTGAAGTACCCATACTCCAAAACTAGTGCAAACTTCACAAGTTTCATTGCAAATCCCTTACAAAGAGCACAGGGTATGTATAAGCAGCATTGGTTTCTCTTCTGAAACCCTGGACACTAGAAGATAAGTGAAGATTCCAGAAACACAAAGACTCTGATTTCAGGATTTGATGCTCAGCAAATATATCATTCACACATATGAGGAGAGAGTAAGCATTTTCAGACCTGTTAGCATTCAAAATTTGTATTCTTTCTGGAAAAACTGCCCAAGAGAACATAATAGTAATTTCTTACAATGGAAGTATGAGCCATGTCCCCAAAAGACATCTAAAAGGACACTCATAGAAGCATTAGTCATAAGGGGCCAAAACTGGATACAGCCCAGCAGTCCATCAATAATAAAATGTATAAACAAAATGTGGTACATCCATAGTGGAATACTACTCAGCAATTTACCAAACATTAACTACTGATACATGCAGCAACTTGGATGAATCTCTAACACATTATGTTGACACAGAAAACCATAGACTATATGATTCCATTTATATGAAGTTTGAGGACAGAAAAAAAACTTATGATGATAATCAGGATAGTGGTTAACTCTGGGAGATATTAACCAGGAAGTGGTACAGGGTTTTGGAAATATATTTTCTGTTGACCTGTGTGATGGATTTTTATATATGGACATTATATATTTATATATTTAGACATATATAAAAAAACTCATCAAGTTGTGAAGTTGAGGACTTTATGCCTATATATATGTTTATGTGTATATATATGTTTAAAGCTTATATAGTTTATGTATATAAAGGTTACATATAAACTTTAATTTAATTAATTAATTTTTTGAGACAACAGTCTCACTCTGTTGCCCAGGCTGGAGTGCAGTTGTGTGATCTCTGCTCACTCCAGCCTCTGCCTCCTGGGTTTAAGTGATTCTCCTGCCTCAACCACCTGAGGAGCTGGGATTACAAGCAAGCACCACCACACCTGGCTAGTTTTTGTATTTTTAGTAGAGACAGAGTTTCACCATGTTGGCCAGGCTAGTCTTGAACTCCTGATCTCAAGTGATCCTAATGCCTTGACCTCCCAAAGTACTGGGATTACAGGTGTGAGCCACCGTGACTGGACTAAACTTTAATTTTAAAAGTTTTAAAACGGCCGGGCGTGGTGACTCGTGCTTGTAATCTCAGCACTTTGGGAGGCCGAGGTGGGCGGATCACGAAGTCAGGAGATCAAGACCATCCTGGCCAACATGGTGAAACCCCGTCTCTACTAAAAAAATACAAAAATTAGCCAGGTGAGACGGTGCACGCCTGTAGTCCCAGCTACTTGGGAGGCTGAGGCAGGAGAATTGCTTGAATCCAGGAGGTGGAGGTTGCAGTGAGTCGAGATTGCGCCACTGCACTCCAGCCTGGGCGACAGAGTGAGACTCTGTCTCAAAAATAAATAAAGAAAGAAATAAATAAAAGTTTTAAAACTATATGCAAGCTGGCCGGGCACAGTGGCTCACGCCTGTAATCCCAGCACTTTGGGAGTCCAAGGTGGGCGGATCGTGAGATCAAGAGATGGAGACCATCCTGACTAACATGGTGAAACCTCGTCTCTACTAAAAATACAAAAATCAGCTGGGCATGGAGGCGAGCATCTGAAGTCCCAGGTACTCGGGAGGCTAAGGCAGGAGAATCACTTGAACCCAGGAGGCAGAGGTTGCAGTGAACCGATATTGCGCCACTGCACTCCAGCCTGGCGACAGAGTGAGAGTCCATCTAAGGAAGGAAAGGAAAGGAGAGGAGACGGGAGGGGAGGGGAGAGAAGGGAAAGGAAAGGAAGAAGGGAAGAATAGAGGGAAGAGAGGAGGGAAGAGAGAAGGAGAGAAAGAAGGAAAGAGAGAAAGAAGGAAAGAAAGAAGGAAAGAAGACCTATATGCAAGCTGATGGGATGATGGGATCCAAAGGACTTATGCTGCCATTTTAAACAGTCTCCAAACAAAGACAAAACAAATGCCTCTGCCACTGCTGTGCTATGAGTCAGGATGCTTGCTGGGCTGGTAGCAGCTAACCCACGTCATCAGATAATGTTTACTCACATGCCTGGAGAGTTAGCCAGAATAGCTTCAGGATCAGTATGAGCCAGCAGCTCAACAATGTCTCCAAATACTCAATTTCCTTCCACCCTTCCCCTCAGTGGTCTGCAGTATTGATTATTCTTAAATTGGCTCCCACTGACAGCCTTATGGCTCAGCTTCTTCTTTTTTTTTTTTTTTTTTTTTGGAATGAAGTTTCACTCTTGTTGCCCTGGCTGGAGTACAATGTCGCGATCTCGGCTCACTGCAACCTCTGCCTCCCGGGTTCAAGCGATTCTCCTGTCTCAGCCTCCCGAGTAGCTGGGATTACAGGCGCCCACCACCACGCCCGGCTAATTTTTGTATATTTAGTAGAGACGGGGGTTTCACCATGTTGACTAGGCTGGTCTTGAACTTCTGACCTTAGGTGATCCACCCGCCTCAGCCTCCCAAAGTGCTGGGATTACAGGTGTGAGCCACCACGCCCGGCCAATATGGCTCAACTTCTTTCAAGAGACTGGGCTTTTTTTTTCTGTATTAGTTTCCTATCACCACTGTAACAAATTACTACAAACTCAGTGTCTTAAAACAAGAGATAAGAGAAATATTAAAGTAAGACAAATAGATTCTCTCATTTCTGGAGGCCGGAAGCATGAAATCCATACCTGGGCCAAATTCAAGCCTTGGAGGCTCCAGGAGAGAATTCATTCCTTGCCTCTTCCAGCTTATGGTGGCTGCTGGCTTTTTTTTTTTTTTTTTTGAGACGGAGCCTTACTCTGTTGCCCAGGCTGGAGTGCAGTGGTGTGATCTTGGCTCACTGTAATCTCCCCCTCCCGGGTTCAAGCGATTCTCCTGCCTTAGCCTCCCGACTAGCTGGCATGACATGCGCATGTCACCACATCCAGGTAATTTTTGTATTTTTATTTTTAATTTAATTTTATTATTTTTTTATTTTTTGAGACAGAGTCTTGCTCTATCACCCAGGCTGGAGTGCAGTAGCACGTCTCAGCTCACTACAACCTCTGCCTCCTGAGTTCAAGCCAGTCTCCTGCCTCAGCCTCCCCAGTAACTGGGGTTACAGGCGTGCAACACCACGTCCAGTTAATTTTTAAATTTTTAGTAGAGACAGGGTTTCATCATATTGGCCAGGCTGGTCTCAAACTCCTGACCTCGTGATCCACCCCCCCTTGGCCTCCCAAAGTGTTGGGATTACAAGCGTGAGGTACCCCGCCCGGCCTATTTTTATTTTATTTTTTTATTTTTTTGAGAGGGAGTCTTACTCTGTCACCCAGGCTGGAGTGCAGTGGTGTGATTTTGGCTCACTGCAACCTCCGCCTCCCAGGTTCAAGCAATTCCCTGCCTCAGCCTCCTGAGTAGCTGGGATTACAGGCGCCTGCCACCATGCCTGGCTAACTTTTGTATTTTTAGTAGAGACGGGTTTTCACTATCTTGGCCAGGCTAGTCTTGAACTTCTGACCTTGTGATCCACCCGCCTCAGCCTCCCAAAGTGCTGGGATTACAGGCATGAGCCACTGTGCCCAGCCAACTTTTGTATTTTTAGTAGAGACGGGGTTTCATCATGTTGGCCAGGCTGGTCTCAAACTCCTGGCTTCAGGTGATCTGCCTGCCTCGGCCTCCCAAAGTGCTGGGATTACAAGCATGAGCCACTGCGCCCGGCCTGCTGGCATGTTTTGACTTGTGACTGCACAGCTCCAGTCTCTGCCTCCACGGTCACATCACCTTCTCCTTTTCTGCCTATGTGTGGTCACATCTGTCCCTGCCTCCCTCTTGTAAAGATACATGTGATTACATGCACAATCCAGGATCATCTCCCCTCTCAAGATCTTTAAATACATATGCAGCCCCTGTCTCTACATAACGCAACATTCATAGGTTCCAAGAATTCAGGCCTGACATCTTTGGGGGACATTTTTCAGCCAAACACACTCTCCTAACTTTTAATCAAAGTCCTGGGCTTCACTCTCCGTCCATGTTCATTGCTTTGACACTTGTCATGGACAGGAGGGTGCCTTGCACTGACTGGCTTGGACCAGAGTGCTTGCATGCCCCTGGATTAATCACTGCAGCAACGGAGACAGAATGAGGCCAGTGGGCCATCCACTGGAGCTGAGATTGAGGGGCAGCTTCACCCATAGCTGCCCAAAAGGGTATCTGGGGTGTTCTGAGGGTGTTCTGGGGTGTATCTGAGGAAAGGGATGAGTGGAAAGGTCTCACAAATGAATCTTTTTTTTTCTTTTTTTTTGAGATGGCGTTTCACTCTTTTTTGATGGGCATTGCCCAGGCTAGAGTGCAATGGCGCGATCTCAGCTCACCACAACCTCTGCCTCCCGGGTTCAAGTGATTCTCCTGCTCAGCCTCTCCAGTAGCTGGGATTACAGTCATGTGCCACCACGCCTGGCTAATTTTGTATTTTTAGTAGAGATGGGGTTTCTCCACGTTGGTCAGGCTGGTCTGAAACTCCCGACCTCAGGTGATTTGCCCACCTCAGCCTCCAAAAGTGCTGGGATTACAGACGTGAGCCACCGCGCAGCCTCACGTGAAAAAGACTTTTCTCTCAATTTCACAATCTGTCTCTCTGTCTCTCTCTCTCTGTCACGTTTTGAAATTCTGGCTTCCCTCCTATACCCAAGGGAGAGCTCACACTTCTCCCTTACCTGAGCGAAATGCCATCTTTCCCTTCCAGCACCCCATTCAATCCTCCACCAGGGTCCCCATGTCCTGGTAGCTGCTCCCTGGATGTTGGGACTTCACTCAGTTCCATTTTTTTTTTTTTTTAGGAGACAGGGTCTCACTCTGTTGCCCAGGCTGGAGTGCAGTGGCCTGATCATAACTCACTGCAGCCTTAATCTCCCGGGCTCGAGAAATCCTCGCACCTAAGACTCCTGAGTAGTTGGGATTACAGGCACATGTCACCATGCCCAGCTAATTTTTAAATTTTTTTGGTAGAGATGGAGTCTCACTATGTTGCCCAGGCTGGTCTTTAACTCCTGGCCTCAAGTGATCCTCCTGCCTCAGCCTCCTAAAGTGCTGGGATTGCAGGCATGAGCTGTTGACCCTCAGTTCCAGATCTTTGCTGGCAGCAAGTCCGGAAACTTCCATCCGGATCTGGTTTGTGGCCTTATAACTTAATGTGAGGAGAGGTCTCTGGGGTAGATGGGCTCCACCCAAGCAGACTTTTGTGCCAGCTACTGTGGCTGTGCCACCCACCTTCATTGCAGCACAGTCTGGCGCCTTCTACAGATGCCAAAAAAACCAGTTACACTCTTTTCCAGCTTTTCTCCCAGCCAGGACATGGATGCATGTGTCAATCCTGGCTAACAGGGTCAGAGCGAGTCAACAACAGAGAAGTCTTCCGAAAATGTTGTATTACTTTTTTTTTTTTTTTTTTTTTGAGACAAAGTCTCACTCTGTTGCCCAGGCTGGAGTGCAGTGTCGCGATCTCGGCTCACTGCAACCTCCATCTCCCAGGTTCAAGCGATTCTTCTGCCTCAGCCTCCTGTGTAGCTCGGACTACAGGCGCGCACCACCACACCCGGCTAATTTTTTGTATTTTTAGTAGAGAAGGGGTTTCACCGTGTTGACCAGGCTGTTCTCGAATGCCTGACCTCGTGATCTGCCCGCCTCAGCCTCCCAAAGTGCTGGGATTACAGGCGTGAGCCACTGCGTCCGGCCAAAATGTTGTATTACTTCTTTGTGGTAGGGAGAGTAATGCCCCCTTTCCTTCAGAGATGTCCTCATTCCAAACCCTGGAACCTATACATATGTTACCTTCGCATGGCAAAGGGGACATTGAAGATGCCATTAAGGATCTGTTTTTGTTTTAGAGACAGGGTCTCACTCTGTCACCCAGGCTGGAGTGCAGTGGTGTGATCATGGCTCACTGTAGCCTGGAACTCCTGGGCTCAAGCGATCCTCCTGCCTCAGCTTCCTGAGTAGCTGGGACCACAGATGCATGCCACCACACCCAGCTATTTTTGTTGTTGTTAAGACACGGTCTTGCTCTGTTGCCCAGACCAGTCTCAAACTCCTTGGCTCAAGCAATCTTCCTGCCTCAGCCTCCCGAAGTGTTGGGATTACAGGTATGAGCCACCATGCCTGGCCAGATTCTTGAGATGGGGAGATTATTCTGAATTACTTGGGGCGGGCCCTATTTAATCAAATGTCTTTGTATAACTTGAGGCAGGAATCAGAGTAGATGATGTGATGATGGAATGAGAGATTTGAAAATGCTACACTGCTGGCTTTAAAATTGGAGGAAGGGGCCATAAGCCAAGGAAGGCAGGTAGTCTCTAGAAACTGGAAAAGGCAAAGAAATGGATTCTCTCCTAGACCCCCCAGAAGGACCACAGTCCTGCTGACATCTTTATTTTAGCCTAGTAAGACCCATTTTGGACTTCTGACCTCCAGAGCTGTGAGACAATAAATTTGTTGTTGTTTTAAGACACAAAGTTTTGGTAATTTGCTACAGTGGCAATAGAAAGCAAATACACTTCCTGATGCCAACTTCTTCAGCCAAATGTTGCACGGCTAAATGCTAGACTTGGAACTGTAATCACCATCTTAGGACTGCAAAGACGTGTGCCTCAGAAAGAACCAAGGCCATACACTGGGGAGGGCTGAGCCAAAGGAGGGACAGTGACTGGTTACAGCTCATACTTGAGCCCAGGGGTCAACCGTAGAAGCCCTTACATCTGGATTTAATTACATTTTTTATTTTGTAATTTTTAGTTTTATTTGTGCTGAGACAGAGTCTCTGGAGTGTAGTGGTGCGACTACAGCCTCAACTTCCCAGGCTCAGGCGAACCTCCCACCTCAGCCTCCCGAGTACCTGGATTACAGGTGTACACCACCACACGCAACTAGTGTTTTGTTTTCGTAGGGATGGAATCTCACACAAAAAACTGGGCAAGTATGTTCCCCAGGCTGGTTTTGAACTCCTGGGCTCAAGCAGTCCTCCCACCTTGGTCTCACAGTGTTGGGATTACAGGCATGAGCCACTGTGCCCAGCCTGGACTTAATGAAAAACAAACAAACAAACATTTTTTTTGAGTCAGTCTTGCTTTCTCACCCAGGCTGGAGTGCAGTGGTGTAATCTCAGCTCACTACAACCTCTGCCTCCTGGGTTCAATTAATTCTTATGCCTCAGCCTCCCAAGAAGCTGGGATTACAGGCATGCATCATCACACCTGGCTAATTTTTGTATTTTTAGTAGAGAAAGGTTTTTACCATATCAGCCAGGCTGGTCTTGAACTCCTGACCTCAAGCAGTCCACCCACCTCAGCCTCCCAAAGTGCTGGGATTACAGATGTGAGCCACTGTGCCCAGTCAGTGAAATTTAAGATCATGAATGGTGGCATACTGTCACTTCTGCCAAAACTACACCTTACATGATAACCCTTTCTTGCTCCCCACCAGCTTTTGCTCTCAAGTCTCGTTTGGTCATGCTAAGCCACAGTTTGGGGACTCCTAGGAGCAGCCATCACAGGTAACCAGTTCTGCTGGCTCAGGATGGCCCCTGCTGCCCTGACTCAGAGACACTTCCTGCAAGGCAGACATCTCATGCAGAGCAGAGGCCACTGCAGTCAGAAGGAAGGGCCTGGTAGCCTCAGAGGCACAGCCAAGGGGCTGCAACGATGGAAAGGAGATATTCCACAAGTCCAAGAGTGTGACATGGAAGCACACTCTGGGATGTGGTGGACTCAAGTGATCCATGCAGATGTGGATGCTGTCTCTCTTTCTCTGTTCATAGAGTGTGGCATGGGTCCTCTCTGGGTGAAAATAGGTGCCCAGAATTAATCACACACTTCCATTCAAAATAAACTGTGCCAACTTGCTGAACCACAAAATGATTTCCTCGCCATGGCCCCTAAATAACTCCGTGATAAGAACTGTATGCTATTGATGGCTCTGAAGTCCAAATTTATTGGCAAAAGCAAAGAACATGCCTGAACTAGTCATTTCTGCAGGCGTTTCTCCTTAAGATGAGTTTGAAGCCAATTGGTTATGTGAAGAATAGCAATCAGTTCTTTCTCACACTGGAGGAGGAGGAAGCACAAAAGAAAGTTCAAGGGTCAAGCCTCCCAAAAGGCTCTGTTATAATCCTATGTGCTCTTTCATTGTATCTAGTGATGAATTTGGGTAACTGACACTTTACTCATTGGCCATCTATCCTTGAACTTGATAAGCATTTTCATTTATGTAAGTTTACTTGTAATTCTTCCAAAACTTATCTTCACATTTCCCAACAAACTAATTTCAGACATTTTGTTTTTATGATTCTATTGTGACAGGAACCTCCATTTCAATATACTTGTTGCAGGTATAGATTTTGTGCATTGCTTTGTGGTGTTGATTTGTCCATCTTTTGTATTCTGCCTAGCTTATTGTAATCTTGATTTTTAAAGTTTTCAATTGGGTTTTTAAAGTATGTTAATGTTAATAAATGCATTTTTAGGTTTCCTTTCCCAATCATTACAGCACTCAGGTCTATTTCATATCAGATTGATTGATTTATTAAGACAAGGTCAAGCTCTGTCGCCCAGGCTGGAGTGCAGTGGCATAATCAGGGCTCACTGCAGCTTCAACTTCCTTAGCTCATGATCCTCCTACTTCAGCCTCTTGTGTAGCTAAGACTACAGGAGTGTGTCACCACATCCAGCTACATTTTTTGCTTTAATACAGATGAGGTTTTGCTACGTTGCTCAGGCTGGTCTTGAACTCCTGAGCTCAAGTGACCCTCCCGCCTTGGCCTCCCAAAGTGCTGGGATTATAGGTATGAGCCTGGCCTCATACTTTATTTGTAGTAACAAGAATATCTGGAAAATGTTCAGCATTGCTGAGAGCAGATTTCTGTCATTTTCGATGTGTGTATCCTCCACGGTTATTGAATGGAGGAATAAACAAGAAAAAGACTCAAGAAGAGAGACAGGAGTCAGTTCTCATCAGAGAAGAAAAGGTCGATTTCCTAAGGCAGGAAATATTGAGATGGGTTGTGTTCAGGACTAGCAGGAGGTGTGTGGCTGGCTTGTTCCTTGTCTACATCCTAATGGCCTAAAGAAAAGATGCCCCACACTAAGGACAGCAAGAGGGAAAGAGTGAGCCTCATCCTCCGTGACTTCAGTGGGCAGCTTAACCAGCACCAGAAAAGACCTATACTTGCAGATTTTCTTTGTGGGAAAACGGCGTTGGTTATTTGGGTTTTTATTTATTTCCAACCAAACATGCCTTAACGGATACAGGGTGCAAAGGCATGTACTAGATTATTCCAAACCTGCCTCACTGGTTTGTCCGGCATTCTGTGGACTTCCTGCATTCCTCTTTGAGGCAGGCCGTTTTCTGGAGGTTGTTTGTGATCGGCCTCTGCTCAGAGCCCAAATTCTTAGCCTTTCCCCCATGTGTTATGTCCAGTGTGGATTATCTTGATGGTGAGTTTACCTTTGATGTTGGGGAAAACAGGCAAAGAATGAATGAGCAGCAGTAACCAAAGAGCCTCTTTTCTGGGAAAAAAGCTATGATATTAATAATTTATAGTTCAAATGCACATTAATTTATCCATACTTCTGTAACCTTACATTCCCAAGCTCTCAGAAGTTCAGAGAGGTGTCCTCAAAGCTCACATTTCAAAGATGGAAAGACACATCTTTCTTCTTTTTAAAAATGATTTTAAAATGTATCCCCCTTTACATGGAACAATTTGAGATGCTCTGTGTGATGAAACAGAGACAGAGAATGATGAGTGGAGATCAAATCCTGGGTCCATGATTCAGTTGCACAGCTGGCTTAGGACTCAGTTGAACACCACTAGCTGCCATAATGGTCCAGCTGCCATAATGGTTTGGGCCAACTTATAGCTTTACATATTTTATTCTTAGTCATATGTTGTTTATTTATTATTTATTTATTCATTTATTTATTTTGAGATGGAGTCTCGCTGTGTCACCCAGGCTGGAAGGCAGTGGCACAAACTCGGCTCACTGAAAGCTCCACCTCCTGGGATCATGCCATTCTCCTGTCTCAGCCTCCCGAGTAGCGGGGACTACAGGCGCCCGCCACCATGCTCGGCTAATTTTTGTATTTTTAGTAGAGACGGGGTTTCACCATGTTAGCCAGGATGGTCTCGATCTCCTGACCTCATGATCTGCCCACCTTGGCCTCCCAAAGTGCTGGGATTACAGGCGTGAGCCACTGCGCCCGGCCATATGTTGTTTAATTTAAACCAACAGTAGACCATTGATTTAAAAAAGCATATGGGGCCAGGGGCAGTGGCTCACTCCTGTAATCCCAGCACTTTGGGAGGCCAAAATGGGCAGATCACCTGAGGTCAGAAGTTCGAAACTAGCCTGACCAACATGGTGAAACCCTGTCTCTACTAAAAATATAAAAATTAGCTGGGCGTCGTGGCATCTGCCTGTAATCTCAGCTATTAGGGAGAATGACGCAGGAGAACCGCTAGAACCCGGGAGGCAGAGGCGGAGGTTGCAGTGCCATTGCACTCCAGCCTGGGCAACAAGAGCAAAACTCCATCTCAAAAAAAAAAAGCACATGGAAAAATATTAATATATTTAAATAACTCAGTATCTCAATAAACCTATGCCTGACTATGTGGAATATATATATATTTGAGATGGAGCCCCCTTTAGTAGAGACGGGGTTTCACCATGTTGGCCAGGTTGGTCTCGAACTCCTGACCTCAGGTGATCCACCCACCTCAGCCTCCCAAAGTGCTGGGATTACAGGTGTGAGCCACCGCACCTGGCCCTATGCAGACTATATTAAGAGAGAAAAAGTAAAAATTAAACTTTGCAATTGAATGAAATAACTACTATTTCTACAACACACATTTTCACTTATGATCCATAATGCCTTCTATGTAATTCAAAATTCCAGATATTTTCTAACAGAAAATTTCTCCCTGTTATGAGTCTGCAAAATTTATATGAACAAGGCTATTTATATTTTGTCTCTCTTCCACCTAGTGTAAATCTTCTTGTATTTTGCTACAGATATACTCATGTGTTTGATGGCAGGTGCTACCCCACACCTCTTAGGGATTTACACACTGTATGGTGTAAATACATTACCATCCTACTAAAATCCAAATGATCATGAATTCCAAAATACATCTGGCTCAGAAGGTTTTGAACAAGCAATCGAGGCACTGTCTAAATCCAACAACGATGAATAAATTTTTTCAACATTTTACATGTTTAATAGTTAACATTTCTTCAGAAGTCATTTTTATTTTACAAATTACAATAAACAGCATATTTAATTTGCTAAACAGGAAAAGAGTATGCAGTTATTAAAAGTTGAATTAAAATGGCTCTCATAAATCAATCTTCAATAATATGCTTATATAAAACCATCTTTAGGTTGGGCACAGTGGCTCAAGCCTGTAATCCCAGCACTTTGCGGGGCCGAGGTGGGCGGATCCTCTGAGGTCAGGAGTTCGAGACCAGCCTGGCCAACATGGCAAATCCCCATCTCTACTAAAAATACAAAAATTAGCCGGGCATGGTGGCACGCCCGGCTACTCAGGAGGCTGAGGCAGGGAGAATCACTTGAACCCGGGAGGCAGAGGTTGCAGTTGAGCCGAAATCACGCCATTGCACTCCAGCCTGAGCGAAAGAGCGAGACTCTGTCTCAAAACAAAAAAAAAAAAACAAAACATCTTTGGTCAGGCATGGTGGCTCACGCCTGCAATCCCAGCACTTTGGGAGGCCAAGGCGGGAGGATTGCTTGAGTCCAGGAGTTCAAGACCAGCCCTGACAACACACTGAGACCTCATCTCTACACAAATATTTATTAAAAATTAGCCAGGTGTGGTGATGCACACCAGTAGTCAGTCCTAGCTACTTGGAAAGCTGAGATGGGAGGAACACTTGAGCCCAGGAGGTTGGGCCAGCAGTAAGCCATGACTGCAGCACTGCTCTCCAGCCTGGGCAACAGAACAAGACCCTGTCTCAAAAACAAATTCTTTTAATCAAAAATCAGGTTTTATCCTATACCACATAAATAGAAAGAAATCATTAGAAGAATTTCCACCTGCCTGGGCAACATAGTGAGGTTTCTGTCTCTACAAAAAAGTACAAAAGAGGCCAGGCGGGGTGGCTCATGCCTATAATCTCAGCACTTTGGGAGGCTGAGGTGGGCAGACTGCCTGAGGTCAGGAGTTCGAGACCAGGCTGGCTAACATGGAGAAACCCCGTCTCTACTACAAATACAAAAATTAGCCAGGCATGGTGGCACACACCTGTAGTCCAAGCTACTTGGGCAGCTGAGGCAGGAAAATCGCTTGAACCCAGGAAGCAGAGGTTGCAGTGAGCCGAGATTGTGCCACCTCACTCCAGCCTGGGCGACAGAGCAAGACTCTGTCTCCAAAAAAAAAAAAGCCAGGTGTGGTGGTGTGCACCTGTCCCAGCTATTTGAGAGGCTAAGGTGGGCGGATCACTTGGGCCCAGGAGGTGGAGGCTGCAGTAAGCTGTGATCGCACCAATGCATTCCAGTCGGGGTGACAGAGCAAGACCCTGTCTCAAGAAAAAAAAAAAGAAAGAAAAAAAAGAATTTCCAAGGGGGTTTGCTTCCTTGTGATTATGAAGGGCTAGACGTATCCTATTCAAATCCAGAACAAAACAAGACTATTAGTAAACATGACTACTTAACATAGCTCTGTCATACTAGCTAGGACTATACAATGTTAATTTTTTAAAGTTGAAATATGGAAAAAGAAGATATCAAATTACTTATTAATTGGGGATGGTGTTGTATCTATAATAGACACGAAAAATCCAATGAAATATTATTAGACTATAAGATATCTGCACAGTCTCTGAGTAAATACTCCTATGCCAAAATCAACACACTAACAGCAACAATTAAACAATGTGTAGCCTGAGGTTGGATCCTCCACAGTGACCAAAAAAACCAACAACCCGTGGAACAAGTTTAGCAGGCAGTGTACACGACCACCAGAGGGAGGCAGAGGGCTGCTGAGACCTGCCAGGAAATATCAAGAAAGAGGACACAGGGTCCTGAGCACTGAGAGAGATCATTAGGGCCCTCAGGTCCCAAGAAGACAAGACCATACTGGGACCTGGGACCTAAGGAAGATAAGAAAACACCAGATGTCGGTCCTTGAGGAAGCCAAGAGAATACCTCCTTGTCCTGAGCTCCCAAGGAAGATGAGAGCACCCTGGGCCCAAGGATGGGTGGCACACACCAGGTCCTGGACAGCTACAGACTTAGGTTTCCTCTCCCTAGACATGAGCACCTCAGCTTCCAGGAGCAAACTGGACCACAGGGGGACACTAGGCAGAGGATCCTGCTCCTCCTCCCCAATGCCTGGGGTACAGTTAGCCCTGATCATCTCTCCAGAACTAGGGTAGACGTTTGGCCTCATTCCCATCACACTTGTGGTCCACCTAGTCTTCCCTCCTTCCCCTTGCACACCCCTGACCTTCCTACTCCCTTCCTCTAATCCCCAGAACTAGGGTGGACGTTTGGCCACGTTCCCATCACACTTCCGGTCCTCCGAGTTTCCCTCCCCTCCCTGACCTTGAGTGGACACTTGGCCCTGTCCACCCTCACTTTCAGGCAGGACCCATCTCCCAGAAACATAAGTGCCGTCAGTCCCAACTCCTGCACACTTCCGGCTCTCCCAGTCCTCCCCTTCTTTCTCGACTTTGAAACTGGTGGAACTTCAGTACCTCTCCCCACTCCCCCCGCGACTTCCGTCTTCCAGTCCCCCTCCTTCCCCAAAAGTTGCGTGGACTCTAGCCCCGCCTCCTACATTCTCCCCGCCCTCCCTGTCCCCGCCCCTCCACCCAGATGGACGGCCAGTTAGGCCCGCCCCCTGCACTTCCGGCCCTACCCGCCCTTCCTCTTCCCAAGGGACGTCATAATTAATCCCGCCCCCACCGCCACCCAACCAAGCATCACCCATTCCAGCACTTCCGGCCTGACCCCTGTCCAGCGCCTTTCCTTTCTCCAGCTTCTGCTCTGCCCCAAGAGTGGTCGCCTTCGTGGCAGGGCACGACTCTCTCCCAGCTCGGGTCGCCGCCCACATTAGTGTGGGGCCCTGCGGCCTAGCGTCCCTCACCAGAGGCCTCCCCTTGCCTAGCTGGACCGCCGAGGGACATCGACGAGTATCCTCCTCCTGCTGTCCCCGGCTTCGCCTGCCGCCCCTAACCGGCCAGTCAAGATGGCCGCCGCTGGGTGAGGCAAGCTGGCGCGCCGCGGGGGCGTCTGGGAGTTGTAGTTCGGGACGGCGGGCTGACGCACTTCGCCGCCGGCCGACGGGCGCCATTGTGCGGCGCGCGCCGGGTGAGTGCCGCGCGAAACCTGCGTCCGTCGGGGGCTGCGCTGGGCGGGTCCAGAACCGTTAGTTGGGGGCGAGCGCGGCCTCTGCATTTTCCGCCGAGCTCGGGTACCCTGAGCCGGCCGTGCCTGCAGTCCTCCCGCCGCTCTGTGGGATGGGGTCGGTGACCCGGAACCCCGAGGGGAGACAGTGCTTTCGGGGCGCCGCGGTGGAGAGAACAGATCGCCTCCGGAAGCGTGGGGTCTGGGCCAGGGAGGCGATCCCCTCCGATGCGCGGGACAGAGGAGGCTCGGTGTCCTCTCGGGGAGGGGAAAACTGGTCCTATCCAGTCCTGTGGGAGTCCTATGACTCACTCTGGGCGTTTTCCAGTTTGGGTGGACTTGTCATTTCCCGCTGAGGGAGCCGTTCCTGGGCGGAGGCTGCGGTAGCTCCCCAGCGGACACCTTAAGCCTCTCCCTCCCCTCCCAACTTCGGTTTCCTCAGGACTCTGCCCACTTCCACCAGAGACACATTGAGAAGGAGGAAACTATGGCCTCCAGGCTTCCGACGGCCTGGTCCTGTGTGAGTAGAGGCTTCCTTCAGCTTTTGAGTCCGCTACTGCACCTGGGAGGATGCGGATGGTGGTGAGATACCACCTTCCCTGAGATACCCCCATCCTCCAGAGCACCTCGGGGAGGGGGTAGAGATTGGTTGGGCATGAGAGATCCTGCGTGATGGTGGAACCGCAGGTTGCTTGGTTTTCCAAGGGTGTAGTTAGAATAGAGACCAGATTGTAGGGGCTTCTGAAGGCCAGGTTAAGGCTCTTGCTTGTATCCTTTATATTGGGAAGAGTAATTGACAGGTCTTTTGTTTGTTTGTTTTTTGTTTTTTGAGATGGAGTCTCCCTCTGTCGCCCAGGCTGGAGTGCAGTGGCGCGATCTTGGCTCACTGCAACCTCCGCCTCCTGGGTTCAAGTGATTCTCCTGCCTCAGCCTCCCCGAGTAGCTGGGACTACAGGCGTGTGCCACCATACCCAGCTAATTTTTTTTTTATTTTTATTTTTTGTGTGTGTTTTTTGTGGAGACGGGGTTTCACCATGTTGGCCAGGCTGGTCTGGAACTCTTGACCTAAGGTGATCCGACCATCTCGGCCTCCCAAAGGTCTATGCAGGGATCAGGCTTATGTTTAGATTTCAGCAGATAAATTGGCATCAAGCAAGAGGTGACAGCAGCAGAGTTCAATAACAAGTAGAAAAGACAGGTGAGGATGGATCCCTGACAGGTGAAGGAGATAGAAAGAAGCATCAGGGCCCTGGGTAGGGGCTGACGGCTTGGGTGTGATGGTGCAGCTCAGAGAATTCCCTAGGAGGCATACGCACCACTCCCAAAGTCAGAATTTTCAAATGAATAAGAAATAGGGGGCCGGGCGCGGTGGCTCACGTCTGTAATCCCAGCACTTTGGGAGGCCGAGGCAGGTGGATCACGAGGTCAGGAGATTGAGACCATCCTGGCTAACATAGTGAAACCCCGTCTCTACTTAAAAAAATACAAAAAATTAGCCGGGCGTGGTGGCGGGCGCCTGTAGTCCCAGCTACTCGGGAGGCTGAGGCAGGAGAATGGCGTGAACCGGGGAGGCGGAGCTTGCAGTGAGCCGAGATGGCGCCACTGCACTCCAGCCTGGGCGACAGAGAGAGACTCCGTCTCAAAAAAAAAAGAAAAGAAAAATAGGGCCGGGTGCGGTGGCTCACATGTGTAATCCCAGCACTTTGGGAGGCCGAGGCAGGCAGATCACAAGGTCAGGAGTTCGAGACCAGCTTGACCAACATGGTGAAACCCCATCTCTACTAAAAATACAAAAATTAGCCGGGCATGGTGGTATGCGCCTGTAATCCCAGCTACTCAGGAGGCTGAGGCAGGAGAATCGCTTGAACCTGGGAGGTGGAGGCTGCAGTGAGCCAAGATTGCGCCACTGCACTCCACTAGGAGACAGAGTGAGACTCTGTCTCAAAACAATAAATAAATAAATTAAATAAATAAATAAATAAATAAAATGGACAGATTTTCATATGCTACAGAGATCTCATGTGTTGCTCTCCTTATTGTAACCTGAATAGAGTCAAGCTTGGGTTTGCTTGGGGTTTCAGACAAAGACAGGAACTCAGGATGAGACTCCCAAAATGCCCTTGGGTCATCTTGTAGACCATTCTGTGCTTTCACTGGCCTGGTCAGCCTCCCCTGTCTTTCTTTTGTCGTGGATGCGGATGGCCTGTGGCTGAACAAGAATCTGGATTTTTAGGAACCAGTGACCTTTGAAGATGTAACACTGGGTTTTACCCCGGAAGAGTGGGGACTGCTGGACCTCAAACAGAAGTCCCTGTACAGGGAAGTGATGCTGGAGAACTACAGGAACCTGGTCTCAGTGGGTAAGGCTGGCCTCCAGGTCAAGAAGGATCTGTGCTTTGTAGCACAAATGTAGCACCTCTGAAGTATGTGTCTGCTTGGGCTCACACTGCAGGGGCACCAGTAGGAAAAGGGCAGCTTTTCAGTATGACTTCTGAATCATTGCCTAGTCCATCCCTCCCTGAATACCAGGGAGATGGGTCTGTCAGGGATGTTTTCAGCTGCAGTAGTGGATGCTTATTGTTCTTGCAACAAGAGTTCCGGCCAGGCATGGTGGCTCACTTTAGGAGACTGAAGCAGGAGGATTGCTTGAGCCCAGGAGTTTGAGACCAGCATGGGCAACATAGACCGTGTCTCTATTAAAAAAAAAAAAAAAAAGAAACTCCACAGAAATTCCAGACAATGCGATGCCAGTGTCCCAACAGCTTAGGAGTAGCATCAAAGAGCCTGTCCCTGCCAGGCACGGTAGCTTACGCCTGTAATCCTGGCACTTTGGGAGGCTGAGGCAGGCAGATCAGTTGAGGTCAGGAGTTCTAGACCAACCTGACCAACATGATGAAACCCTGTCTTTACTAAAAATACAAAAATTAGCCGAGCACCCCAGCTACTCAGGAGGCTGAGCCAGGAGAACTGCTTGAACATGGGAGGTGGAGGAGATTGCAGTGAGCTGAGATCAGATCACAGCACTCCAGCTTGGGCAACTGAGCAAGACTCCGTCTCAAAAAAAAAAAAAAAAAGCCTGTCCCTTCAAACTCTGGTTATTGTGAACCTTTCCATGTTCCCCCTAGTCATTGCACAGCTGTGGCTCCAAGCATTGCATCTGTGTTCAAGGCAGAAACAAGGAGAAGGGGTAGCCCTTTCACAGCTGTCATGTTTAACCAGAAAGCAAAAGCTTTCCCAGCTGACCGATCTCCCTTTGTGTCTGGCTGACCAGAACTGGACCCCTTAGCTGCTTGGCAAAGGAGTCTAGGAAAGCCAACAACAGGGATGGATGGAGTTGTGTTCACTGCTCTAGGCCAGAAGTCATGTGCCTTAGCAGGGGAGAAGCTGGAGACGGCTTGTGCTGCAGTAGGATAGCATTTTCTCCTGAACACAGACCCCCACAAGCCCTGTCTCTTTTCCTTTGAGCAGAACATCAGCTTTCCAAACCAGATGTGGTATCTCAGTTAGAGGAGGCAGAAGATTTCTGGCCAGTGGAGAGAGGAATTCCTCAAGACACCATTCCAGGTGAGAACCAGACATGGGAAGCCCCCACAGGGAAGGGGCCAACTGATGAGTCAGGGACCAGTATCTTGGAAAAGCAGTAGACATTGGGATACCCCAGGTGGGATGCTGTGATGAGCAGTTGCAGAACCAAACTCGAAGTTTTTCTCTGGCTCCACAGTCAGCAGTGTCCTACTTGGTTGAAAGTGAACCTGTTGCTGGTGGCAGGTGATACTTGTGTTGACAGTAGGGGCTCCCTTAGTCTGTTACACGCATTGTCTACTGCCCTCCCCTCATAATCACTGGTAACCCTGGTGTGTATTTCCAGCCAGACTTTCTTATATAGGCTTACGTGAATGTATGTGAATATATATACACATTTTGGGGGTGTTATAATACAGACAAGTCAGCTTCTTTTTGTTTTGGAGACAGGGTCTCTGTCACCGAGGCTGGAGTGCAGTGGCATGATCTCAGCTCACTGCACCCTCCGCGTCCTGGACTCAAGCTGTCCTCCGACCTCAGCCTTCCAGGTAGCTGGATCTATAGGCATGTACCACCATGCCCGTTTAATTGTTTTTTTGTAGAGACAGTGTTTCACCATGTTGCCCAGGCTGGTCTTGAACTCCTGAGCTCAAGTGATCCATCCACCTCAGCCTCCCAGAGTGCTGGGATTCCAGGCATGAGCCACCGTGTCTGTCTGGTCTGCTTTATTTTATTTATTTTTTGAGATGGAATCTCACTCTGTTGCTCAGGCTGGAGTGCAGTGGTGTGATCTCAGCTCCCTGCAACCTCCGCCTCCTGGGTTCAAGTGATTTTCCAGCCTCAGCCTCTGCAGTAGCTGGGATTACAGGTGTGCACCATGACTCCAGGCTAGTTTTTGTATTTTTAGTAACGGACGGTTTCACCATGTTGGCCATGCTGTTCTTGAACTCCTGACTTCAAGTGATTCACCCACCTTGGCCTCACAAAGTGCTGGGATTACAGGCATGAGCCATTGTGCCCGACCTCTGCTTTATTCTTAACAGCTTCAGTGTGGTCCACATTTGATTTTTCTTCTTTTGGTGGACATTAAATTTACTGCAGAAAACTTCCTTGCATACTTTTTTTTTGCACGAACAAGTTGGTTTTTCTGTAGGTTGGATTTCTAAATATGGAACTACAAGATCAGCCAATGTTGTAAACTAAAAATCTGGTAGTGACAAATTGCCATCTCAAATCCTTTAAGGCCAGGCACAGTGGCTCACACCTGTAATCCCAGCACTTTGGGAGGCTGAGGTGGGAGGTTGTTTGAGACCCTGTCTCTATAAAGAAAATAAAATAGGACAGGCACGGTGGCTCATGGCTGTAATCCCAGCACTTTGGGAGGCCAAGGCAGGCAGATCATTTGAAGTCGGGAGTTTGAGACCAGCCTGGCCAAAATGGTGAAACCCCATCTCTACTAAAAATACAAAAATTAGCTGGGCATGGTGGGTGCCTGTAATCCCAGCTACTTGGGAGGCTGAGGCAGGAGAATTGCTTAAACCCAGGAGATGGAGGTTGCAGTGAGCAGAGATCATGCCACTGCGTGACAGAGTGAGACTCCATCTCAAAAAAAAAAAAAAAATATATATATATATATATATATATATGTAAAAAATAGATGTGTGTGTGTGTGTGTGTATATATATATGTATATGTATATATATATATATATATATATATATATAAATCTTTAAAAATAGGCCAGGCACCAGGGGCTCATGCCTATAATCCCAGCAATTTGGGAGTCCAAGGCAGTAGGATTGCTTGAGGCTAGGAGTTTGAGGTTATAGTAAGCTGTGATCATGCCACTGCACTCTAACCTGGTTGACAGTGAGACCCTGTCTCAAAAAAAAAAAATTAAAAATCCTTCAGCCTACGTAGAGTTGGCTGAAGTAAATGACAACTCTTTTTCTTCTTTATCAACAGCAATTTGTAATGGTCTTTTTAAGGTTTGCAGATCTGATGGGATAAATACAATATGTTCAATTTAGTTCACATTTTCCGCACAACGGACCAAGTTGGACATATTTTATAAATCTATGGCCTGTTTGTATTTTTTCTTTTGTGAGTTCATATATTTTCTCATTTTTTTCTTGTTTGTGGGAATTCTCTATGTTCTGGATGTTAATATTGAAATATCATATCCCAGACCATATATTGTCTACCTTTATGTAGTCTCTATACAGAAGTTTTATAATTTCTTTTTCTTTTCAAATATGTCTTTGTTTCTGTTTTAGATTCTGTATCATATATAGGTAGATTATCCAAACACTTTAGTGTGTTGTGGTATTTGTTATATACCTCGAACTGCTGCGCTCAAGCAGTCCTCCTGACTCAGACTCCCAAAGTGCTGGGATCACAGCACTTAAATTTTTTTCTTTTTAGTTCAGTTTATCTGGAATTTCGTTTTATATATGGGTGGGGTTCATCCTCTGCTTATTGGAAATATCATATTTGTCATGGGCTAAATAGCTGTCTTTATATACTGGCCTCTATGGGCTCTCCCTTGATCTTTTCTGTCTCTGAGTAAATGCCATGTTACTGTACTTTGATATATAGTAGTTCCCCTTGTCATTTAAAAAAAAGAAAAAGTCTTAGCTGGCTTTAGCGATCTATTTCTCCAGATGAACACTTATTCTCAGCTTGTCAGTGTTCATTGAGAAAATCTTGTTGGGATGTGTATTACATTTAATTAGGTTTTCATTATTACTATTACCTGATCAGGTTAATCCTGCCTCATGGTCTTGCATAGTTGTTCCAGATGAACCTGTCATGCTCTTAAATTCTTTGATCTTTTTTGGCCGGGCGGGCACGGTGGCTCACACCTGTAATCCCAGCACTTTGGGAGGCTGAGGTGGGCAGATCATGAGGTCAAGAAATCGAGACCATTCTGGCCAACATGGTGAAACCCTGTCTCTGCTAAAAATACAAAAATTAGCTGGGCGTGGTGGTTCGCACCTGTAATCCCAGCTGCTTGGGAGGCTGAGGCAGGAGGATCACTTGAACCTGGGAGGCAGAGGTTGCAGTGAACCCAGACTGCGCCACTGCACTCCAGCCTAGGCGACAGAGCAAGACTCTATCTCAAAAAAAAAAAAAAAAATTTATCTCTCTCTTTTTTTTTTTTTTTTTGAGATGGAGTCTCCCTCTGCCACCCAGGCTGTAGGGCAGTGCGATCTCAGCTCACTGCAACCTCCATCCTCTGGGTTCAAGTGATTCTCGTGCCTCAGCCTCCTGAGTAGCTGGGACTACAGGCATGTGCCACTATGCCCGGCCAATTTTTTAATCATCTGTAACAGTTGTGTTACATCATGTAGTTGTATTCATCATGGATAGTATATCCAAAATTGTGTGAAGCTCAGAGTTTAAAGAGTTGGTATCTAGTCTCTGACTTAAATGGAAAAGTTTCTAGGTTTTGATGAGCTTAATGCTAGATTCTGCTTTGATTCAAATCAGTTTTATCTGGATTAACAAATAGTCATGTTGTCTTTCCTGATGAATAAAAATCGGTAATATCTTCTATTTCCCTTCTAGAGCATACTAAAGTGGTCACACAATTCTTCTCCTTTGAGCAGTTAACATAGGAGTATAATAGATGTAGAAGTTTTGTAACGTGCTGCTGGAGTCTTGAATTTTTAAAGGGTTTTTGTGTCAGTATTCATAAATTATGTTGGGGAGGTGGTTTTCTTTGTGTGTTTGCTTGGTCAGCTTTTCTGTCAGTGTGCTGAATGCTTTCCCTTCTCTTTGTTTTCTGTGCTGTGGTGCAAGTGGCATCAGAACTGCCCACTTCTGGCAGTATTGAGCTGTGACATCTGCACCTAACCCCCATCCTTGGTGATGACCTGTTTGCCACAGAATAGAGGGCTAGAGTCTTTCTCTGTGACTCTCCCCAACCCCCAACCTTTCTGGGGGCCCTGTTTCTGATTTCTTCGTATTTCAGCTTCCTGGCTCAGCATTAGTATTTTGGTTTTTGTTTCCACATTCAAAGTTTTTCCTTCCATTCCCTTCACTGAAAATCTTTGTTAGCAAAAGAGGTCACTAAACTATTTCATCTGCAAAGTCTCCAGCAATGCAAGTACTTTGTATCTGCCTGCAGTGGTTTCTGTGCCCCTTGGTTTTTGAGACAGAGTCTCACTCTATCGCCAGGCTGGAGTGCAGTGGTGCCATCTCAGCTCACTGTAACCTCTGCCTCCCAGGTTCAAGTGATTCTCCTGCCTCAGCCTCCAGAGTAGCTGGGACTACAGGTGCACACCACCACGCTCAGCTAATTTTTTGTATTTTTAGTAGAGACTGGGTTTCACCATGTTGGCCAGGATGGTCTTGATCTTTTGAACTTGTGATCTGCCCACCTCGGCCTCCCAAAGTGCTGGTATTATAGGCGTGAGCCACTGCCCCCGGCCCAGCCTCCTGATCTTCCTTTTGGTCTTTATGTCTCTGGATTACTCAGGCTGTGACAAGTCTGCGTTTCATCCTTCTTGGAGCTGAGGACTCATGTCCTGAATGGGCAAACCTCCAGGCCATACACTTCTGGATGATCTGGTAGTATCCTAAATCTGGCTGATGTCTGGGGCACTGTGGGTGCCACACATCTTGGGAGAGCTGACTCCACAGGTGACAGATTCAGGGTGGTGTCCCAGAGTCAGAGGCCACATGAGGGGAGGCTCATCAGGAGGTACTGTTGCAGTCTCAGCCTGAGGTGATGGGTGTCCAACTCATCTCTGCTCTGTCACAGAAAGAGTCCTTAATTAGATGCTGTCCTTCCTCTTCTCCTTCTTCCACCTCACAGATACTTATGGAGGGCCTTTTCTGTCCCATGCAATATACTTACTAAAAACTTCGGTGATAAACCAAAGCACTTACATAATCTCTACCATCTTAGACTTCATAGTCTAAACAATGATGGCCTTTTACAAACATGTTACACAGATACAGTGATAAATGTACTGAGAAGGAAAAAAGCCTGATATAAAGAAGGGGAGCAGTGGGGAATTACTTCAGAAGACCTAGTCAGGGGACACTGCAGGGGTGAGATTTTAGCCAATTCCTGAAGGAAAATAAGTCCGTGGACATATAGGATTGGTGGTGAAGACAGCTTCTAGGCATGGAGGCACCATTTGAGGTGACTGTCAGATGGGAAAGAACTTAGCATTTCGAGGGCCACTTCGAGCCTAGTGGACTAGGAGTAGGTAAAATGAAGGGATGTGACATTGCTTTTCACAGCTCACTCTGGGTGGCTGTGAAGAAAGAATTGTGGTATGTCACAGATTGGAGGCAGGCAGGGCCCGCAGTTATACTTGGTAATACCTGCTAACATGTGGTAATAAGTGGCCTGAGAGTAACAGCACATTTGGGGAAAATCAGGTGTGTGTGATTCATAGGTGGACTCAGTGGACCTAGGTGAGTGATTGAGAGGGATGAAAGAACAAGCCATCAAGAATTTCTCGTAGGTGACTGCGTCTAACATATTTCATACGTAAAGTCGGACCTCCTGCACATAACAAAATCCACAGATGCTCAAGTGCCCAATATAAAATGGTGTAGTGTTTGCATATGACTTACTCACATCCTCCCATATAGCTGAAGTCATCTCTAGATTACTTATAATACCGAATATGATGTAAATGCTGTGTAAGTAGTTGTTACACTGTTTAGGGAATGGTGACGAGGAAAAAAAGTTTGCACATGTTCAGTACATTTGCAGCCATCTTTTATATATTTTTTTGAGTTGAGGTCTCACTCTATGTATCACCCAGGCTGACGTGTAGTGGCATGATCATGGCTCACTGCAGCCTTGAACTCCTGGGCTCAAGTGATCCTCCTGCCTCAGCTTCGTGAGTAGCTTGGACTACATGTGTGCGCCATTACGCCTGGCTAAGTTTTATATTTTTTTGTCACCATGTTGCCCAGGCTGGTATCGAGCTTGCCTCAAGCAATCCTCCCCGCGTCAGTTTCCCAAAGTGCTGAGATTACCGTCTTTAGCTACCATGTTTGGCACATCATTCATTTTTTTTTTTCCCTCAAATATTTTCAATCCAGAGTTTGTTGAATCCACAGATGTGGAACCCACAGAATATACAGGTCCAACTGTACATTCTTTTTGTCACTATCTTTTTTCTTTTTTTTTTTTTGAGACACAGTCTCGCTCTGTTGCCCAGGTTGGAGTGCAGTGGCACAATCTCGGCTCACTGCAAGCTCCACCTCCTGGGTTCACGCCATTCTCCTGCCTCAGCCTCCCGAGTAGCTGGGACTACAGGCGCCCGCCACCACGCCCAGCTAAATTTTTGTATTTTTAGTAGAGACAGGGTTTCACCGTGTTAGCCAGGATGGTTTCGATCTCCTGACCTCATGATCTGCCTGCCTTGGCCTCCCAAAGTGCTGGGATTACAGGTGTGAGCCACCGCGCCTGGCCTTTTTTTTTTTTTTTTTTTTTTTTTGGAGAGTCTCGCTCTGTCATCCAGGCTTCTGTAGTGCAGTGGTGCAATCTCGGCTCATTGCAACCTCTGCCTCCTGGGTTCAAGTGATTCTCCTACCTCAGCCTCCTGAGAAGCTGGGACTACAGGACTGTGCCTGTATGTGTCCATCGCTTCTTTTAAAAATATGATAAAGGGACCAGGTGTGATGGCTTATGACTGGAACCCCAACACTTAGGGAGGCTAAGGTGGGAGGATCACTTGAACTAAGGAGTTCAAGACCACCTGACAAACACAGCAAAACGTCATCTCTACTAAAAATAAAAATAATAAGCCAGATGCAGTGCTGCATCCCTGTAGTCCCAGCTACTTGGGAGGCTGAGGCAGGAGGATTGCTTGAGCTTGGGAGTTTGAGGCTGCATTGAGCTGTGATTGTACCACTGCACTTCAGCCTGGGCAACACAGCAAGAAACGGTCTCAAAAAAATATATCTATATCTATATCTATATATCTATATCACATATGAGATAAAAGGGTCAGATGTGGTGGCTCACACCTGTAATCCCAACACTTTGGGATGCCAAAGCAGGAGGATTGCTTGAGGCCAGATGTTTGAGATCAGCTTGGGAAACATGGTGAATACAAGTCTCTGCAAAAAAATAACAAAAATTAGCTGGGTGTGGAGGCAGGAGGATCACTTCAGCCTGGGAGGTTGAGATTGCAGTGCACCACTGCACTCCAGCCTTTGTTTCAAAAATATGTGTGTGTGTGGGTGTGTGTGTGTGTATGATAAGGGAGAACAATTATTTCTGAGTTTTTGGCATTAGCCAAGGATGTGGGGATGTCTGGTAAAGACCTAGACTTTGCTGAGGGGAGGAAATAAGGGGTTTGTGTTTTCTGTGTTTTTTGTGTTTTGTTTTTTACCTTTTTTTTTTTTTTTTTTTTTTTTTGAGGCAGGCTCTCACTTTGTCACCCAGGCTAAAGTGCAGTGGCCCCATCTCACATCACTGCAACCTCCACCTCCCAGGTTCAGGCAATTCTCCTGCCTCAGCCTTCTGTGTAGCTGGGACTACAGGCACCTGCCACCACACCTAGCTGATATTTTGGACTTTTTAGTAGAGACAGGGTTTCACCATGTTGGCCAGGCTGGTCTCAAATCCCTGACCTGAAGTGATCCTCCCACCTGGGCCTCCCAAAGTGCTGGGATTACAGGTGTGAGCCACCACACCTGGTCTGTTTTTTACTTTTTGTGTTGAAATAATTTTTAATCTTTTTCTTCGGCCGGGCGCGGTGGCTGATGTCTATAATGCCAGCACTTTGGGAGGCCAAGGCGGGTGGATCACCTGAGAAGTTCGAGACCATCCTGGCTAACACGGAAACCCCATCTCTACTAAAAATACAAAAAATAGCCGGGCACGGTGGCGGGCGCCAGTAGTCCCAGCTACTCAGGAGGCTGAGGCAGGAGAATGGCATGAAGCCGGGAGGCGGAGCTTGCAGTGAGCTGAAATAGCACCTCTGCACTCCAGCCTGGGCGACAGAGTGAGACTCCATGTCAAAAAATAATAATAATAATAAATAAATAAATAAATAAAAATACAAAAATTAACTGGGCATGCTGGTGTGCACCTGTAGTCCCAGCTACTCGGGAGGCTGAGGCAGGTGAATCGATTGAACCCAGGAGGTGGAGGTTACAGTGAGCCGAGATGGTGCCACTGCACTCCAGCCTGGCGACAGAGTGAGACTCTGTCTCAAAAAAAAAAAAATACACATATATGTGTGTGTATATATGTGTGTGTATATATATACACACTAATAGTATGGATAACTCAATAGCTTTCACATTGATTGAAGTTTTTGAATTGTCCCATGTCTTAACTGATTCTTGTAATGACAGATGAATGAGAAGGCACCATAGAGACACTCAAGGGTTTGCAAATCCAGTCGAATACACCTATTTAGACCTAAGAAGGAGATCCACACAGCACATAAAAACATCCGTGTGGAAGTCATAGGTGTTTAGAATGGAATGCTTTACTGTGAGTGTGAGACGGGGAACTGTCTTCTAAAGTGGTCAGTTTCTCCCAACAGTGGCATAGCTGTGCATCTCATTAATGGACAGAACTGGTATTGAGTTTAGACTTGGGCCATTTTGACAACTCTGTGTGCTTCTCGAGCTTCCCATGATAGCAAGAATGGCAGTCAAGTCAGCAGTCCCCAACCTTTTTGGCACTAGGGACCGGTTTTGTGGAAGACAGTTTTTCCGTGGACCTTGGGGTGGGGAGGGATAGTTTTGAGATGAAACTGTTCCACCCCAGATCATGAGGCATTAGATTCTCATAAGGAACATGCAGCCTAGATCCCTCATGCACAGTTTACAATAGGGTTCATGCTCCTGTGAGAGTCCAGTGCCACTGCGGATCTGACAGGAGGTGGAGCTCAGATGGTAATGCTCATTTGCCTGCCGCTCACCTCCTGCCGTGCAGCCTGGTACCAGTTTATGGCCTGGCAGCTGGGGACCCCTGGTTTAAGTAGAAGGGAAACAAATGCTAGGACAAATGGCATTCATCCTCAGGAAAGCACTGAATGAGGAATGATGCTGTGACAGTAAGCAATGTAGGGAAAATAGGTGGCACTCGAATCTTCAGCTCTCACTAATGTCCCTTCAAGAACCATTGCCATATATGTGGCTCTTGGGTGGAATACTTGAGATGTAAACTATTACAGATTTAGTCATTAGGAAAGGAATGCAGGGAAGAGACTATTATGAAGGTCATGATTTAGGAAACCCTGCAGGGCATTTTACATTTTTTACTTGTCAAGAAGTTAAGTAGAGGCCAGGCACGGCGGCTCATGCCTGTAATTGCAGCACTTTGAGAGGCCAAGGTGGGCAGATCATTTGAGCTCAGGGGTTTGAGACCAACCTGGGCAACATGACGAAACCCTATTGCTACATAAAATAGAAAAAATTAGCCACACATGGTGGCGTGTGTCTATAGTTCCAGCTACTTGGGAGGCTGAGGTGGGAGGTTGGCTTGAGCCTGGAAGGTGGAGGTTGCAGTGAGCTGGGATCCTGCCACTGCAGAAAAAAAAACAAAGTTAAGTAGGAAATGAGTCCTACAAATAAGAACTTAGCAGCTTTTTTGAAACATAGACCAAACATGAGTCTGAAAAATAAGTTTGATGAGGTGAGTGTTTTATTGGGAGGAAGAAAGCCAAATTCTTCTTGAGATTCCATCCTTTGTATAGCTTGAGAGGGTCACATAGGCTATAGAGTGATCAACAGCATACCATTCTTTTATCCAAGAATAAGATGGAGTAAATGTGTTTAGTTTGAAAAAATTCACTTTCAGCCTGTCTTTGCCCTCTTTAATGTTTTTGCCCTCTTTAATGTCTTTGCCATCTTTCACGGGACATTAACCAGCAAACACCCCAAATGAAGTAAGTCCTTTTCATGAACTTTTCACCATCTGAGAACTCACACAGGGAAGAAACCTCAGAAATATGATCACGTGAGGAAAGACTTCTGGCCTAACTCAGTCTTATCTTGAGAGGATTCATACTGGAAAAGTTCTTACATTGAGTATTACATCTAAGAGCTTCTGAAACCATGAGAATATAATTGCTGTGGGAAAGGTTTTATGCATAGCTCCCTTATTCAGCATCACAGAAGTTGTACTAGAGATTACCTGAGAACATAGGGCTGGGAAGCCTTCGGGTGTCCCAGAACTCACTGGCAAGGATCCCTCTCTGAACACAGCATTTTGGGAACCCCTTCAGTAGGAGTCCTCATTGTTTTCAGCATCAGAGGACTCATATGGGCAAACATCCTGTGAATGAAATCTGTGCAGACAAATGACCAGCCTTAACTCTCACCTTATGTGACAGAACGAAAAAAATATACACTGAAAAGAACCCCGTTGAATAATAAAAATGAAATGTCTCATCCTATTTTTATATCATGTCGTAGAGAAGGCAAACCCTACATAAAACACTGATAAGTATATAAATGTAGTCTTGTCTCTTCTAATTTGCTTATTATCTGACCTGAACATCTAGAACAAATATTTAAAATATGGATGAGAGCAGGTGTTCTTTTACTTCTGTATGTCCCCATTTGCTAACACAATGACTGAATTACTAGGAACTCAGTACATAACGTTGAGTGAATAGATGTCTGAAGAAGTTGCAGGAGACAAGAATATGTCTTCAAAGAGAAGACTGAATACAAGGCCAGGCTTTGAAACAAAAGGGTAGGTAAGAGAGGGTAAAGGAAAATCTTGAGAGAGTGCTACAAAGAACTCTGCGGGGCCCACATTCTTGGCAACTAGGTTGAGTCTGGAATGTTGGGTGGCTGTCAAACATGTTTTGGCTGGAATTCAGTGAAGCAGAGTCATTTCATGCTTTGTGATCTTTTATTGAAGAACACTTTACATTCTCTGCCACCTCCCACATATCTGATCTCTAAGACCTGTGTAAATCGTGATCCTCTTATCTGGGGATCACTCTCCCTGTGTTCTAGGGCTTGTACTCAGGGATAACTTCAAAGTCTGAAATGTCTTAAGTAGTAATTAAGAAGGAAAACAAACGAACTAAGTGTTTGAAGCAGACATTTTTGGGGGGAAAGAAAAATACCATCAACAGTCCTATAGAAAGAGGAACAATGGCTTTAAGAAAAAAAAAGAAGAATAAATGAGTCAGAAATAGAGAAGAAAAAAATATTCCAAGAGCTCATTTTCTGGATAGGCAGAATGCCAAAATGACTTTGAGTAAGTAAAGAATAAATAACCAACCAGTAAACCTATACAGGGGAAAAGAACCTGTACAGATATTTTACATGTAGTTTTTAGTTACAGTAGTTTGCACAGCTGTTACAAAGAATGAGCAACCTCTTTATGTATTGATTTGAAACCACATGTGTGTACTTAAAGTATATGACATTTTAATATATAAATATACATAAACTATTTCTTAAAATTTAAGTGTGCTTGCTTTGGCTTCACATATACTAAAATTGGAACAGTACAGAAGATGAGCATAAAAATTTAAAAATAACAAAATACATAGTCAAGTGCGAACACACAAACATGGTTGTGTGTCAGTTGATCATCAGTGGAAAGACATGGAGACTTCTTTGGAATTTTATATTAATTTTCGGAGGTGCTGCCCATAACTGTGATCATATGGAAATGGTAGCTCCTTCCTGTTGTGTCACTGCTTCCTGGTCCAGTTCCTGACACAGTATAGGTGCTCAGTAATTATTTGTTGAGTGTAGGAATGAACAAACAAAACATGGAAAGATTTTTGGAAAAGTGTAGAGTTGCCAAAATTAGTCCTAGGAGAAATATTAAAATTAACTTTGACTTTTTTTTTTTTTTTTTTTTAGAACAAATTGACCACTTGCATCTGAGTACTGCCCTGAGCAGTGGAGATTTTTTAACTTCCCATTAAAGACAGGGATGGGTGCAGTGGCTCACCCATCTCAGCACCTTGGGAGGGTGAAGTGGGAGAATTGCTGGAGCCAGGAATTGGAGACCACCCCGGGCAGCATAGCAATTCCTGGTCTCTACAAAAAATTTAAAAATTAGCCATGTGTGCTGGGGTGCGCACCTCTGAAATACTATTAAAATGATACTATTTGGCTGGGCACGGTGGCTCAGTCCTGTAATGCTGGCACTTTGGGAGGCCGAGGCAGGTGGATCACCTGAGGTCAGGAGTTTGAGACCAGCCTGGCAAACATGTCAAAACCCTGTCTCTACTAAAACTACAAAAAATAGCCAGGTGTGGTGGTGGGCGCCTGTAATCCCAGCTACTTAGGAGGTTGAGACAGGAGAATTGATTGAACCCGGGAGGCGGAGGTTGCAGTGAGCCGAGATTGTGCCACTACACTTCAGCCTGGGCGACAGAGCAAGACTCTGTCTAAAAAAAAAAAGATTCAGCAAAATGACATTACAAAATAAATTCATAGTAATAGCTTGGCTTGGCCAGGTATGGTGGCTCACACCTGTACTGGAGTGGCTCAATCCCGATACTTTGGGAGGCCAAGGTGAATGGATCACTTGAGGCCAGGAGTTCAAGACCAGCCTGGCCAACATGGTGAAACTCTGTCTCTACTAAAAATACAAAAACTTAGCCGGGCGTGGTGGCGTGCACCTGTAATTCGGGAGGCTGAGGCATGAGAATTGCTTGAACTCAGGAGTTGGATGTTGCCATGAGCAGAGATCGCACTACTGCAGTCCAGCCTGGCTTATGGTGCGAGATTCCATCTCAAAAAGAAAGAAAAAGCTTTGGTTTACACCAGGAATATCAAATTTGACATGGATATACAAAATACATTAATACCTTTAAAAAGTTATACCAAAGAATAAATTATTAAAGAATGAGCAGGACCTATTTGAAGAAAGTTGTAAGTGCTGGAGTGTGGAAGACTTGATAAATAGAAGTATTAACTTATTTTGAGGGCTTAAAAAGGCTAGAAGTACTGATGTCCTTTTCCTGAGTCCTGAAGTCATTCTAGCCATCAACCTCTGGAGAAATGCTGCTGGGGCCATTTTACCATGGGACCAGAAATACAAGTCCCTGACATGGGCTTGGCTGAGAAGAAGCAAGTGGGGTGCAAACTATGTGTGCTTTCATGTTGCAAAGAAGCTGTGTTGAATCAACAAATATTACTTGAGCACTTGCCAGGATTCCAGGTACTGTTCCAGGGCTGGATCACAGTGATGAGTGGGGCAGGTCTTACACCTGCTTTCATTGGGCCTACATCCATTCCATGGCTGATTGGATCAACAAAAATGAAGTTGCCCATTCAGTACCTCAATTGCACTGGGCACCTTTCAACTGCTCATTGGCCCTGCAGCTAATGCTACTATGTTGGACAGTACAGATCTAGAACATCTCATTTATAGAAAGTTCCATTGGACAGCACTGCTCTAGATAGGGTGATAGACATGATAAATTAATGAATCAGATATTTGGGATGGTAATGAGTGTTGGAAAGAGAAGGAAACAATGGGATACATTGGTGGGGGACAAGCGAGGTACGGGTGGGCAGCAGTAGTTCAGAACTAAGTAGGAAGATGGTTCTGAGGAGGTGACGTTTGAGCTCAGACCTGAATGGGAAAGGCGAACCAGGTGAAGATGTTGGGGAAGGTGAACCAGGCGAAGATGTTGGGGAAGACTATACCAGGCAGGAGGGTGGTGCACATGTGGATCTCTGGATGAAAGGCCATATTCTAGGAAAACTAAGATGGTGGCTGTGGGAGACCCCTTTAGCGTCAAGGACATGAAATAACAGGGTTTGGAACCCGGCTCCTTTGTTGCCCACTATGTTAGGCCGTTCTTAAATTGCTGTAAATACCTGAGACTGGGTTATTTATGAAGATAAGAGATTTAATTGGCTCACAGTTCTGCAGGCTGTACAAGGGTGGCACTGGCATCTGGTTGGCTTCTGGGGAGGCCTCAGGGAGCTTTTTACTCATGGTGGAAGGCAGGGAGCAGGCACATCATGGGAAAAGCAGCAGCCAGAGAGAGGAAGAAGGTGCCGCATACTGTTGTTTGTTTGTTTTGTTTTTTTTTTTGGAGACACGGTCTCACTCTCACCTAGGCGGTAGTACAGTGGTGCGATCATGACCCACTGCAGCCTCGACTTCCTGAGTTCAAGCGATTCTCCCACCTCAGCTTCCTGAGTAGCCAGGACTACAGGCACATGCCGCTACGCCTGGCTAATTTTTTTTTTTTTTTTTTTTTGTGGAGATGGGGTTTTGCCATGTTGCCCAGGCCGGTCTAGAACTCCTGGGCTCAAGCGAACCACCTACCTCAGCCTCCCAAGGTGCTGGGATTACAGGCGTGAGCCATTCTGCCCGGCCACACTTTTTTAAACAACCAGATCTCGTGTGATTAACTTAACCACCAGGAGGATGGTGCTAAGCCATTCTTGAAGGTTCACCAGGCCCCACCTCCAACACAGCATCACTTTTCAACCTGAGATTTGGTAGGGACACAGAACCAAACCGGATCATCCACTCTGCAACCCTGGGCAGGGTTCCTAGCCTATCCCAGCATGAATTTCTTTTTTTTTTTTTTCTTTCTGAGATGGAGTCTTGCACTGTCGCCCAGGCTGGAGTGCAGTGGTGTGATCTTAGCTCACTGTAACCTCCACCTCCTGGGTTCAAGTGATTCTCCTGCCTCAGCCTCCCAGGTAGCTGGGACTACAGGTGCCCGCCACCTCGCCTAGCTAACTTTTGTGTTTTTAGTAGAGACGGGGTTTCACCATATTGGCCAGGCTGGTCTCAAACTCCTGACCTTGTGATCTGCCCACCTCGGCCTCCCAAAGTGCTGGGATTACAGGCATGAGTCACCGCACCAGGCATATTTCTTTTGTGTATGGTGTACATTTGCTTCCTGGGACTGTGGGCAGCCTTCGTGAAATGATGGTACTGTCATTGATTCAAAAACTGAGTAACGTAAAGATGATCAGCAGCCTTTGGCAGATCCTCTACTTAGGGGTGTGAGATCCACAAGTCCCAGTTGGCAGCCTCAGTGGTACACTGGAGGAGACAGATGCAGAAGGTAATCCAACAGGGAGCTTAGGGGCACTGAGGGAATGATGAGAGAGAACAGGAGAGCTGAGAGCTTTCCAGACAAGGAGGAAAAGTGATGGGGTACTGTGCCCAGGGATTAGGGGAGCTGAGGGTAAGTACTCTTCTGACTTTTCCCCCACAAGCTGCTAAAAAGATCATTGCTTTTCGTTATATTTTGGACTGGTATACCTGGCTAATCAGCATTCACTGGCAAACAGCACTGTGAGGAAGACAGCTGCCTAAGGCCTGTTTGTCACCCTGGAAGGGAAGCAGCAGAGAGGTAGAAGTATCCTGAGAGAAGAAAATAGTGTCAAGAGGGAGAAAGCAGCAGCTCCCATCAAGCCCTTACCACATGCTGTGCCTGGACTTTGGTATCTCATCACTTTGGGTGAAGAAACTCAGGCTCAAGAAGTTAATCTCTCTTGATTAAACCCCTTGCTTTGAGCCTCAGTGAATTTGTTTCACAACCCATTAGACAGACAGTTGTAGGTGAGGTGACTACATTGCTACGGGCTCATTCAGTTGCTGGACTGAAAGCCATTTGGAGCTCCAGCTGATAGGGATTATGCAGCTCCACATGAGTGGGTTGGGTCAGTCATGTCTGTGGAATGAGATGGGTGGAATGAGAATCCAGTTCCACCTCTGCCTGGTGGTGAACTTAAGAGCTTCCATTTTCTCCTCCATGAAGTGGAGCAGCTAATTTCCTGCAATAGACAGTGGTAAGGATTGCCCTAAAGGTCTTGGGATAGTCTATGGGTTGACATTTGGAGGACTGAGGTGCACAGAATGAGTCCATCACTTCCTCACCAGTTTCTGGGTTTGTGGTCTCTCTGTTCACTGTGGTGTCCTTGGTTCCACAGCATGCAAAAGGTGCTTTATGATAACTGTGTACAGAACAGAGTGTGGGGCCTCATGGGTTAATAATAAAGATTAAAGCAGAAGTAAGTACATTAGAAAGGGGTGGGGTGGAGTAGAAGAATCCAACAGTTGTTTTCCTAGGGGCCAAGGCATGAAAATCCCTCGATTAAGGAATACAAAAATGAAATTTTAGAAATTTATGAAGTAACGTTTAAGATGTTTAAGTGTCATGCATGGTTACCTAAAATAGTACTGGTGGCCCAGTGCTGGTCTGCCACTTAGCCCCCCCCCAGGAAGTACAGATTCAGTTGGTGCATGTCCCATGTCCTAGGCACTTAGTCCGGTGCTGCTGGGCCTCCAGTAAATCTTATCCCCAGCTGCTTCTCAGGAAAAATTCAAGCCTTAAGAGCTGTAATTGGGCTGGGCACGGTGGCTCACACCTGTAATCCCAGCACTTTGGGAGGCCGAGATGGACGGATCACCTGAGGTGAGGAGTTCGAGACCAGCCTGGCCAAGATGGCGAAACCCTGTCTCTACTAAAAATACAAAAATTAGCTGGGCCTGGCGGTGGGCGCCTGTAATCCCAGCTGCGGCTGAGGCAGGAGAATTGCTTGAACCCGGGAGGCGGAGGTTGCAGTGAGCCGAGATCCCTCCACTGCACTCTAGCGTGGGCGACTAAGAGCGAAACTCCGTCTCAAAAAAAAAAAAAAAAAGAAAAAAACGCTGTAATTGAAAGAAAATAAATGAAGTATGCTTTCAAATTAAGAAAAGTTACTTGGGGCGAAGTAAGTCCCCAGAAGTCCTAAGAAACAGAAAGGGAATTAAATACAGATCAGAGCACTTATAAATGAGTTGGAGAGGCCAAGCCCCCAAAATGAAAATACCTCAAAAGCTTATTTGGGGGAAGAGGTTGGAATTAGGTGCACAAGTGTGTCTGATTAATCTTATCAAGAAGAAAAATCACTTCAAGCGTAGACTGGTAATGGTCGAAAATTTAAAGCGTGGCTCAGGTCGTGATCTACAATTGCGCCACCTCGCTGGAAGGACGGCCTGGGCTGCGAGAAGGCAGCGCGGGCACTGGCTCTGGGCAGATCCCAGCGCGGAGCTGACTCCCTGGGCCCGTGCCAGCGGTGGGCACCTCCAGCCAAACCTGTGCAGCGCGCAAACGGGAAGCCCAGACAGACCAGGGTTTGTACTCGAGGAACGGGAGAGGGGAGGGGTTGGGAGCCGTCTGCTGTGGCCTCAGCGGAACGTCTACCCCAGCCCGCGAGGTCCGGAGAAATACCTTCAGGTGGGGCAGGCGTGGAAACTCCTGCCGCACTGCCCCGTTGCCCCATGTAGGCCCAGGACGTGTCCCTGTCAGCGGGGACTAGGGAGAACGGTACCGGAAGCCCGTGTCTCGGAGGCTGCTGGGAGCTGTAGGCCCCGCGGGTGTCGTAGTTCTGGGCGCTTTTCCGGGTCCAGGGGGGGCAGGGTTCGAGGCGTGGCCTAGAGGCGTTGTAGGCGTCGACCCATTTCGTCGGCTGAGAGACTGGGTCTTGTGTGGACGGTGCTATTCTGGGCGAAAGGGTTAGCTTATGGTTGTGGCCTCGCATTCCTGAGTGCGCGATGACGGACTCGGCGGGTGCGTGAGAGACCAGGGCCGAGGAGGGGTCTGTGCAGGCGGCTTCCGGGCTCTGAAAGATGCTTCCGCCCGAGCTTTTTTATTTTTAACGTAGCTGCAGCTATTGCACACTAGTAATTTTCTGCTCTGCGACCGTTTTTCTGCGCTGTAATAATCACGCTAAAAGTAGTGCAGGTTTTACTGCTTACAAGGGAGTTTTTAACAATTTTCTTAAACTGTGTTACAACACTACCCGTTCTTCCAGTTTTGTCCTAACACCGCGCGGGGCAGGAATATTCCAGGTATGTTGTGGAAATAAAGACCAGGCCGTCCAGATGAGGACACCCAGAGGTTGACTCAGAGCCGGGTATAGTAGGGAGCCAGCCACGGTCCCTTGTGTTCTGTAGAGAGAGTCAAAGGCAGGTAGGGAGTGAGAAGACGTGCATTCATAAGGAAGGGTTCTGAGTGGAGAACCCTATTGGCTTGGCGGGGAGCAGTAAAAGGGTATATTGGCAGTCATCTAAGTCCTGAGCTGTGCTTGTTGCCAGAGGTTGTGGGTCAGTGCTGTGTTAACTATATTTGGTTTGGCTGTTGTGTTTTTATTCATTCCTTTGGTGCCTCTATACCTATCTTCATCTCCGAATAGCTCCAGTAGATTCATCCCGTGAAAGTAGCTGTGGTTCCTTGCTGTGGCTTTGCTAGTTCATGCTGAGCTACTTCCTGGTAGAATTGTGCTGACCATTTATATTCACAACAGCAAGGGTGAAATTGCAGGTTTGCTCTTGTCGTTGCCACTAAATATTACAAATATCAAAAGTAAGTCATAATCTGTAGTTATTTATACTTTTATATTTGTTTTTAAGGCCTTATTTTTTAGGGACAATATCAGGCTTGGTAGCCAAGGCTGGAGTGCAGTGGTGCAATCATAGATAACTGTAAAATCAAATTATTGGGCCCAAGCAGCCCTCCTGCCTCCAAGTAGCTAGGACCACAGGTGTATGCCATCACACCTGATTAATTTAAACTTTTTTAGAGACAGGGTCTCACTATGTTGCCCAGGCTGGTCTCAAGCTCCTGGCGTGAAGCGAATCTCCTGCCTCAGCCTCCCAAAGTGCAGGGATCACAGGTGTGAGCCACCCCGCTGGCCAAATTATTTAGAATTAGCATTTTGAAGGGGAGTTTTAGAGAGCTTTCTTGTTTCCTCTTGTTTTGTGCTGCCTCCTCAGCATTTCAGGACAGTCCTGGAGTTCAGTTTAGCAATGTGCTCTTGTGGACTCTGTGCCAGGACCCAGAGCCCCTGCCTTTCCCATATATCCTCGTTCTTGTCCCCAGTGGAGGTTGGAGAAGGTTCTTTTTCCTGTGACCATGCATACATGTACAGTGTCACAGATCCCTTCTCAACCCTCATTGCCTTTTGTTCTTTCCCTATAACAGCTCTATGGAGATATAATTCACACATTGTAAAGTTCACTCTTGTAAAGTGTACAGTTCAGTGTTTTTAAATATATTCACAGGGTTGTACAGCTGTCACTACTGTCTAATTCCAGAACATTTTCTTCACCCAAGAAAGAAACCGCATACCCATTAGCAGTCTCCCACCAATCCTCTCAATTTCTCCATTTCCTAACAATTACTAATCTACTTGTCTGTCTGTGGATTTTTATATTCTGGACATTTCATATAATATGTGGCCTTTTGTGTCTGGCTTCTTTTACTTAGCATGATGTTTTCAAGTTTCACCTGTGTTGTAGCATATATTAGTAGTACTTCATTCCTTTTTATTGCCAATATTTCATTATATGACTAGATCACAATTTGCTTATACATCCCTCAGTTGATAGACAATGGGTTATTTGTACTTGTTGGCTATTATGGATAACACTTTGGTGAACATTCTTATAGAAGTTTTTGGGGACATATGCTTTCAATTTTCTTAGCTATATATACTTGGGGGGAATGTCTGGGTCATGGATAACTATGTGTTTAACTTCTGAGGATTTACCAACCTGTTTTGCAGAGTGGTACAGCATTTTATGTTCCCACCAACAGTGTGTGAGCATTCTAGTTTTTCCACATCCTCTCCTGTTATCATCTGTCTTTGGTAACAGCCATGCTAGTGGGTTTGAAGCATATTCCACTGTGGTTTTGACTTGCATTTCCCTAGTGAATAATGGCGTTGAGCATCTTTTCATGTGCTTGTTCTCATTTGTCTTGCTCTGCTTTTGACTTACAGAGTATCCTGAGCTCCAGCTGGACCCTAAATTGGATCCTCTTCCTGCTGAGAGTCCCCTAATGAACATTGAGGTTGTTGAGGTCCTCACACTGAACCAGGAGGTGGCTGGTCCCCGGAATGCCCAGATCCAGGCCCTATATGCTGAAGATGGAAGCCTGAGTGCAGATGCCCCCAGTGAGCAGGTCCAACAGCAGGGCAAGCATCCAGGTGACCCTGAGGCCGCGCGCCAGAGGTTCCGGCAGTTCCGTTATAAGGACATGACAGGTCCCCGGGAGGCCCTGGACCAGCTCCGAGAGCTGTGTCACCAGTGGCTACAGCCTAAGGCACGCTCCAAGGAGCAGATCCTGGAGCTGCTGGTGCTGGAGCAGTTCCTAGGTGCACTGCCTGTGAAGCTCCGGACATGGGTGGAATCGCAGCACCCAGAGAACTGCCAAGAGGTGGTGGCCCTGGTAGAGGGTGTGACCTGGATGTCTGAGGAGGAAGGTAAGTAGAAGGGTGGGTAGAGGGACAGCTTAATGAGGGTGTCTTGGAGTACCCTGTGGGGGAGATAAGAACTCCAGGCTTCCTAGGAAGGTCATGGGAAGGATTGTGTCCGCTCCATACAGACCAAGGACATCCATGTTGCCCACGTGTTCCTGAGTCAGAGCCACTGAAACCCTTGCATTCTTTAGCCCTTCGTGGGCTTCTGATGGAAGCACACAGATGAAGTGCTTCATTTTTATCCCTCTGGCATCCCTGCTGCACCATAAGCCCTGTAGCACTTGATAAGATAGATGGGAATACTGAGCTCAGAGAGCCCGCAGTAGCAGGAGAGACAGGGATTTGACAAATGAGAATGCATAGAAAAATGCTGGGACTATGAGGAGCTCGAGGTGATGGTGAGGCTTATGAAGGTCTGCAGCTGACACCTGGTGTGGAGTGGAACTTGGCCAGGGTAAAGAAAGGGGGCAGGAAAGATGTGCCATGCAGAGGGGAGCACTGCCTGTAAGGGCCAAGATGGAAGGGATCACAGTAAATGCAAAACTCAGAAAAATCGGTTATGTTTGTGATGGAAGGGAGCAGAGGTTGGAGCTGGCACTGCCAGTGGGGACTTTAGTCCTAAAGCAAAGCAAAATGTTCTTCTAAAACAGTAGGGCTCGATCCCTGAGTTCCAGAAACTGGTGGCACCACTGGATTTGACCTTTAGAGATTTACCAGGCTGCATGTGTGGTGGATGGTGGACAGAGGATGGGGGCGAGGCTGGACACAGGCTACCCGCAGCTATTGCCATGCCCTCTGATGGGGTGGTGTCTTGGATAGGAGTGATGGTGATGTCTGACTGGGGAGAGACTACACGTGTGGAGTGTGTATTTGGGAATAAGACTGCAAGACTTGGTTTCTTCATCAGGCTGAGTTTCACAGAGCGTGCATGCTTCTGCATTGCTCACCTCCATTTTCCACATTTCACGGGTGCCCAGAAGATGTTTCTGATGTGAACGAATGATTGACTGGTTGATGTTTGTGATTGCAGGAAAGGGGAAGGTATCCTGCAGGGGGATGGTGGGATTCTAAGAGGCCAGGGCATCCTGGAGATCGGGTATCCGAGGCAGCAGGGCAGGCACTTGCATGAGTTGTGTCAGATGCACCAAGTCTGGGGTGCTGTACTTGGCAGAATAATTGCCCCAAAGGTGTCCATGTCCTGACTCCTGGACCCTGTGAATAAGTTGCCTCACATGACAAAGGGGACTTTGCAGAAACAATTAAGGATCTTGAGAGGGAGAGATGCACTGGATTATTTGAGTGGATCTAACATAACCACAGGGGCCCTTAGGAGAGGGAGGCTGGAGGGTCAGAGGAGATGTAATGATAGGAGCAGCTGATAGAGGAAGAAGCCATAAGCCAAATGTTTGGGGCAGCCTCTAGAAGCTGGAAAAGGCAAGGAATGGATTCTCCCTTGGAGCCTCCAAAAGGAACATAGCCATGCTGACACCTTCATTTTAGCCCAGTGAGGCACAAACCAGACTTCTCATCTCCAGAACCATAAGGTAATACATTTGCATTAATCTGAGCCGCTGGCATTGTGGCAATTCACTATAACAGCAATAGGAAACTAGTTAGTTAGGTGCCAAGGAGACAGTTGTGGGGTTAATGAGGTGAAAGTCAGTGAATTCACCCTGTGTTTAACCTCAGGGGTGAATAAAATAAATTAGTGCCACAGAAGACAATGGGAAGAGGCTTTCCAGAGAACCCTGAGAATCTCACATTATGTGATCAGTGTGTTAGTTGGGACGCTTGAGTGTGACTGCTGCAAAGCCTTGCACAGAATGGCTCAAGGGAGAAGGAGAATTTATTGGAAAAGTTCCAGGGTGCTCGAGCATCAGGCAGGGCTGGACCCAGGAGCTCCAATAGTGTCCTCCAGACTTGTCCTGTCCCTCATTCTTACCTCTTCTGCCCTCCACTGGCTTCATCATGGGCAGGCTGTCTCCCTGCATGGGATTTCTCTTTCCCAAATGTTCCAACTAAGGCCTTGTTGGCTCCAATCATCTGGCTATAGGCTGTGTTCATCCCAGATCTAATCACTGTGGCCAAGAGAAAGGGATGGTCCAGTGTGCCAGCCTAAGTCATCTTGTGGCCCACCTTGATGGTGGGGGTAGATTAGCATTGTGGAAGCCTGTGGACCATTTGGGGTCATGTGAGGAAGGTTAGAATGAAGGAGCCGTGGTTACAGGGGCCCTTGGGCCAGGTGGAGCTGTTGTTTTCTTAGGTGGAGGAGACTTGGTGACGTTCACCTCAAGATGGCTGCATTTCATGGGTCCAGGGAAAGTCTCACCTTCCATGAGGTGGGAGGAGAGAGGGAAGAAGGAAGAGGTGCCCAAATAGGCAGGGTGCAGGGCTTGGAGGCCGGAAACAGGGGCTTTGACTCTAAGGAGGGGGCGTCAGTCAGCTGCCTCACAGGAGGGGCTGGGGCCCTCAGCAGCCCCCGGAAAGGGAAGGAGTGGGACCAGAGTCTCAGCAGTGAGGACACTGGTGCCCTGTGACCCTTGGAGGGTGAGCCATCCCGGGCCCATCCAGGTGTGGGCACTCGGGCACGTGCTGTGAGGGGAGCAGAGCTGGTGGGAAGGGAGGACAGGAGCAGAGGCTGTCATGGAGCCACAGTACGATGCAGGGGTGCGGTGGCCCCATGGGTTGCAGAGAGGCCACCCTTGCCCTGCCTAAGGGTCCCCACACCTGCTGACCTCCTCTGGCTGGTGTCTCCTCCCAGTACTTCCTGCAGGACAACCTGCCGAGGGCACCACCTGCTGCCTCGAGGTCACTGCCCAGCAGGAGGAGAAGCAGGAGGATGCAGCCATCTGCCCAGTGACAGTGCTCCCTGAGGTAAGCGGGGAGTATCACCCTGTTTTGGTCACAGCATCTCCTGTGAGGCAGGCCCACCCCTGAGGCATCCACTCTGCCCTGGGCTTTCCTAAGACCTCCCACAGGCTGGGACATTCTGAGATTCTGAGCTCTTAGGTCTGTGCTGAAGCAATCTGAGTATGAAGAGCAGCCCTGCCCTCCAGCCACTGTGGCATCACTGGAGACAACGCATGGTGACCCGGGAGCTGAGAAAGCAGGAGGCAAGAGGGAAGGGACTAAGTGTTTACAGAGACTTGAGAGGTGGAACTACCACAGGCAGGCACATCTGTATCCAGGTCAGAACAAGAGAGCCCTCAACCTTCAGAAATGCATACTTAGGTATTTATCTTTGGTATCTGGGATTTGCTTCAGAATAACCCAGAGCTGGGGTGTGGGTGAAAAAGATTGGTCCTGATGCGCTGACCACTGGGGTAGTGGTATGTATGTGTCATTGGTCAGACCTGTTTGCACTGCAAATGGCTTATACTGGCTCAAGCGTAGAAGTCAATTTATTGGCTCTCATGTATTCTCTGGTAGGCTTCAGGCAAGGCTGCATCCAGGTGCTCCCAGGTGATGGGAAGAATCTCTGGCCAACCTGTTTCATGGCTCTGCTTTCTCCCCTTTCTTCTTCTTTTTTTTTGAGATGGAGTTTCACTCTTGTTGCCCAGGCTGGAGTGCAATGGCGCGATCTCAGCTCACTGCAACCTCTGCCTCCCAGGTTCAAGTGATTCTCCTGTCTCAGCCTCCTGAGTAGCTGGGATTACAGACAGCTGCCACTACACCCGGCTAATTTTTGGTATTTTTAATAGAGACGGGGTTTCACCATGTTGGCCAGGCTGGTCTCGAACTCCTGACCTCAGGTGATCCACCCGCCTTGGCCTCCCAATGTGCTGGGATTATAGGTGTGAGCCACTGCGCGTGGCCACTCCCCTTTCTTCTTAGGCAGATTCTGCCCCATGTAAGCAAAATGCCTCAGATCCTGGCAAAGCAGCGTTGGGGGTACCTCTTCTTCCCAAAGTCCTGGTCAGTTCCCCAGAAAGGACCAGTCATGGCTGTGCCAGGGTGACTGCCCTCCCCCAGGTCAGCCCTGTCGACAAAGGCAGGGGCTTGGTTGTCATTTCCACCAAGTGGGAAGACAGTATTAATAGATGGAGAACCCTCTGCAGTGGGAAGATTTCAGCAATGGGCAAGCTGGATAGAGCCGTGGTTAGGATGGAGTTGTTTGCTTGTTGCACTTGGAGCTCTTTATGAAGCAAGGGCTCTGCCTCCCAGCCTGAGACCCAGACCCTGGTTTGGACCCAGTAGAACTCTTGTGGGCCCTGGGTTGGTGTCTCTGAGCAAATCCCCAAAGCAGGAGAGTCCCTAGCACCGTGAGCTCTGTCAGAACCTCCCAGCTGGCCTTTCTTCTGCCCTCATTGACAACCCTCTGACCCTCTTGCTGAGCATAGACACATATGTGATGTTACAGGAGCCAGTGACCTTCCAGGATGTGGCTGTGGACTTCAGCCGGGAGGAGTGGGGGCTGCTGGGCCCGACACAGAGGACCGAGTACCGCGATGTGATGCTGGAGACCTTTGGGCACCTGGTCTCTGTGGGTAAGGCTGTGCCCCCTCTTCACCCACCTCAGGGCTGGTAGGCCACAGGAGCCCCAAGTCAGGGGTGTTCACCTTCTCTAGACTCCACACTGGGCATTCCCTCAAGGGGCCCTTGCTGCATCCAGGGCCTGTAAGTGGAACTGTAGACCTAGAGGGGTGAGGTCACTGGGTGGCCAGAAGCAGCCTTAGGTCCGGTGAAGGAGTGATTTGCTATCTATCTCCTGAGGGAGTATGAGAGAACAGGAACTCGAAGAGCTCGGAGGACACTCCCTGCCCTTCCTGTCCCTTGTTCACCAAGGTCAGTGCTCCCCTCCCTGCCGCTTCATTGCTTTTCAGTCTCTCTCCAGGTTGCATGACTCTATTTGGGAGAAAAAAAAAATCCTGACTTTTGAACTTAATTATGCATTTCATGCTCTCAGACCCATCCCAGCACATCTCTCTATGGGATCCACATCTTTTGTTTATTTTTTTCAGGGTGGGAGACTACACTGGAAAATAAAGAGTTAGCTCCAAATTCTGACATTCCTGAGGAAGAACCAGCCCCCAGCCTGAAAGTACAAGAATCCTCAAGGGATTGTGCCTTGTCCTCTACATTAGAAGATACCTTGCAGGGTGGGGTCCAGGAAGTCCAAGACACAGTGTTGAAGCAGATGGAGTCTGCTCAGGAAAAAGACCTTCCTCAGAAGAAGCACTTTGACAACCGTGAGTCCCAGGCAAACAGTGGTGCTCTTGACACAAACCAAGTTTCGCTCCAGAAAATTGACAACCCTGAGTCCCAGGCAAACAGTGGCGCTCTTGACACAAACCAAGTTTTGCTCCACAAAATTCCTCCTAGAAAACGATTGCGCAAACGTGACTCACAAGTTAAAAGTATGAAACATAATTCACGTGTAAAAATTCATCAGAAGAGCTGTGAAAGGCAAAAGGCCAAGGAAGGCAATGGTTGTAGGAAAACCTTCAGTCGGAGTACTAAACAGATTACGTTTATAAGAATTCACAAGGGGAGCCAAGTTTGCCGATGCAGTGAATGTGGTAAAATATTCCGGAACCCAAGATACTTTTCTGTGCATAAGAAAATCCATACCGGAGAGAGGCCCTATGTGTGTCAAGACTGTGGGAAAGGATTTGTTCAGAGCTCTTCCCTCACACAGCATCAGAGAGTTCATTCTGGAGAGAGACCATTTGAATGTCAGGAGTGTGGGAGGACCTTCAATGATCGCTCAGCCATCTCCCAGCACCTGAGGACTCACACTGGCGCTAAGCCCTACAAGTGTCAGGACTGTGGAAAAGCCTTCCGCCAGAGCTCCCACCTCATCAGACATCAGAGGACTCACACCGGGGAGCGCCCATATGCATGCAACAAATGTGGAAAGGCCTTCACCCAGAGCTCACACCTTATTGGGCACCAGAGAACCCACAATAGGACAAAGCGAAAGAAGAAACAGCCTACCTCATAGCTCTCAAGCCAGTTGAAGAAACCTTGCCTTTTCAGCTTGACCCTGCAATATAACATGCACAGGCCTGCTTGTGAATCAGGACTGAATGTGAAAGGGAAGTATTGAGTGAGGACATTCCCAAAACCAAAGGACAACTGAGGAGACTGCCCAGCACATAATGAATAAATAAGAAAATGAGTGAGGAGTTATTAACATCATTTGGAAAAAAGATTTCCCATTCACTTGATATTGTTTGTTCACTCATTTAGTCATTAAAAGTGAGATTAATAAAATCTGAAAATGTTATATAATAACTTTAAAAAGCCAGGTAATTAATAATCTGCACTGATATTACATCCACAGTACCACAGTATTTATGTGTATGAATTAAGGATTAAAAGATAATGTGGATAAATAAACTATTGATCTATGTCTGTGTAGAACCTGTGTATTTCCTGCCTGCTTAAATATCTCTATAGTAATGATTAATATTTAAGCAACATTAAAACACAAGGAAGGAGATCATCAGATAGTTCTAGAAGATTCTGTGCAAGGCTGCAGCACCTTGGGCACAAGATACTATGTGAGTTGGGATGACTGAATCTTTCTGCTCCTTAGGGGGTTGTCATGATATGGTTAGGTGGAGGTAAGGAAAATTTAAACCCAAAGGGCTGGAAACCCCAGGCAAGTGTGGGGCTTCCTGGGAATATTCATGTTTCTTTTGTTATTTTTCGCACAGAATCTCATCCTGTCACCCAGGTTTGAGTGCAGAGGTAGAATCATAGCTTACTGTAGCCTCGAACACCTGGGCTCAAAGGATCACCTGGGCTCAAAGATCCTCCTGGCTCAGTCTTTCAAGTAGCTGGGACTATAGGCATGCACCACCATGCCTAGCTTCATTTGGTTTGTGTTTCCATTTTTCCTGAGAGACTATCACAAGGAAGGCAACTGCTCTGGCCAGGAGCCCATCACTAAGTTAAGCAAAAAGACACTGGCAATACTAGAGCATGTACTTGCCCACAGTTCACATTCTTTCTCCAGGTCACATAGCCCACAGTATATGACCCGCTCCATTCCTTGTTCTAGGCTCCACCTTTGCTCTTGAGTTCCATGTAACATTTAACATAAAACTCTGGATCAAAAATACTTAGGTTCAAGACACTGGTTGAGTGCTACTCTGCATAGCCTCTTTAGAACCCTTGGGTCTTGCCAACAAGGGTGAGGTGCAGTCGTGCCATCTAGGATGAGAGTACCTCCTTTCTCTGCAGAAGTGAAAAACCCTTGGAGACAGGACCAGAGTAGATACCTTGAGCCCATGTGCCTGGAGAATGATGGTGGTACACCAGCAGCCCTATTGCCATTCACACATTGGGCACAGGGCTTGTGGTTGCTATGTTGCTTCTAGTCATTTCAGCACTTTAATATGGCACATGTTAGCTTCTTTGAGAACATACACAGTTGAAGAACTTGCCCAGGGACGTTAGTTGGTAAAAACAGCCTCCTCAGCTGTTCAGAACTCTACAATATCACCTCTCAAGAATGAACCAAAGAATGGGACCCTTGAGATTAGAACCTGGTAAACTAAAAATTCCCAGATTCCAAATCCTAGACTGAGGGGTGAGTCCAAAGTTTTAGTGATGGCTTCAGGAACTGAGATGATGGTTTGAGCTGGGTCTGGGAAAATAAGGGACCCAGGAATAGGAAAGGGGGAGAACATACTAGGGTATGGGAGAGCTGATTGGAACTACAAAGTACAAGGCCAGTGGGTCCATTCCAAGGTATGGAATGGCTCATCTCATGGCTGGCACCTGGGCTTGAGGTGGCTCTAAGGCTGAGTTCAGTTGTGTTAGGTTCTCTCATCCAAAGAGCCAGGGTTCCAACAGTATTAGGCAGAAACAGCATGGCTTTTTCTGACCCAGCCTAGGTCACATGGTGTCACCCCAGGACAGTCTATCCTTTACAAGCCAGTCACTAAGGCCAGCCGGATTCAGTGGGAAGGGGGTTAAACTCCATCTCTTGAAGGGAGAGTACCAAGGTTAAGAAAGGCAGGAGAGTGTGGTGGCCAACTCTGGTTAAAAAGGTCTACAAGTATGCCAGCATTTACCTTTAAATACTGTGTATCCCCACCTGTGCTTGCAAGACAGGAAGAGGAAGGCAGGGAGAGAGGCTGCACATGTGGGAGCTGACCCACTAGACACAATTATTAGATGTAGTTTAAATCCTGGCTCTGCTCCTCACTGGGTCTGTGATTGTCAGAAAGAAGATTAATGCCTGGAGGGTCCACGTTCCATATATCCAGTACACCAGTGAAAAGGTACATGACGCTGGGCACAGTGGCTCACGCCTGTAATCCCAGAACTCTGGGAGGATCATCTGAGGCCAGGAGTTAGAGATCAGCCTGGGGAACATGGCAAGATCCTGTCTGGAAAAAAAAAAAAAAAAAAAGGCCAGGTGTGGTGATGCACCTGTAGTCCCAGCTACTCAGGAGGCTGAGGTAGGAGGAATGCTCGAGCCTAAGAGTTTGAGGCTGCAGTGAGCTATGATAGCACCTCTGCACTCCAGCCTGTGTGGGAGTGAGACCTTGTCTCAAAAATAAATTTAAAAATTGTAAAAAGAGGTTACAAAGATGTTAGCTTCTTTGAGAACACATGCAGTTGAGGAACTTGCCCAGGGATGTTGGTAAAAACAGCCTCTTCAGCCATTCAGAACTCTACAATATCACCTCTCAAGAATGAACCAAAGAGTGGGACCAATTAATTCCAGCACATCCACTTATTTGTTCAACAAGAGTGTCTGTATCATTTACCAAGAAGGATTAAAAAGTAATTTTGTTCTCTTTGTTCCTTTGTGGCTGATTTTTAATGCAGAGACTATGTATCCTGGATCTAGCCAGTTGAGCAAACTCTGATTAATTTTAATAGGTTTTACTAAAATCTGGATTTCCATACTTTTAATTTTATGTTAATCTTTGCATAGTTTTCTTCTGAATACAAAGTAACAGAAGATTTGATTTTTTAAAAATCTCTCTTTCCACCATCCTTTGGTGCCGTCGTCAAGGTGCGGATGAATATCCTGTCTGATGTTCTCAAGAGGATCAACAATGCTGAAGAGAGGCAAAAGACAGATTATTACTAGGAGGTGCTCCAAAGACATTCTCCGGTTTCTAATTGTGATGATGAAGCATGGTTACATTGGTAAATTTGACATCACTGATGATCACAGAGCTGGGGAAATTGTCGTGAACCTCACAGGCATGTTAAACAAGTGTGGAATGATCAGCCCCAGATTTGATGTACTCAAAGTTCTAGAAAAACGGCAGAATAATCTGCTTCCATCCTGCCAGTTTGGTTTCATTGTACTGACTTCAGCCGGCATCATGGACCACGAAGCAGCAAGACAAAAATACACAAAAGGGAAAATCCTGGGATTCTTTTTCTAGGGGTGTAATGCTTACAAAAAAAAATGCCTCCGTGGACTACAGTGCATCCAAAAACAAAATAACTGACATTTGTACCACACAAAAGTTACCCTCCAATAGTGTGATCTTTCTTTCTTAAGGTGTAAAACCACACTCGGGGTTGTGGTATTTGATGCTGTGCGAAATTTTACCTTCCCTCGCAGCTCGCGAGAATTTGCGGGGCCATTCAGCATGGCCAGCATGGGTCCGAGTGAGGAGGGTCCATCCTCATTGCACAGGCTACGGAGTGGCTCCCCGGGTACTTTCCAAGGCCAGGTCTCCACCTCGAAGTGCGTCAAAGGCTGCAGGCCCTGGGGAGGCTGACCAGGGCCCGAGGGAGGACGACAAGCGGGGACGTTGGCGGAGGGGTTAATGGCGGAGTCGCGATCCAGCCGAGCCCACAACTCTGGGAGGCTGGTTCTGCCTCTCTCCCGAAGCGTCGCCCGGCTAAGCTTCGAGCACCAGGACACACAACCGCCGACTATTCCAGAGCCCACAGTCGGCTTCACGCTGGAGGCCGGAAACGACACGTCCCCAAAGCCCGCGCGCGCGGCCCGCCAGAACTGACCTACCCAATCACCGCACCGCTGCGATCAAGCGGCGACACACGTTGCCGGGTAAGAGTCACGCTTTGGCAAATAAGCAACCTGCCTCATCCAATCAGCGTCTCGCCTGCCCGGTTAGTTCCTTGTCTTGCCCAACCAGATTCTTGCCTCCTCCATACCGCTACTTGCGTGTGCCGGTGCCTGGCCCAATCAGCGTCTTGCGCCTCTTCTCGCTCCCGGGCCTGGTGGAAACAGACTCAGGGCCATTTTGGCTACACCTGGGAGCAGGGCACCCTGGCGGCTGGCTGCGGCCGCTGCAGAGATGAATGGCCCCGGATCTGTGGAGGCTCGCCTGCCCCTGGGGACCCCGTCCTCGGCCTGGGGGGTAGTGTCAGGTGTGTTTGAACCAGAGCAATTCCATCTTGAATAGGGACTCTCTAAACTAAGGCTAAGACCGGTTGGGCTACATTCCCAGTAAGTTAAGGCATTCTTAGTCACAGGATGAGATAGGAGGTCGGTACAAGATACAGGTCATAAAAACCTTGCCGATAAAACAGCTTGCAATAAAGAAGCCGCCCAAAACCCACCAAAACCAAGATAGCGATGAGAGTGACCTCTGGTCGTCCTCGCTGCTACACTCTCACCAGGGCCATGACAGTTACAAATGCCATGGCAACGTCAGGAAGTTACCCTATATGGTCTAAAAAGGGGAGGCGTGAATAATCCACCCGATGTTTAGCATATCATTAAGAAATAACCATAAAAATGGGCAACCAGCAGTCCTCGGGGCTGCTCTGTCTATGGAGTAGCCATTCTTTATTCCTTTACTTTCCTAATAAACTTGCTTTCACTTTATGGACTGGACTTGAATTCTTTCTTGCATGAGATCCACAAACCCTCTCTTGAGATCTGGATCGGGACTCCCTTTCCGGTAACAGTGAGAGCCCAGACTGGAGACAGGTGGTCACAGGCTCCTAGGGGATTGGGGCCCTAGGGAGCCGTTGGTCTGTGCAACCGCCAGGCCCCGCCCGGGTCTCCTCATTAGGCTCAGGCGCACAAGCGCTGAGCTGGCCTGGTCCTCAATCACAGGTGAGAAGCATCCCGTTCCCACCTTGGGAATGGCCCAGCGCCTGCCGGTCCTAGACGCCCAGCCTGGCCTGGCCACGGACTCTTGGTGAAGGGTTGGGCTGCGCATCACTCAGCTGTGGTAGTGGTGATGATGGTAGGGGTGCTGGGGGACTCGAGCTGTGTCCTGAGCAGAAACTTGAAAGAAATGTGAGTAGCTCTGCCGGGACCACGCATCTCTAGGCACGCCCGGCAGGGGGAATATCGAGATGCTTACTACACCAGTTTGTGTTTTGCCATATCCAGGATCCTCAGTCTTATTTGCTGAATAATAATTTTTATTATTTACTTATTTACTTTTTGATAAGGAGTCTCACTCTGTCGCCCAGGCTGGAGTGCAGTGGCGCCATGTCGGCTCGCTGCAAGCTCCGCCTGCCGGGTTCACGCCATTCTCCTGCCTCAGCCTCCGGAGTAGCTGGGACTACAGGCGCCCGCCACGACGCCCTGCTAATTTTTTTTTTTTTTTTTAAGTAGAGACGGGGTTTCACCGTGTTAGCCAGGATGGTCTGGATCTCCTGACCTCGTGATCTGCCCGCCTCAGCCTCCCAAAGTGCTGGGATTACAGGCGTGAGCCACCGCGCCCGGCCTGCTGAATAATTTTTTTAAATCCATGCGTTAAAATTCAAAATTTATAAACTGATTTAAAAGGGATCATTTGGGTCGCGCCCTGTGGGTCAGGCCTGTAATCCCAGCACTTTGGGAGGCCCAGACGGGTGAATCGCTTGAGCCCAGGAGTTCGAGATCAGCCTGGGCAACACAGCAAGACTGCATATCTGGGAAAAAAAAATGCTGGGCATGGTGGCACACACCTGTAGTCCTAGCTACTTGGGAGGATCGCTTGAGCCCAGGAGTTGGCTGCTGCAGTAAGCTGTGATTGTACCGCTGCACTCCAGCCTGGCCAGCAGAGGGAGACCTTGTCTCAAAAAAAGAGGGGTGGGGGGGTGGGGCCTTTTGGTTATTTACTTGCCAAAATAAACGTGAGTTAAATACAGTTGGTTAAAGGCCCAGCGCAGTGGCTCACACCTGTAATTCTAAAACTTTGGGAGGCTGAGGTGGGTGGATCACTCGAGGTCAGGAGTTCGAGACCAGCCTGGGCAACCTGGAGAAATCCGTTCTCTACCAAAAATACAAACATTAGCCAGGCACACCTGTAGTCCCAACTACTCAGAATCCTGAGGCAGGAGAATCCCTTGAACACAGGAGGCAGAGGTTGCACTGATCCGAGATCATGCCACTGCACTCCAGGCTGGACAACAGAGTGAGTGAGACTCCATCTCAAAATCATCATCATTATCATCATCTACAAGGGGAAAATGGCAGAAGTTAAGACAATTTTGAACAGGAAGAACAATGTACGGAATGTCTTACCAAAATGAAAGTGTGTATTGTTAAGCTGAAGTAATTAAAACTGTGACCCTGGAGCAGACAGAGACAGAGCAATGCAACAAAGCTATGTAGAGATGGCATTTGTGGCATATGATAAAGCAGCCATTTTTAAGTTATCCAGAAAAGAGGGAATGTTCTGAAAATGTGCTGGGAGAGTATATAGTTGTCTGGAAGAAAATTAAGTCAGACCTCCATCATACCATACAGAAAGTTAAATTTCAGAGGGATGAAAGAACATAGGGCCAGGCACAGTGGCTCATGCCTGTAATCCCAGCACTTCGGGAGGCTGAGGCGCGGGCAGATCACCTGAGGTCAGGAGTTCGAGATAAGCCTGGCCAACATGGTGAAACGCCATCTCTACTAAAAATACAAAGATTAACCGGGTGTGCTGGCAGACGTCTGTAATCACAGCTGCTCGGGGGGCTGAGACAGGAGAATTGCTTGAACCCGGGAGGCAGAGGTTGCAGTGAGCCAAGATCACAACACTGCAGTCCAGCCTAGGTGATGGAGCAACACTCTGTCTTAAAAAAAAAAAAAAAAGAGCCAAGCGTGGTGGCTCATGCCTGTAACCCCAGCACTTTAGGAGGCCAAGGTGGGCAGATCACCTGAGATCAAGAGTTCGAGACCAGCCTGGCCAACATGGCAAAACCCCATCTCTACTAAAAGTACAAAAATTAGCCAGGCGTGGTGGTGGGTGCCTGTAATCCCAGCTACTCAGGAGGCTGAGGCAGGAGAATTGCTTGAACCCGGGAGGCGGAAGTTGCAGTGAGCTGAGATGGAGTCACTGCACTCCAGCCTGGGCGACAAGAGTGAGACTCCGTCTCAAAAAAAAAAACAAAAAAAAAATCACACTCAACAATTTATCAAAAGGATGACAGTATATTTAAACTCAGGAATGCAAGAATGCTTCAGGCCGGGCATGGTGGCTCACACCTGTAATCCCAGAACTTTGGGAGGCCGAGGCAGGTGGATCACGAGGTCAGGAGATCGAGACCATCCTTGCTAACATGGTGAAACCCCATCTCTACTAAAAATACAAAAAATACAAAAAATTAGCTGGGCGTGGTGGTGGGCGCCTGTAGTCCCAGCTACTGAGGCAGCAGAATGGCGTGAACCCGGCAGGCGGAGCTTGCAGTGAGCCAAGATTGCGCCACTGCACTCCAGCCTGGGTGACAGAGCGAGACTCCGTCTCACAAAAAAAAAAAAAAAAAAAAAAGAAAATGATTTAAAAGATCAAAAGGAAAAATAAATGCTTATGACAGTCTGACAGCCAAGAAAATTATAATCAAAATAACAGTCAAGGAACCGGCCTTGCTTGATATTAAAATGTCATTATAATCTCAACAGAATGGTATTATATTATTATTTATTTGTTTGTTTATGTATTTATTTTTGAGACGGAGTCTCGCTCTGTCGCCCAGGCTGGAGTGCAGTGGCACGATCTCGGCTCACTGCAAGCTCTGCCTCCCGGGTTCACGCCATTCTCCTGCCTCAGCCTCCCGAGTAGCTGGGACTACAGGTGCCCGCCACTATGCCCAGCTAATTTTTTGTATTTTTAGTAGAGACGGGGTTTCACTGTGTTAGCCAGGATGGTCTCGATCTCCTGACCTCGTGATCCACCCGCCTCGGCCTCCCAAAGTGCTGGGATTACAGGAGTGAGCCACCGTGCCCGGCCTATTGATTTATTTTTTTGACACGGAGTCTCACTCCCTCACCCAGGCTGGAGTGCAATGGCGCGATCTTGGCTCACTACAACCCCCGCCTCCCGGATTCAAGCGATTCTCCTGCCTCAGCGTCCCCAGTAGTTGGGATTACAGGCGTCCGCCACCACTCCCGGCTACAGAATGGTATTATTATAAGAATTGACAAATGGATGTGTGGAAGAAAAATGATAGCTTATTTGAAAAGTGATTTTGGGAGAATTCTAGCTTTCCCAGTAAGCTGATGCCTGCATCAGACCTCAAACAAAAGTAATTCCTAATAGACTAATGATTTGTATGTTTTTAAAATTTTTTTTATATTTTGAGATGGAGTCTTGCTCTGTCACCCAGGCTGGAATGCAGTGCCGAGATCTTGGCTCACTGCAACCTCTGCCTCCCAGGTTCAAGCGATTCTCCCCGCTCAGCCCCACTAGTAGCTGGGATTACAGGCGCGTGGCATAATGCCCTGGCTAATTTTTGTATTTTTAGTAGAGACAGGGTCTCACCATGTTGGCCAGGCTGTTCTCAAACTCCTGACCTCAAGCTATCCACCCGCCCTGGCTTCCTAAAGTGCTGGGATTACAGGCTTGAGTCACCGCACCTGGCCAGATTTGCATGTTTTAAAAAGTGCAAAAGAAAATTTAGAAGACTACATAAACATAAAATCTGTGGCTTGCAATACTTTTTAAAGCAAGACAAAAAACTCAGATCTATTCATAAAGGAAGAGTAGACAACATACTTTACATAAAAAGAATTTTTTTTTTTTTCGAGACAAAGTCTTGTTCTGTCACCTAGGCTGGAGTGCAGTGGTGCAATCTCGGCTCACTGCAACCTCTGCCTCCTGAGTTCAAACGATTCTCATGCCTCACCCGCCTGAGTCGCTGGGATTACAGGCATGCACCGCCAGGCCTGGCTGATGATTGTATTTTTAGTAGAGATGGATTTTGCCATGTTGGCCAGGCTGTCTTGAACTGGCCTCAAGTGATTCTCTTGCCTGAGCTTCCCAAAGTGCTGAGATTACAAGCATGAGCCACTGCATCTGGCCTAAAAAGAATTTTTTGTATGCTAAAATAGATACCATAAATTTAAAAAGAGAATAAACTATGTATTGAGAAAAATATTTGTTACACAAATGACAGACGAGATTAACATTGATAAACTATCATGAACGCCTATAAAGTGCCAAAAAAGAAAAAAATATTAATTAGACAAAACACAGAAAACAAAACCTCAAATAACCAGTAAGAATATGTAAAGATCCTGAAATCACAAGTAGCTAGGGAATACAAATTACACAAAATGTTACTTTTACCCAAAATACTGGCAAAATACAAAGGATAATACCCAATGCTGGAAAGAATAGGGACTATTATTCTCACTTTGGAAAGTAATTTGGTAATACCTAAGAGAATCAAAAATACACTTATCCTTCAACTTGTGCAGTCCCACTGGAGGGGCTCTGACCTATAGAAATGAAGGCACTAATTCTGGGTGTCCGGGGGTGTTTACTACAGTATTGTTTATGTTGTGTTTGGAAATAGAGAAGAGTGTGGGAGGTGAATGCTAGGATTTTACACTGAAAGAGGTGCAGATGAGGGGGAAGAAGTAGGCTGGAGCAAATTGAAAGTGATGTCTGCTATAATTAGTTAAGAGAAAATATGAATGTAAGGTTCAATGTATGAAGTTTTTTTTTTTCTTTTTCTTTTTTTTTTTTTTTTTTTAGACAGTCTTGCCCTGTTGCCCAGGCTGGAATGCAATGGCATGACCTTGGCTCACTGCAACCTCTGCCTCCCAGATTCAATCAATTCTCCTGCCTCAGCCTCCCGAGTAGCTGAGCCTCCCGCCACCATGCCTGGCTAATTGTTGTATTTTTAGTAGAGACAGGGTTTCACCGCGTTGGTCAGGCTGGTCTTGAACTCCTGACCTTGTGGTCTGCCCACTTCAGCCTCTCAAAGTGCTGGAATTACAGGCGTGAGCTACTGAGCCCAGCCACAAGGTATGAAGTTTTTCTAGACATGTAAAAGTGAGCATGCACTTGGGCAAAAACGAGAGTCATCCAAAAATGAAAACATAAGATTTAATTTCAGGATGGGAGTCTATGTCATCTTCTATTTGAATTTTCTGTTATTTCCTGAGTTCCAACTTTTTTCCACTCCAGATAATTCATACTATAATATTTCCATAAACCTGGCTCACAGAATAAAAGTTTGAAAAATAAGTTTATTTCAATAATCATTAGAAAAATTATAGTCGGGCACGGTGGCTCATGCCGGTAATCCCAGCACTTTGGGAGGCCGAGGCTGGCAGATCACGAGGTCAGGGATTCGAGACCAGCTGATCAACATAGTGAAACCCCGACTCTACTAAAAGTACAAAAATTAGCAGGGCGTGGTGGTGCGCGCCCATAATCCCAGCTACTCAGGAGGCTGAGGAAGGAGAATTGCTTGAACCTGGGAGGCAGAGGTTGCAGTGAGCCAAGATCGCACCACTGCACTCCAGCCTGGGCGACAGAACGAGACTCTGTCTCAAAAAAAAAAATTATGGAAGTGAAAAATTGTGCAAAAATGAGTGTGTACCAACTTTCTGTCAGAGCTTCACCTTAATCATCTAATAAGAAAGCAAACAAAAGATAAACTGTATAAGCATGCCAACAATAATCTTTATTTCTGCCATGTTTTACCCTTTAATATTCAGAAGAAAAGTCATACAGGAGGAAAATTTTATAACTATAGTAAATATAGACAACTTGAACAACACTAGATCTCTACTGGCCAAAAGGAAAAAACAAAAAACAACCCCCAGTATATCCCTAAATGTACACCAGAGAATCTTAAAAGATAAAATAATTTGGCCAGGCACGGTGGCTCCCGCCTGTAATCTCAGCACTTTGGGAGGCCGAGGTGGGCGGATCACGAGGTCAGGAGATCGAGACCATCCTGGCTAACACGGTGAAATTCCATCTGTACTAAAAATACAAAAACAAAATTAGCCAGGCATAGTGGCGGGGGTCTGTAATCCCAGCTACTCCAGAGGCTGAAGCAGGAGAGTGGCATGAACCCAGGAGGCGGAACTTGCAGTGAGCAGAGATCGCACCACTGCACTACAGCCTGGGCAACAAAGCAAGACTCAAAAAAAAAAATAAAATAATTCATGTGATTATAATAAATTTGAGAAAAACTTCTTTTATAGCTCTTGCCTTTCTCAAAGGGGGAGGACTCATCCTGGAGAGAAACCCCATGGATGTATTCAACATGGTAAATCTTTTTGATGGAGCTCTCACCTAGTTGCACATCACAACTTATACCAGATAGAAAATTTATGAATGTAATCAATGTGGAAAGTTTTTCAGCCTGGTGCTCCCACCTTGTTAGACGTATACTGAAGACTCTGGGAACATCGGGAACGTCAGAGAGCTTTCAGCAGGAGATCTCATCTAATTGGGCAATAGAAAACTCATACTGAAGAAAAACAATTCCATGTAATCAATGTGAGAAATATTTCAGTGACATCCTTGATTTTAATTGGCATCAGGGAAAGTGTAATAGAGAGAAGCCTTATGAATGTAGTCAAGGTAGGAAATCTTTCTATACAGCTCTGGCCTTGTTGCACATAAAATAACTCATACTGGAAAGAAGCTTCGTGACTGTAATCAGTGTTGGAAATGGTTCAGTTAGAGTTCTCACTTGTTGCTCATCAGATAAATCATACCGGTGAGAAACTGCGAGTGTCCTGAGTGTAGGAAATCAGCTGGAGCTGATTACTTATATGGCATCAGAGATTTCACATTAGAGAGAAACCTCATGAATGTCACTGGTGTGGAAAATCCCGCAGCAAGAATTCTCACCTTATTGAACAGCAAATAACTCATTCTGGAGAGAAGCCTATAAATGTAGTCAACGTGGAAAAACTTTCAGACAGAATTATTATTGTGTATGCACCAAAAAATTCATATGGGCAAAAGCCAACATGAATGTCTAAATGTGAAAAAGCCTTCAGGAGACTATCTGACCTTATGGAACACCAGATCATTCATAATAGAGAGAAACTGTATGCATATAATCAGTGCAGAAAGGCCTTTCAGGCAGCATTCTAATCATGTCAGGCACCAGATAACTCATTCTTGAGTCAAACTGTTAATGAACTTTTTATTTATTTTATTTTATTTTTGAGATGGAGTCTCGCTCTGTTGCCCAGGCTGGAGTGCAGTGGCGTGATCTCGGCTCACTGCAAGCTCCGCCTCCTGGGTTCACGTCATTCTCCTGCCTCAGCCTCCCAAGTAGCTGGGACTACAGGTGCCCGCCACCATGCCCGGCTAATTTTTTGTATTTTTTTTTTGAGATGGAGTCTCCCTGTTGCCCAGGCTGGAGTGTGGTGACACAATCTCAGCTCACTGCAACCTCCACCTCCCGGGTTCAAGCTATTCTCCTGCCTCAGCCTCCCGAGTAGCAGGGATTACAGACACACACCACCATGCCCAGCTAATTTTTTTGTATTTTTAGTAGAGACGGGGTTTCACCATGATGGCCAAGCTGGTTTTGAACTCCTGACCTCAAGTGATCCGCCCGCCTCGGCCTCCCAAAGTGCTAGGATTACAGGCGTGAGCCACCGTGCCCGGCCTAATTTTTTGTATTTTTTAGTGGCGACGGGGTTTCACCATGTTAGCCAGGATGGTCTCGATCTTCTGACCTCGTGATCCACCTGCCTTGGCCTCCCAAAGTGCTGGGATTACAGGCGTGAGCGACCGCACCTGGCCAATGAACTTTTTAAATTGAGACAGGGTTTCACTCTGTCATCCAGGCTGGAGTATAGTGGCAAGATCATCACTCCCTGCAGCCTCAACCTCTTGGTCTCAAGTGATCTTCCAACCTCAGCCTCCCAAAGTTCTGGGGTTACAGGTGTGAGGCATTGTGCCCAGCCATAACTTTTAAAAGATTTTCTTCCCTTTTATTTAGACATCAAGGTAAAAGTAACTTTTTTTTTTTTTTTTTTTGAGTCAGAGGCAGGCTGGAGGAGTGCAGTGGCACCATCTCGGCTCACTGCAACCTCCACCTCCTGGGCTCAAGCCATTCTCCTGTCTCAGCCTCCTGAGTAGCTGGGATTACAGGTGCCCACCACCACACCTGGCTAGTTTTTGTATTTTTAGTAGAGACAGGGTTTCGCCATGTTGGCCAGGCTGACCTTGCACTCATGACCTCAGGTGATTCACCTGTCTCAGCCTCCCAAAGTGCTGGAATTACAGGCATAAGCCACTGTGCCCAGCCAAAGGTAACATTTTTAATGTAACAATATATGGTCATTCTTTGCTCTTATGACACAATCCTACAAAAGGCGATCACTAAGCTTAAGCACTAAGCCTAAAACTGAATAATATAAACACTGATGTAGGGAAAGTTGTTCCTCAGACGACTCCATTATTGATACAGACATGGAAACAGTAAACAGAAATGTAACATCAAAGTTCTTATTTACTTGAACTTTTTTTTTTTTTGAGACGGAGTCTCCCTCTGTTGCCCAGGCTAGAGTGCAGTGGCGTGATCTTGGCTCACTGCAAGCTCCGCCTCCTGGGTTCAGGGCCATTCTCCTGCCTCAGCCTCCCAAGGAGCTGGGACTACAGGCTCCCGCCACCACGCCCGGCTAATTTTTTGTATTTTTTGTAGAGACGGGGTTTCACCATGTTAACCAGGATGGTCTCGATCTCCTGACTTCGTGATCGGCCTGCCTCAGCCTCCCAAAGTGCTGGGATTACAGGCGTGAGCCACCACTCCTGGCCTGAAATTTTCTATAATAAAAACAAACAAGATCATTTATTATCTCATAATGAAAAGTCCCTGAGGTGAGCATAGGCAATGTTGATTCAGTGGCACAAAGAGGATTCATTCCATCATGGATACTGGTTCTTTCCATTTTTCTGCTGTGCCATTCTCAGCATGTTGCCTTTACCTCCTGGGGTGGCTTCCTCATGGTGCCAGTGTGCTTGTAATTGTCCTACACATCACATACAGACATCACGGTCCAGGGGCAAAAGAAGACACATTGCTATCTTATGTCCACTTTTAAGACTGAGGGAACCGGCCGGGAGCGGTGGCTCATGCCTGTAATGCCAGCACTTTGGGAGGCCGAGGCGGGTGGATCATGAGGTCAGGAGATCGAGACCATCCTGGCTAACAGGGAGAAACACCGTCTCTACTAAAAAAGAAAAATTACAAAAAATTAGCCGGGCGTGGTGGCGGGCGCCTGTAGTCCCAGCTACTCGGGAGGCTGAGGCAGGAGAAAGGCGTGAACCCGGAAGGCGGAGAGTGCCGTGGGCCTAGATCGTACCACTGCACTCCAGCCTGGTGGACAGAGCGAGACTCCGTCTCACAAAAAAAAAAAAAAAAAAAAAAAAAAAAAAAGACTGAGGGAACCTTCCCAGGAAACCCCTAGCAGCCTTATTTCTCCTTGGCCAGAATATCCTTGCCTAATTCACACAGCAAGAAGCTTGAGTCCATTCTGATTAGCTTAGAATCCATCAAGATCCTCCCTTAGGGAGTTAGATTCTAGATTTCCCGGAAGAATCTAAAAATTGCAGGGTCGTGCTAGCCAGGTATGAAAATAAGCAAGTAAAAAGATGATGACTGTTGGGTAAAGCTATCGACAAGGTCAGCTACAAAACAGTCAAGCCAAGGAAGGCTAGTCACAGATGCACCCCAGACACAAAAGCACAGTCCAGGAGCTGAGGGTGCCTGAGCCACAGTGGTTCCCGCCTACCTGGCCTTCGTAGGAAAGTTTCCTGTGGTCTCCCTCATTGAAGAGCCAGGACGGGTCAGGCGGTGGTGGGTCTCAGACATTGAGCCCCACAACGCACTGAGACTGAACATCAGACCATTTATAATAACAGAACTCTGTCCCACAACTTCTGCAGCAATAGGTACAAAACAGAACTTGGTCACTGCCAGCCTCCCTATTTTTTTCCCTGTCCCACTTAGGAGCTACCACAGAAAGCCAAATAGGCTCGACTGAGCGATCACCTAGGACGAATCGCCTCCAGTTAGCGTGCTTCCACCTTCCACTCGGAATGCTCCAAGCAGGGCACTCCCGGGGCTTTGTTTCTATCACTAGGACGCGTCCCCACGCCCAGGCTGTCCCTGAGTCCCTGCCACAGGCGCAGATGTTGGCGGGCGCCCTTGCCCCTGAGCTCCCGGTTAACGGCCTTGGACTGTTCTCATGGCTCAGTCTTGGTCTCTCTCCCCAGCAGGGCAAGGCGCCGGGAAGGCACCCGAGATGACAGCGCCGAGCCCCATAGGCGCTAGTCCCGCCCTGGACGCCGACCGCCGCCTCCACAGTCTCGGCTTCGGTTGCTGGATGAGAACCAGCGTGGCCCGTTTAAGGGGGAGGGGACAGGCGCTGCAAGGAGCAGAGCCGCGGGAAGCAACTCCCTAAGCCACAATGCTAGTCGCGAACACAGGAAAAAGCTCATCCCGCCGCCGCGGGGCCCCATGCTCCCGCCGGCAATGACTATGCCTGTGGGAGCAACGGCTACCGGCGCGCGGCCTTCTGGGAGTTGTTTGTTGCGCGGAGCGCGGGCACGTCCGCCGGCCACCGGAAGCACCGCCATTGGCCGGTGCGTGCAGGTGAGTCTGGCGGCCTCAAGGTTGGCTCGGAGGTTTCACTGTTAGCCGGGTGCGGCCGGAGCGCAGGACCAGGCCAGAGCCGCCCCAAGTGATCTGGGCGTGCCGGAGAAACGAGCAGGGCCTGCGGGGGTCCCTCATGCGGCGAGGCCGAGCAAGGGCAGGGGCCTGATGGGATCGGGATCTCTCCGGCCTCAGGGACGGGGAAGGCCGGTCCAGTCAGGTTTCCCCTGCAGGAGCGCCCGGCTGGGTCTGAGCTTGTCGGGAGGCTCTCCTGCTGCAGAGCTGGGAGGGAACTTATAGTACCTCGCAGGTACGGGCAGGGGTGGAACTGGGTGGGACTGGGTGGGACTGGGTGGGACTGGGTGGGACTGGGTGGGCCCTCCCGACAGAGGGTGCCTGGGTCGAGGGCTGCAGGGGCGGGGGATTCAGGCTGGCGTCTGGAGCTCTGGGGCTGCCGACCCAGCGGGCCTCTCCCGGCTCCTTTTTCCTCCCTCAACTCATCTTCTGCGGCTTATCCACAGGTGGCAGCCAAGAGCCTCCTGGCACAGCGGCACCAGGCAGGTGACGCCTATTGGACCCCAGAGGTCATCCCAGCTCCAGACGTGGACACATTTTCTTCCAATGGTACGTGAAGCTTGAACCTTGCAGAGAACATGTGTATTTTCCAAGTGAACAGAAGATTAAGGCCAGTCCACGCAGGGCAGGGGTAACTGGGGTGTTGGGGGCCTGCACTGGTTAAGCGATGCTGGTGCACCCCATAGAGAGACTACAGAGGTGAACAGGATGGGATGTGTATGTAACGCCTGTAAGTTAGGGATCGGGGTTCCATTTGTGTTGGGTGATATTTGATGGGGACCGTACAAGGCAGTGCTAATGAGGAAGGCATGGGGTTGGATTTCAAGAGTCTAAGGGAGTAGGGAAACATCTGATTGTGGAAATGACTCCGTGTAAGGAGGGATGCCAAAAGACAGGAAGGAGTGGAGGAAGACTGTGTTTCTGTTTCCAGCGTGGAGCCAGGGTAGAAGTCACAGTGCAAGGAAGATGTGGTATGCCTGGTCAGTCTCTGCATGGGAGTTGAGGAGCATGTGGGTGACATGGCTGAATGTGGAGGAGGGAATGGCAGTGGCAGGAAGCCCAGGAGGTTTGGGCTGGACACGTAACCTGGAGCAGATTGGAAACGTCACCCCACAAGCAGGGAAGGAGAAAACTGGAAAAGGAAAGAGAAAGCAACTCCCTCCCCAGCCCTGCAGCCAGAGGGACTTCTGCCAGATCAGCCACCATACAGGTCCAGTATGAGGAACAGATGGGGAATTTTATGTCCAAGTATAATCACTATGAATACATGTGTTGTGCCCCTTTTGCAGGTTAACACAATGTTAAGCTCTGTAAATGCAACTCAATTAATTCTTTTAGCATCCTCACAAGGCAGGTCTTGCTGTTTTTCCAGATGTCTACGGATGAGGAAACTGAGGCCTGGAGAGGTTAAAGAGACCCGTTCAGAGTCCTACAGTGGCAGGTAATGGAGCCAGTACTTTGACAGCAGGTTGCAAAGTGAGTGTTCTCAGCCGTTGCCCTTGGATGCCTCCAGACAAGGAAGGACAGGGTTAGAGAGCAAAGATGGACACAGGCAGTGAGAGATTCCCCAGGGAAGGCCAGGAGCATCAGGACAAGATAGTAACACATAAGATATTGGGCAGACCTCTTGGATGTGGTCTACATTTGTGTTTGTGTGTGTGTTTGGGAGTGAGAGAGCAGAGCAGGATGGGCAAGATGAGGAGGGGGAAACTGAGAGTGTTGGTCACTCTGTTCAGGCCTCACCTGAGAGGAGAAGAGGCAGGGGGTGGGGCACTGGGATATGGATTCATCTTGACCAGGGAGAAGACATCTCAGCTCAGAATTTGAAGGGAGCTACTAATGAGTGCAGGCCTGCAGGAGTTTGTGTGCCAGGAGGTTGAAAGAGTCCAGAGTCATCCCTTGGAGTGAATTAAAAGGCCGATTTGTCTGCACAGAGAGGACAGTGGTGGGAGGGGACTGAAGTAGGGTGTGAGAGCATGAGCTCGCAGCTGTAAGGGGATAGTGACTGAGTGGATACTGGTGTTCCTGAACTCCTATACCACCCAGAACTCAGAAACTAGCAGGGTTGGGCAGAGAGGGCAGTCAAGGGCATAGGCAGATTGCACAGAACAAACAGATCAGAGAGGCCAAGAGGTGGGCCTCAGGCCAAGGATGTTAAGAAAAAGAACAGGGGCATTGGGCTGGGCTGGGGTGGGGTGTACCAGACGGGGAGGCTGGGAGCCTGAGTGGTAGTGTGCTTAGGGCCATGAGCTATGGAGCTCCCACCTTCTCACTCCCCAGCCACGAGGCCTCAGTTAAATTTTACTCAAGTTCTTTCTGCCTTGGTTTCCTCATTTAGAAAGCAGGGTAAATTCTGTTAATTGTCTTTGTGGGGTTACAAGGAAGATCAAATGCATGAATTCAGGCAGAGGACAGGGTACAGTGCCTGGCCTGTAGGAAGTACAGCCTGAGTGGTCAGTGGATTTTGAAAGGTAGGAAGGCCTGGGGCATTTGCTAGGGAAGGAAGCTGAGATCATAGGCCCCGGTGTGTTTTAATTCATGTCTTTATTATTTATTTTTTTATAAATGGGGTCTCACATGTTGCCCAGGCTTGTCTCGAACTTCTAGCCTCAAGAGAGCCTCCTGCCTTGGCCTCACAAAGTGCTGGGATTATATGTCTTTAATACAGAGCAGCTTTGTACATTTTTCAGCCATGTAGTTTATTTTATTGTGAACTATCTGTTTGTGACTGTCACCTCTCTTTTTCGTAGGTCTCTATTTTCATTAAAGAAGCTTAAATATTTTGTCAAGTTCAAAAAATAGTCCTGGTGTGTTTTTTGTTTTGTTTTGTTTTTTTCTTGAGACAAGGTCTTGCTCTGTCACCTAGGCTGGAATGGTGGCATGACCTCGGCTCACTGCAGTCTCCGCCTCCTGGGTTCAAGCGATTCTTGTGCCTCAGCCTCCCAAGTTACTGGGATTACAGATGTGTGCCGCCACGCCCAGCTAATTTTTTTTTTTTTTAGTATAGACAGGGTTTCTCCATGTTGTCCAGGCTGGTCTTGAACTTGAAAACTAATACAAAATATAATATGTAATGCCAGAAATAAGACTAGTTCTCACAGTAAATGTGATGGGTAGAACTCTGTTTTAGTAGACACTTTGAAATTGAACTGAAAATAAAAAGTTAAAGATACGCTCTACTTAGAAGAGTCAGATGATCCAGGCTTTGACAAACAGGTGGTGGGATGAGCATAGATCCATCAGTGAAAACAAATAAGGAAATGGGTGGCAAGATAATATCAGATAAAGTAGACCTTTAGTGCAACAGCATTAAGACAATTTTATCTTTTTTTTTTTTTTTTTTTTTTTGAGACAGGGTCTCACTCTGTCACCCAGACTGGAGTGCAGTGATGCCATCACAGCTCACTGCAGCCTTGACCTCCCGGCTCAAGTGATCCTCCCACCTCAGCCTTCTCAGTAGCTGGGACTACAAGTGTACACCACTACACCCAGCTAACTTTTTGATTTTTTTGTAGAGACTTGGTCTCACTTAGTTGTCCAAGCTAGTCTCCAACTTCTAGGCTCAAGCAGTCTTCCTGCTTTGACCTCTGTATTAGTCTGTTCTCATGCTAATAAAGACATATCCGGGCCGGGCGCGGTGGCTCACGCCTGTAATCCCAGCACTTTGGGAGGCCGAGGCGGCCGGATCACAAGGTCAGGAGATTGAGACCATCCTGGCTAACATGGGGAAACCCCGTCTCTACTAAAAAAAAAAAAAAAAAAAAAAATACAAAAAATTAGCTGGGCGTGATGGCGGGAGCCTGTAGTCCCAGCTACTCTGGAGGCTGAGGCAGGAGAATGGCATGAACCTGGGAGGCGGAGCTTGCAGTGAGCCGAGATCGTGCCACTGCACTCCAGCCTGGGCGACAGAGAGAGACTCCATCTCAAAAAAAAAAAAAAAAAAAAAAAGACATACCCAAGACTGGGTAATTTATAAAGGAAAGAGGTTTAATTGACTCACAGTTCCACATAGCTGGGGAGGTCTCACAATCATGGCGGAAGGCGAAGGAGAAGCAAAGTCACACCTTGCATGGCAGCAGGCAAGAGGGTGTGTGCAGGGGAGCTCCTCTTTGTAAAAGCGTCAGATCTCGTGAAACTGTCATAAGAACAGCAAGGAAAAGACCTGCCCCCATGACTCAGTTACCTTCCACTGAGTCCCTCCCACAACATGACACGTGGGAATTATGGGAGCTACAATTCAAGAGGAGATATAGGTGGGGACACTGCCAACCACATCAGCCTCCAAAAGTGCTGGGATTACAGGCATGATTACAGGATTAAGGCCTGGCCTTATCACCTCTTTAGTGATAAAAGGCTATAGGAACAAGATACATTAATCTTGAATGTTTATGGACCAGACACCATAGCATAGATATAAAGCAAAAATTGTGTACTTAAAGGAAATATGAGAAGGACTATATGAGAAACTTCAACACATGTCTTAGAATTTGATCAGGAAGACAAAATAGAGTATAATAAATTATTTTAAGTATGGTGTCAAGGTAGGTTATAGATTTATCTACACACTTCTGTCTGTAATATATTCTGCCCACAGAAAATTTAAAGACCCAGATTTTCTTCTGTGTACACAAGGCCCCTCCTATATTAGATCTGTAAATCATTGAATTCCCTTGGTCCTGAGTCCTGTTCCCTCTCTGTAACTTGATTGTTCCTGTTTAGTTTAAGTGCTGCTGAGTCTCATGGACTTAAATATCTTTACTGTGGTGCCCCAGTATCTTCTCTGGGCTTCAGGCTGGCAAACGTAACTGCCTGTGTAACATTCCCACTTGGAAATTGTGTCCAGCCTTAACATGTCTTGATTCCCCTCCTCCTACTTGTTCACTCTGGGAAAAGATATAAACTTTCCCAAGTTCTTGAATCTAGAAAGAGATGTCATTATTTAGCCTCCACTCCCAATTCTATTGCATAACTGATTATACTTCCAATGTAAAGAATGAATCTGCCCACTTCTCTCCATTTTGCTGTCCCTTGAGTCCTGGCCTTTGGTGATAGCCACTTCTTCTCCTCATTCCACCTTTACTCCCCACAGTCCACTCTCCAGCCTGCCAACATCTACATAAGCCCAGCAATGCCTTCTCTCTCTCTGAGATAGAATCTAAACTTGTATGGGACTTTCTCTAGCTGTGGCCCTTGCCTTTCTCTATGCTCAGGTCACGGGATGGGCCAGGGTCGTTCCAGTCTCTGGGGTGAGGTTTCCAATCTGCCTCAGCTTCTGCCTGTGCATTGGGGTGCCTCCCTTCCCTTAACCTCATCTTGTGGGCCTAGAACTGTTGTCTTTCCTTGATCCCATGCTGACTGCACTTCATTGTTGTTGCCTGTTTGCTCATGTGGCCTCCCTGCTACCTGGGAAAAGGCCCCACAGGCCAGGGTTGTGCCCTTGCTGGGTCTGGGTCCCACTTACATCCCTGGCCTGGAGCCTGGCACTTGGAGTGAGCCCAGAGTTAATCATCGTTGATGGTGACACTGCTGCTTTTCCTCTCTTACTGTGTTAGGATAGCTCAAGGAGCAGTTCTTCCCTTTGCCTGTGTACCTGCGTGCAGCATTCTGCGAGCTGTCTGGCAATTCTGCTTTTGAATATTTAACCTAAACATACACATGCAGAAAGGGAGGCATGTATGAAAGCAAGAGTGGCCATTATAGGGCTGATGTGAGGGTGAAATTTGGAAAACTCCTAAATATTCAGAAACATTAAACTCTTTAAAGCTGGGACTATTAATAAACTACAGTCCATTCATCAAATTCAGCTATTACAGTGATTACAGCTATTACAAAAATTGTTTATTGGCATTGGGAGATACTTTACAATGCTAAGTTTCAAAAGAGTGTTTACATTATAATCACATTTTTCTAGAAATGCATTATGGTGATTAGTGAACATGTGTGTATTGACACAGGAAGATTTCTCTCTCTTTTTGTTGTTTTTTGTTTGTTTGTTTTAAGGAAGATTTCTCAAAGGACATGCAGTTACCAGTCCATAATAATGGGGATATGTTCCGAAATGTGTCGTTAGGTGACTTTGTTGTGTGAACATCATCAGTGTGCTTACACAGACCTACATGGTTATAGTCTAATACACATACAAGTTATGTGGTACAGCCTCTTGCTGCTAGGCTGCAAAGCTACACAGCGTGTTATTGTAGTGAATACTATTGGCAACTATAACACAATGGTGAGAATTTGTATATGTAAATATATCTAAACATAGAAAAGGTACGGTAAAAATATGGTATAAAAGATAAAAAATGGCCCACCTGTATAGGGTAGCTCCATTGTAATCATATGGGACCACTATCATATCTGCGGTCTGTCACTGACCAGAACGTCATTATGGGGCACATGACGGTAGGCACAAAATAGTAACAGTGGCTGTCTCTTAAGATGTTGGATTATTTATTATTGTTACTTTTAGCTATTTACATCTTTGACTTTTTATGCAATTAACCTAAAATGTGTGTGATTTATACATCGTGGTGGCTATAGTTAATAATCTCTTATATGCTTGAAAATTGCTAAGAAAGTAAAATATTCCCACCACAAAAAAGTATGTGAATGCATATGTTAATTACCTCAATTTAGCCATTCTATAGTGCATATGTATTTCTAAATATATTGTACATGACAAATATATACAGTTTGTATTTGTCAATTAAAAAATAAATTAACTTTAAAATTTGTGTGATTAAAAAACAACTTCATAGGCCGGGCTTGATGGCTCATGCCTGTAATCTCAGCACTTTGGGAGGCTGAGGCAGGTGGATCACTTGAGGTCGGGAGTTTGAGACCAGCCTGACCAACATGGAGAAACCCTGTCTCTACTAGAAATACAAAATTAGCCAGACATGGTGGCACATGCCTGTAATCCCAGCTACTCGGGAGGCTGAGGCAGGAGAATCGCTTGAACCCAGGAGGTGGAGGTTGCAGTGAGCCGAGATCATGCCATTGCACTCCAGCCTGGGTAACAAGAGTGAAACTCTGTCTCAAAAAAAAAACAAAAAAACAACTTCATGTCTGGGCATAGTGGCTCATGCCTGTAATCCCAGCACTTTGGGAGGCCAAGGCAGGTGGATTGCTTGAGCCCAAGAGTTTGAGACCAGCCTGGGCAACATGATGAAACCCCATCTCTATTTTGAAAACAGAAACAGCCAGGCACGGTGACTCACGCAATGCTAGCACTTTGGGAGGCCGAGGCGGGCAGATCACCTGAGGTCGGGAGTTCAAGACCAGCCTAACCAACATGGAGAAACCCCGTCTCTGCTTAAAATACAAAATTAGCCAGGGTGGTGGCGCATACCTGTAATCCCAGCTACTCGGAGGCTGAGGCAGGAGAATCGCTTGAACCCTGGAGGCGGAGGTTGCAGTGAGCCGAGATCGCTTGGCGCCATTGCACTCCAGCCTGGGCAACAAGAGTGAAACTGTGTCTCAAAAAAAAAAAAAAAGAAAGAAAACAGAAACAAACAAACAAAAAGCCATCATTTTGAGATATATACTTATAGGAAGCTGCAAAATAGTACAGAGTATCTTGTGTGCCCTTCACCCAGCTTTTCCAGAGAGTGACATCTTTCACAAGCCAGACATTGACATCGATACATATTGTTACTTAGACTGTAGACCTTATTTAGCATTTTTAAGCCTCCATTTGTGTGTATGTATCATTCTGTGAAACTTTTTTTTTTTTTTTAAGACAGAGTCTCTCTCCATTGCCCAGGCTGGAGTGCAGTGGCGGGATCTCAGCTCACTGCAACCTCCATTCCCCGGGTTCAAACAATTCTCGTGCCTCAGCCTCCCAAGTAGCTGAGACTACAGGTGCGCGCCACCATGCCCAGCTAATTTTTTGTATTTTTAGTAGACAGGGTTTCACCATGTTAACCAGGCTGGTCTTGATCTCCTGACCTCAAGTGATCCACACGCCTCGGCCTTCCTAAGTGCTGGGATTACGGAAGTGAGCCACCACACCTGGCCTCATTCTATGAAACTTTTTACCTTTTTTTTTTTTTTTTTCCCCACATAGGGTTTTACTCTGTCACCCAGGCTGGAGTGCAGCGGTGTGATCTTGGCTCACTGCAGCGTCTGTTCCCAGGCTCCAGCAATCTTCCCGCCTCAGCCTCCCAGGTAGCTGGGACTACAGGTGTGCGCCACCACACCTGGCTAATTTTTGTATTTTTTGTAGAGACGGGGTTTTGCCATGTTGCCTAGGCTTGTCTTGATCTCCTCGGCTCAAGCAGTCCGCCTGCCTCTGCTGCCCAGAGTTTACAGGTATGAGCCACCACGCCTGGCCTCAAGCTTCTGTTCATCTTAAGCCAACAATTTTGTGGAAATTGGTTACAGGGGCCACAAGACACTGAGCCGCTCCAGGCCGGCAGCTTGCTGGTCCTGGCAGCCTCTGCGAGTGCTGTGGCTCTGATTTCATCTTGGGGCCTAGTGTTAGGCACAGCCTGGCCTGGAGGGCGGCTCACCTCACGGGCTGACGGAGCCAGACCCTTGCCCCGCCAGCGGTCCGAGGGGCCCTTCCAGCTACAGGTAGGACCCTCACACCCACCTTCTTTTTGCTTTTTTTCCCCACTCATCCATGGAGACTTCCAAGCTGCTTTTTATCTTCCCTGTCTTCCTCATATTTTCCTTTTGTGTCTTAAATGCTGTTGGAGTGCAGCAGACACCCCAGTGTGTGACCTGTGCCAGAAGCCTGGAGCTTTGTTGGCATGGCCAGTATTCGGCATGGAGGCAGGGCCTGGGGAGGCAGCAAGGTGCGGAGCCACCCGAGGATAGAGAAGCCTGAAAATGCGTCTGGAGGTGGGGTGTTGTGGGGCCGGGGAGCTGGAAGGTGTTCCATGAGACTGACAGACGTCACAAGGTCTGTGGGGAGTGTCTGGAGATTTTTAAAACTTCTCTTGTTGCTCAGACTGGAGTGCAATGGCACGATCTCAGCTCACTGCAACCTCTGCCTCCTGGGTTCAAGTGATTCTCCTGCCTCAGCCTCCTGAGTAGCTGGGATTACAGACGTGCACCACCACGCCCGGCTAATTTTGTATTTTTGGTAGAGACGGGGTTTCACCATGTTGGTCAGGCTGGTCTTGAACTCCTGACCTCAGGTGATCCACCAGCCTTGGCCTCCCAGAGTGCTGGGATTACAGGTGTGAGTTACCACGCCTGGCTGAGATTTTTAATCTGGGAAGGGATATCTGGAGATTGTGGAGGAATTTGGGCTTTCTCCTAAGGGCAGCGAAAAGCTGGCACTCCACAGGGTTCTGTGACACAGGCTTCATTCTGTGGTGTCCCTGCGGCTTCCTGGGAGAGAGGAGAAAAGTCAAAGGCAGGACCCCATCAAACCCACCGTGGTAACCCGCACAAGAAACAGTGGCTGAGCCAGGCATGGGGCAGGCTTGTGGAGCGGTGCATAGTGCCTGGAAGACGGGGACACAGGGTTTTGGCTGAATGTGAGGAGAGCACGCAGGAGGCGTCAGGAAGGACTTCCCCTCTCACTGCTCAGTACACGTGTGAGCATCGATGTCACAGGCTTCCAGGCAGAGGAGTGCGTACGTGAGGGTCTGCTGTGCGCTCAGTACAGAGTGGGTGTGGGTTTCTGGCTCAGGAGCCTCCCGTTGTTGTCACTTCTCCTCCTCTGTCTCTGGTCCTCCCACCTCCCTCATTGTAGGGATCATTGTGGTGACCCCAACAGTCTCCCCATCTAAAGATCCTCAACGTGGGTCTTTCCTTTCCATGTAGGGTCACATATTCACAGGTTGTAGGGATTAGGATATGGCCATCATTCAACCCACTAAGTCACGGTAAAAAAAAAAAAAAAATTACAATGCCCTGATCAGCATGCAAAGGGACAGGCAGAACAGGGAGGGGACACAGGACACAGGTTTGGTGGCATCAGGGTGAGTTTCTTCTCCTTGTGCAGGGGAGGCAAGAGTGTTCAGCATTTGCTGTTAGTGTGTCCTGACTGGCCTCTGAGTTCTCCTTCGCGTTCAGGAAGAGAAGGTGGTGAAAATAAACAGGGCTGGGTGCTCTGTGGCTGCAGGTTTTCTTCACATCTGCTGATGTGTGAGGTTGGCCTCAGGCTTAAGAGTCCTGTGCCTGACACAGGCTTGCCCGCAAGGTTCTTCCTCCCTGTAAAGCCATTTCTCAGCTCAGCACAGTCAGCATTTGGGGCCAGATCATCCTCTAGGGCTGCCCCATGAGCTGTAGAATGTTTTACACCTTCCTGGCCTCTGCCCACCAGATTGCAGCCAGTAGCTGTCCCCTTCTACACCTCTTCCCCCCTCCACTCCCACCAAACTCTGGAAACTGTCTTCAAACATGGCCAATGTTCCCGGAAAGCAAAACTGCCCCCAGTTGAGGACCTCTGCTGTGAAGAAATGGCCCACTTTTCTTGAAATTCCTGAAGGCCTGTTTCTTTAAGTAAGCCTGGTGTTCACTGTGTGCGGGTCCTTGAGACCATTCTCAGGTTGACCAGATGGACTCAGAACTCTGAAAAGCTCTTATATTCACAGTTACAGTTTAGTACATTGAAAAGATACAGATTAAAATTACAAGGCCAGGCATGGTGGCTCATGCCTATAATCCCAGCACTTTGGGAGGCCGGGGTGGGCGGATCGCCCGAGGTCAGGAGTTTGAGCCCAGCCTGGCCAACATGGTAAAACCCCGTCTTTACTAAAAATACAAAAATTAGCCAGGTGTGGTGGCTTGCACTTGTAGTCCCAGTTACTTGGGAGGCTGAGACAGGAGAATCGCTTGAACCCAGGAGACTGAGGTTGCAGTGACCCAAGATTGCGCCACTACACTCCAGCCTGGGCAACAGAGCAAGACTCCATCTCAAAAAAAAAAAAAAAATTACAGTGGTCAAAGGCACGCATGTAAACGGGAGTCCGGGAGAGACCAGGACCAGCATTCAGCTCATTCAGCTCCCAGTGGAGTTGCGTAGACAGTGCTTAATTCTCCAAACGACCATGTGGACCAGGAAGCTCACCCAAGCCTTGGTGCTTAGGTTTCTTTATTGAGGGATGTGTTATGTAGGCATGGAGCCTATATAAATTACTTTGGTTACTCAGGCCCTCCAGAGATCCCCCTAATACACCATGGCCCAGTGCCCCTGGCAGGCAGAGACATTTTAACAGGCGGGATATCCCAAGGGCTCAGAGGTTACAGCCAGTCAAGGATCAGACCTTTCTTTTTCTTTCTTTTTTTTTTTTTGGAGACAGAGTTTTGCTCTGTCGCCCAGGCTGGAGTGCAGTGGCCTGATCTCTGCTCACTGCAAGCTCCGCCTCCCGGGTTCACGCCATTCTCCTGCCTCAACTTCCCGAGTAGCTGGCACTACAGGCACCCACCACCACGCCCGTCTAATTTTTTGTATTTTTAGTAGAGATGGGGTTTCATCATGTTAGCCAGGATGGTCTCTATCTCCTGACCTCGTGATCTGCACACCTCAGCCTCCCAAAGTGCTGGGATTATAGGCATGACTTGAGGTCAGGAGTTTGAGACCAGCCTGGACAACATCCTGAAACCCCGCTTCTGCTTAAAAAATACAAAAATTAGCTGGGCATTGTGATGCGCGCCTGTGATCCCAGCTACTCAAGAGGCTGAGGCAGGAGAATCGCTTGAACCTGGGAGGCGGAGGTTGCAGTGAGCTGAGATCGTGCTACCACACTCCAGCCTGGGCAACAGAGTGAAACTCCATCTCAAAAAAAAAAAGAAAGTACAGGGTGTGGACAACCCAGGCTTACTAAACCAGCCCTGCACATTCCCTGTAATGTGTGTGTGATGTGGCAGTGTGAACATTCCAGTATCATGGAATGATGGGTTTAGCATTTACCTTTTTGGGGTAGGGGTCATTTTTTTCTTTTTCTTTTTCTCCTTCTGTTTCTCTTTCTCCTTCTCTTTTCTTTTCTTTTTGTTATTGTTGTTGTTTGAGACAGGGTCTCATTCTGTCACCGAGGCTGGAGTGTGGTGGCACGATCACTACTCACTGCAATCTCAACCTCCTGGGCTCAAGCAATCATCCTGCCTCAGTCTCTCAAGAACTTGGGACCACAGGCATGCACCACCATGGCCAGCCAATTTAAAATATATATATATATTTAAATATATATATATATATATTTTTTTTTTTTTGTAGAGATAGGGTCTCACTGTGTTGCCCAGGCAGTTCTCGAACTCCTGGGCTCAAACGATGCTTCCGCCTTGGCCTCCCAAAATGTTGGGATTACAGGCGTGAGCCAATGTGCCTGGCCCACTTTGTTCTTTTGAGTAAGTTTAATGTTGGGAGTCAGGTAAATGTGTACATACACCAACTCTGTCTTGCAAGTTGAATATTTTGTCATAACTTATGTTATACTTTAAACCTTTTTTGGTAGGGTGTGAATGCCTCCTCCCCAAACTTGTCATCTGATAGCAATTCTAATCATTCACATTCCATTTCTTTTTTTTTTTTTTTGAGGTGGAGTCTCGCTCTGTCACCCAGGCTGGAGTGCAGTAGTGCGATCTCAGCTCACTGCAAGCTCCGCCTCCTGGGTTCACGCTATTTTCCTGCTTCGGCCTCCTGAGTAGCTGGGACTACAGGCGCCCGCCACCACACCGGCTAATTTTTTTGTATTTTTTAGTAGAGACAGGGTTTCACCGTGTTAGCCAAGATGGTCTCGACCTCCTGACCTCGTGATCCGCCCGCCTCGGCCTCCCAAAGTGCTGGGATTATAGGCATGAGCCACCACGCCCAGCCTACATTCCATGTCTTTTGTGTATGTTGGTGCCTTGTCTGTCCTCCCCCTGGCACTGAGGTCGCATGCAGTTCTTGGCATTGCGTTGTCTTTGTCTTCTGTTTCAGCACTGAATTTGCTGTTCACTTCTCTCTCTCTCTCTCTCTCTCTTTGTGCTTGTTCTTGGAGGACTTGAGTGCTTGATTTGCCTGAAGAATGTTATGTGTCTGTTCAGAAGAGAGATTAGGACCTGCGAAGCTCATGCCTAGAGGGGAGAGTATTCCTGCAGAATTCAGCGTAGGAAAGGAGGCCTCAGGCACCAGAAGTGTTTGAGAGCAGGAGAGTTCTCAGAAGAGATTGCCTGGGAAATGAGAGCATCGCTGGGGTGAAGTCCCAGCAGCTGCGAGTGTTGAGGCTGCTGTGAGGTGGCCCATGCTTAGGCTCTGTGTTCCTGGCCAGAGTGAGTCCCCAGCACCGCAACATCTGCAGGAGATGATGCTGGTGGAAGAGGTTTCCCAAGCCTTTGAAGGGAAAGGTGAGAACTGCCTAAAAAATACAGCACAGAGAAAGCAAGATTTCTGCAATTCATGGCTTGATACTTGATATTCCAGGGAATTTTTTTTTTTTTGTCTGAGACTATGGGGCAAGAAAAATGCCAGCGTTCAAACCTGGGAGAATGATAAGTGTTCAGCGTCTGCAGGGGCTGCCTTTATCTGCTCTTCTAGCCCAAATGGGAGTTGTTTCGCTTTTTTTTTTTTGAGACAGGGTCTTGCTCTGTTGCCCAGGCTGGAGTCCAGTGGTGTGATCTCAGCTCACTGCAACCTTGACCTCTAGGGCTCATGCGATCATCTCATCTCAGCCCCTACCCCCACCAGTTGCTGGGACCTCAGACCATGCCCGGCTAACGTTTTGTGTTTTCTTTGTTTTGTTTTGTTTTGTTTTGAGACAATGTCTTACCCTGTTGCCCAGGCTGGAGTGCAGGGGTGCAATCTCGGCTCACTAAAACTTCCCGCCCCCCGGGTTCAAGGGATTCTCCTGCCTCAGCCTTCTGGGTAGCTGGGATTGCAGGCACACGTCACCATGCCTGGCTAATTTTTGTATTTTTAGTAGAGACGGTTTCACCATCTTGGCCAGGCTGGTCTTGAACTCCTGACCTTGTGATCTGCCCGCCTCAGCCTCCCAAAGTGCTGGGATTACACGCGTGAGCCACCGCACCTGGCTGGCTAACGTTTTTATAGAGAGGGGGGTCTCACTTTGTTGCCTAGGCTGGTCTTGAACTCTTGGACTCAAGCAGTCTGCCTGCTTCAGCCTCCCAAAGTGTTGGGATTCCTGGCCTGAGCCACCATGCTGGCCTTTGGGGTCAGAGTTCAAGGCTCTTCATGAACTAGAAAGCATTGTGCAAATGAAAGGCACCATCAGGTCGAGTGAGCGTAGTCATATGAGCAAAGGCAGAGATACAGGATGCGCTTCTGGAATGTTCAGTGGTCTCGAGTAACCTGTTGGTGCCTGCAGAGGGTGTGCTTCAGTGCCGATGTGGCGATGGGAGTCAGATGTGTGGAAGGGTTTGGTGCCACATTCAAGAGGGTTTTTGCCAAACTCTCGGTAGGACAGTGATGTGACTGCTGCAAGGGGATTAGACAAGCAGAAGATATGAAGGGTTTGGTGACTGAGTTCAGTAGAGAGGGTGACAGGCATGCCCTGGCAGTAGGCAGCATCCTGGTACTTCCAGCTGAGACCGAGGGAGGGCATCCCTGTACAACACCCCCTCCCAGAGCCGAGGGAAGTTCCCTGCGCCGCCCTGCTGGGGAGTGTCACATCCTCCTTGTCCCCACACCCCCATTGTCATCATTTCTGAAAACAGCTTATGATCCATTGTGATATGCTAAATGTACAATTACTTAGACACCTGGCCTCCACCTCCCTTCCTTAGTCACGAAATGATAGGAAAAATGCCCCTCCTTGCCCTTGACTGTTGAGGGGGCTGCTGCGTGTCTGGACTCACAGCTGAGACGCCCAGCACATGACTGGGCACATCCCCGAGCCTGAGGTAGCCCAGGTCCCCAGGCGTGAGGCCCATTCCCGCACCTGGGAAGCCCTGCTTGTGGCCGGCCCCGCGTTCTCTAGGGTGGGTGTTGGCCCTGGAGGTTTGCAGGAGCCGAGGGGCTGAATCTCTGCTTGTTTTCCACCCCAGACTGGTCTTCTGAGGACCTCTGCCCTCTACACAGCGGCCTCTTCAGGTGCAGGGAGGAAATGGAAGCACGTTCTATGCTGGTTCCACCCCAGGTGAGTGGGGGGTCTTTGCTCTCAGTGCCTTGGTCTCCATAGATGTAAAATGGGTCCAGGAATAGCACCCGCCCCTGCAGGCTGTCACACAGGAGCGCTCCGCAGTGCTGGCCAGTGCTTCCCAGTGAAATGCTCCAGCTCCCTGCAGTAAAGCGCGGCACCCGTCACCAGCATGGACGAGCCTAGAGCTCCCTGCACTAGACCCAGCGCAAGTCTCCCATGCCTGTTCCACCAGGCCAGGTCTGTGCTTCCGACATTCTGCTTGTGGTTGCTCCTCAGGCCCTTGAGGGTGGATGGAGCTAGCCCCACACCCCGACAGCCACACTGGGCCCTCAATCCTCACGGACACCCCTGGCTGGGGGAGTGTCCCCTTAAAGCACTGTAGTTACCTACCTGCAGAGTCCCCTGTAAATGGTGAGGGCCCTCTCTTCCTGGCTTGCAGACAGCCGTTGTCCGACTGTGTCTTTATGTAGTGAGGAGAGAGAGTGAGAGCACACATGCCCTTTAGTGTCTTTTCCTCTTCTTATTTTATTTTTTGACGTAGGATCTCCCTCTATTGCCCAGGCTGGAGTGCAGCGGCATGATCTTGGCTCACAGCAGCCTTGAACTCCTGGGCTCAAGCGATCCTCCCACCTCAGCCTCTCCAGTATCTGGGACTACAGGCATGCACCAGCATGCTTGACTAATTTATTATATTTTTAGTGGGGACAGGGTTTTGCCATGTTGCTCAGGCTGGTCTCAAACTCCTGGACTCAAGAGATGCTTCAGCCTCGGCCTCCCAAAGTGCTGGAATCACAGGCGTGAGCCACCATGCGCAGCCTCTTCCTCTTCTTATAAGGACTCTAGTCCTATTGGATTAGGGTCCCACCCTTGTGACTTCATTTAATCTTAATCACCATTTTTTTTTTTTGAAACGGAGTCTCGCTCTGTTGCCCAGGCTGGAGTGCAGTGGCACAATCTCAGCTCACTGCAACTCCGCCTCCTGGTTTCAAGCAATTCTCCTGCCTCGGCCTCCCAAGTAGCTGGGATTACAGGTGCCCGCCACCACACCCAGCTAATTTTTTGTAGAGATGGGATTTCACCATGTTGGCCAGGCTGGTTTCGAACTCCTGACCTCAAGTAATCCACCCATCTCGGCCTCCCAAAGTGTTGGGATTACAGGCATGAACCACCGCGCCCGACCCCCTGTCACCTTCTTGAACAGTTCTTAAACAGTTAAAATTAATCACCTTGTTTGTGGGGTTTTTTTTTTTTTTTTCTTTTGAGATGGAGTCTCACCCTGTCACCCAGGCTGGAGTACAATGGCGCGATCTCAGCTCACTGCAACCTCTGCCTCCAGGTTCAAGCGATTCTCCTGCTGCAGCCAGGAAGAGTAGCTGGGATTACAGGCATGTGCCACCATGCCTGGCTAATTTTTGTATTTTTAGTAGAGACGGGGTTTCACCATGTTGGCCAGGCTGGTCTCGAACTCCTGACCTTGTGATCTGCCCGCCTCGGCCTCCCAAAGTGCTGGGATTACAGGCGTGAGCCACCGTGCCCGGTCAATCACCTTCTTCAACAGTCACTTTGGGAGTTAGGGTTCAACATGTGAATTTTGGGAACACAGTTTATTCTATAGCATTAGCCTTTTGAAAACACACCACAGCCCTGATTTGTCCTACAGGCTGCAGTTTTCCCACCCCGATTTAGAGTGTCTTTCTTACCTCATTTCGAATCTGTGATTTTTGTAGAGAGGAAGTGGGTGAGGATCTCCTAGTGGAGTTCCTGTCATTTCCAGTCTAGAAATCAGGACCACTGCTGTGACTGGCAAGAGGTGAGATGCCCAGAAAAGGAATGGTACAGACCACATACATGGAGCTGTCCCAGTCCGTTTGGGTTGCTATAATAAGATACCTTAGAGTGAGCAATTTACAAACAACAGAATTGACTGCTCATAGTTCTGGAGGCTGGTAAGTCCAAGATCAATGTGTCAACAGAGTTGGTCTGGTTGGGGCCTGCTGTCTCATAGATGGCACCTCTTACATGTCCTCATATGGTAGAAGGTGAACACAGGCTCCCTCAAGCCTCTTTTATGAGGACATTAATTGCCTTGTAAAGACCCCACCTCTTAACACTATCTCACTGGGTATTAGGTTCCAATGTATGAATTTTACGGGGGGACACCAACATTTAGGCCTTAACAGGTACCTCCGTGAGGGCATGAGGACCTGGGGTCTCTGAGCAGTAACAAGTGCCCTGTTTCAGGCATCTGTGTGCTTCGAGGATGTGGCTATGGCATTCACACAGGAGGAGTGGGAACAGCTGGACCTGGCCCAGAGGACACTGTACCGAGAGGTGACACTGGAGACCTGGGAGCATATTGTCTCCCTGGGTAAGTGGCTGTGCTCATGGAAGGAGGTTCTACCCCTAGGACTCAAAGCTGTACCAAGTTCTGAAGGGTGTTCTGGGATGTGCTGGAAGATACTGGAAGCAGGTCCCTTTCAGGTGCAGTTCCCAGGGGTTGCCCTTCATTCTATCTCTGGGACAGGTTTGTGACTTGTAGTCCTAACAGTGGGGAGTTTCCTCGGGACAGCACTAGGGGCTGAAGCTTGGACCCAGGACATGGTTCTTGGTGTCCAAGCAGAGGGGCAAGTCCTTTTTCCGTCTTTGACCAGGGCTTTTCCTTTCCAAATCTGATGTGATCTCTCAGCTGGAGCAAGAAGAGGACCTGTGCAGGGCAGAGCAGGAGGCCCCCCGAGGTAAGAGCAGACCTTGTGGTGAGCAGCTCAACGTTTAACAAGCTTGGACAGAGAGCTCTCCGCAGGGCCCCAGGGGCCAAGGAGGGAGCCTTGTTTGGAGGAAGCCTCCTTGGGTGCTCTTTGCAGCAGTTCACCCATTCAAAGGAGTTCACCAATTCGAAGTATGCAGTTCATGGCTTCCAGTGTCTTCCCTGAGTGTGGAACCCTCACCACAATCAGTTCTAGAACATGTTCATCATCCCAACCATTTAGGCCTCTTTACTTGATTTGTTTTTTTTTAATTAATGTATGTATTTATTTATTTATTTTGAGATAGGGTTTTACTCTGTTGCCCAGGCTGAAGTGCAGTGGCGCTGTCTTGGCTCACTATAGCCCCCATCTCCCTGGCTCAAGCAATTCTCATGCGTCAGCCTCCCTAGTAGCTTGGACTACAGGTGCACACTGCCACACCTGGCTAATTCTTTTGTTTTTGTTTTTGTTTTTTAAGACGGAGTTTCGCTCTTGTTGCCCAGACTGGAGTGCAATGGCACAATCTCGGCTCACCACAACCTCCACCTCCCAGGTTCAAGTGATTCTCCTGCCTCAGCCTCCCAAGTAGCTGGGATTACAGGCATGTCCACCATGCCCGGCTAATTTTTTGTATTTTTAGTGGAGACAGAGTTTCACCGTGTTAGCCAGGATGGTCTTGATCTCCTGACCTCATGATCCGCCCGCCTCAGCCTCCCAAAGTGCTGAGATTACAGGTGTGAGCCATCACGCCTGGCCCTAATTTTGTATTTTTATTAGAGGTGGGGTTTCTCCATGTTGGTCAGGCTGGTCTCGAACTCCCGACCTCAGGTGATCCACCTGCCTCAGCCTCCCAAAGTGCCGGGATTACAGGTATGAGCCACTGCACCTGGCCATTAATTTTTGTATTTTTAATGGAGATAGGGTTTCATCATGTTGCCCAGGCTAATAGACTTTATTTTTTAGAGCAGTTTTAGGTTTATAGGTAAGTTGACGAGAAAGTGCAGAGTTCCCACCCATGTCTGCTGTCCTACAGACACATGCAGTGTCTCCTGCTGTTAACAACTTGGATTTGTATTGTACATCTGTTACAATCGGCAAACCTATCTTGAGGCATCCTTTTTTTTTTTCCCAGACAGAGTCTCACTCTGTCACCAGGCTGGCGTACAGTGGTGTGATCTCAGCTCACTGCAACCTCCGCCCCCCAGGTTCAAGTGATTTTCCTGCCTCAACCTCCCAACTAACTGGGACTACAGGCACGCACCACCACGCCCAGCTAATTTTTGTATTTTTAGTAGAGTCAGAGTTTCACCATGTTGGCCAGGATGGTCTCGATCTCCTGACCTCATGATGCGCCCCCCTCAGCCTCCCAAAGTGCTGGGATTACAGGCGTGAGCCACTACCCCTTGCCCTTGAGGCATCATTATCACCCAAAGTCCATAGTTTATGATAGGGTTCATGCTTTTTTTTTTCTTTTTTTTTTTTTTTTTTTGAGACAGTGATGCAGTCATAGCTTAAGCCTTCTGGGCTTAAGTGATCCTCCCACCTCTCTGCACCCCAGCCTCAGGTGCCACAGCATGCACCACCATGCCTGGCTAATGTAAAAATTTTTTGTAGAGATGGAGTGTCACTGTGTTGCCCAGGCTTGTCTTGAACTCCTGGGCTCAAGTGATCCTCCCACCTCAGCCTCCCAAAGTGCTGGGATTACATGTATGAGCCACTGCACCTGGCCAGGCTTCACTCCTGATGTTGTATATTCTGTGCATTTGGACAAATGTACAATGTCATGTATCCACCATTATAGTATCAGACAGAGTAGTTCCACTACCCTAAATATTCTCTGTGCTCTACCCATTCATCCCTCCCTCATCCCCAGCCCCTGGTGTTACTGGTGGAGGATGTGCAGGTTCTTGGCATTTTGAACAAAGAATTGGACAAAATGCATAAAACAATGAAAGAATGAAGCAAAAAAAGCATAGATTTATCAAAATGAAAGTACACTCCACACAATGGGAGTGGTCTGGAGCAAGCAGCTCAAGAGCACTGGTTACAGAATTTTCTGGGGTTTAAATCCCGAGAGGTTTCCCATTGGTTACTTGGTTTATATCCTCTGTAAATGAAGTAGTGGCCCATAACTAGTCTGATTGGTTGGGGAAGGTGACCAACAGAGGCTGAAGTGAAGTTACAAAGTTACACCTCTATGCAGATGAAAACTAGGCCAGTGACCAGTCTCATTGGTTGCAGGAAGAGGTACTTTCCATTTTTCATCTGCGACACAGAAGGCGGGGGTTGCCTCTGATCCTTTTGTTATTTGGGGCATGGAAAGTTTGGGTTTTCCTTTTGATTCAGTTCCAGGAAGTCAGCATTAATCACCCTTAGGTTTCTTGCCTCCATACCCTGTTCTCATACCTCATTTCCCCCCGAAAGACATGATCCTCATAAATCTTTATGGGAGGTAAAGGGATTGATAGTCTTTCTTCTGTAACTGCTTTATGCTGACCTGAGGCACAGTCCCTACGTACTGGGGAATCACAGGACTCTCTCCCCGCCCTGTCTAGTGGAGACAGGATAGCTTCTTGATGGCCAGGGGTGGTGTCTCCACCTGGAACTGGCTGGAAACATTGTCACATGATCATCTGAAGCTTGATGGTCTCTAGGTGACAGGAAATGAATTTGGTTAAGAGTTTAACAAACATGGTCCAAAAACCAAGGCAAGTATAGTCATTACTAATGGGCTGGCCAGAGGAAGGAGCCATGAACCCCAACTTAGCATTTTTGACCAGGAGCCCCATGACTCAGATAGCTGTTGTTGTATTTTAGAGGCCCAGTTGGGTAGTTTTTGGGTGGCATTTGTTACTAATCCTCATTGTTCGGCATAAAAACAGCATTCTTCCTCTAGAAAAAGACCTAAGCCCCCCTTTACAGCAGTTAGGAGATCTCATCCCCTTCTGTTTTGCCAAGCAACTGCTGCTGAGGCATCTATTTGATTTCGTATGGTGATGATACTTTGGCCAATGTCTCTATTTTTTCTTTTTTACTTTGGGCAATGTCATTCAAGCTTTCCATAAAATCCTTGGAAAAGCATTGGTAATAGGATAGGGATGTTACAACCCGGCTGACTCCCATTCCCAGTCCCGCGGTTATTTGTAGTCCTACCAAAAGGGATGTGAGTTGGATGGTTCATTTGTGTCTGGCAATTGCAGTTAAAGGTATAATGAGGGATTGGTTCTTGGGAGCTATATTAATTTCACAGGCTAAATAAACAAGTGTAAAGGTTCTAGTCCAATTGGCTGGTAAACATAAGTAAGAACTAGTTCCACACAGGTAAAAGGCTCCTAGTTTTTCAAGACAAGAATTTTCTATGGTAAACATGTGGGTTAGCTTGTTGTTTTCACTTTCCCAAGTGGTTAAGGTCCCTATGAAGGTGGCCCCAGTTAAAGGCTGGAAAGGACCTTGGGAAATATTCTGAGTTGCCCCAGCAGTTCTGTTTTCCCATTGGAGGTAATTAGGCTTAGTGTCTACCAACAAGCATCCAGAGGTGTTTCGTACTGGGGAACCAAAAGATAACTAGATGTCTGAGGATTAGTGCAGTCTTCCCAAGGGAAAATATGATCATAGCTAGTGGGCTTACCTTGGCAGTACTTAGACTGTGTATCCTTTGAAGTGTCCTTATCTAGGGATGGTTTCCATGAAAACCATACAGGTTTTCTAAATGACACAGTCTGGGTAACTGCCTAGCTTATGTAATCATGTGAGGGGTTAATAATCTCTAGGGTGTAGTTACACTGATGACTTTTCAAGGTTCCCAGGGCCTGACCAAAATTTTGGCTTCTCTTAATACAAAGTGGCACCTGGAATTTTAGCTCTGTGTACATTGATATTGGGCCCCAAATGGGTTTCTGTGGGATGCAACCCCAGAAAGGGTACTCTGATAGTACTGGAGAAGGTTTACTGCTTGTCCTGTCATCGTAGTTCATGTTTTTTTCCCCAAGGCCAAAGATTGGGCTGGGATTGGGGTGGTAGTGTATTTGAATGATGCTGGAGATAACCAAAGCCAACAGTCTTTGCCAGAGCTGGGCTGGTGGTATTTAACTGTCTTTGAGTTAAATGTAAAGTTTTTAATAAATACCCAGAATCCATTAACTGCTGGAGGGGTAAAGTGAAGCTCTGTTGTAAAATAAAGCTGATTCCCATTATGCGTGGTCCTGTATACACAGGCTGTGGGTGACCATTATGGAACCAAAAAATACTTATTTGTTATTTTGTGCTATAGAATAGGAACTTCAGGGGTGGATACCTATGCTGTCAGGAATGCTTGTTATAAGAATTAATTAAAACACTTTGCTTAATTATTACAAAGGAAGTTATTCCATTTGTTTAGAAGAAAGCAATTAAATTGTAGAAGTATAACAATGGCTACTATTATCCAGTTTAAAGTAACTAAGCAACAAAGACACCAAGGAAAGTTGGTAGGCTTTTACTTATCTTTTGGCTGTCTTTTAAACAGGTACTTCAGGTCTTTCACAAGTCACAGGTGTAGTGGCTGATGGGAGCTTCAGGTTCCCGGTCTGGGACTTCACATAACACAGGCTTGACACCAGAAAGATGTATCCAACTATCTAATCCTAGTACTTTGACCCCAGAAGGCATGGCCAGTACTGAAAATGGTCCCTTCCACTTTGATTGTAATTATTGAGCAGGTGATCCCTCCTTCTATGTTTTAACAGGTACCTTGTCTGTTGGCCTGATTTTGGGTTGGTGGTTAGTTCCTGGTGTGGGGAGCTTTTGAGTTCCAAACTCTTGTAAAGCCTGCTGAAATAATCCCAGGTTAACTAGGTATTTTACTAAACTGGATGTTTCTGGATCAGAGATTAGATCATTAGTTAAAAATGGCCTTTTGTATAACATTTGTGTGGGCTCATAATAATTTTTTCTCTAGGGGAATTATGGATTCTTAAGAGGGCTATGGGCAGTAAGCAGATCCAAGTTTCTGATGTTTCCTGACATAGGAACTCCTATTTTAGAGTTAGCTAAGCTCTTTCCACTTTTTTGGAGGATTGAGGTCTCCATGCTGAATGTAAATAATAGTTGATTCTGAGAACCTTAGCAACCCCTTGAGTTATTTGGGAGACAAAAGATGGGCTGTTATCACTTTGGAGGCTTTGAGGTAACCCAAACCAGGGGATTATTTCCTTTAAGAGAACCTTTATAACTTCATTAAACTTCTCTGTTCTGGTAGGGTACACTTCAACCCAGCCAATAAAGGTGTCTGTTAGTACTGGCAGAAACTTTTATCCTTTGCAAGCTGGCATATCAGTGAGGTCTAATTGCCAGTCTTCCCCTTTAACTTTAGCCAATATATTCACACACAGAATCCCTTCTACAATTAATTTTTCATAAACCTTCTACAGCTTGTCTTTTAACCCTCCAAACTTTGGCAAGAAATCCATATTCTCATGCCTTTTACCAAAAGTACATTCTACTTTTTTTACATGAATCCTTTTCACGACTTACACAGACCTTCTATGACATGCCTGGACTTTCTGACTTGTCCTAAACATCCCTCTTTAAACAACCATTCATTTAACTTTAGGGCAAGAATTTACCATACAGGATCCTGTCTCATACAAAATTATTATTGCTACATCCTTCCCTACCAAGAATACATCTTCATATACATAACTTTCTTCACCTCTCTCTCCCGTACTTACTGGTTTCTTACTACCTTGTTTCATAAATAACCCTTTTTTTTAAGTCAACAACCTGAATCAACCTTTAGACAACCTCTGAACTACACAAAATCATTTCTTTCTTACCAATAGCACATCTTTTTTGGCACCTTTTGTATACAGAATCATTTGTTAACTAGAATTCTTATCCTTAGTAACCTTAAATTTTAGTGAAACCCTAAAAAGCAAGAAATCCTGAACTATTAGATATGAGCATTTTATAGATGAGAAGAATTCCACAACTTTTAGAAACATATTTCCCCGTATCATAATCCTTCCTTTTTATTTACTTATTATCATTATGTTTTTGAGACGGAGTCTTGCTCTGTCACCAGGCTAGAGTGCAGTGGCACAATCTCGGCTCACTGCAACCTCTGACTCCCTGGTTCAAGCAATTCTCCAGCCTCAACCTCCCGAGTAGCTGGGATTACAGGCACGTGCCGCCACACCCAGCTCACTTTTATATTTTTAGTAGAGACAGGGTTTCACCATGTTGGCCAGGATGGGCTCGATTTCCTGACCTTGTGATCCACCCACCTTGGCCTCCCAAAGTGCTGGGATTATAGGCGTGAGCCACCGCACCCAACCCATAATCCTTTCTTAATTGGAAATGACCCAGATATCCAATGAACATCAAAAACAATTTTAAGATTTTAAGTTACACAAAGAGTTTACCTAAAACATTTATCCCAATTTCATTTACTCAATTCTTTCATTTTAACATTTTATCTAGATTACTTCTGAAAACTAAGATAGTAGACACCATCCTCTAAAGTTATTTCCTTGTTAGCCATTTTTTTATTACCAATGAATATCATTTGCTCACTGAAAAAAAGCCTCAAAGTTAAATACACAGGTATTTTTGCCAATAACTCAGAAGATTCAGCTAACAACATTAAATTAGTCTGATTTGTTTATTTATTTTTTGAGACAGAGCCTTGCTCTTTTGCCCAGGCTGGAGTACAGAGGCACAATCTCAGCTCACTGCAACCTTCATCTCCTGGGTTCAAGTGATTCTCCTGCATCAGCCTCCTGAGTAGCTGGGACAACAGGCATGCACCACCACATCCAGTTAATTTTTTTTATTTTTAGTAGAGATGGGTTTTCACTGTGTTAGCCAAGCTGGTCTCGAACTCCTGACCTCGGGTGATCTGCCCACCTTGGCCTCCCAAAGTGCTGGGATTGCAGGCACTAGCCACCATGCCCGGCCAAACTAGTCTCATTTGTCAAAGAAAGCATACAAACCAGGACCATTTTTTGTTTTGGCTGGGTTAATACCTTTATAACCTTCTGTGCCAAACACTGACACCTTAAAATATCTTGCAAAGACAAATATAAAACCATATATGTTGACAATTCTGAAGACATTTCTATTTTCATTTTACCAATAATTTTAAAGCCAACTTCTTTAGTAAAGATTTACTTAAGTCGGCTGGGTGCGGTGGCTCACGCCTGTAATCCCAGGCAGGCGGATCACGAGGTCAGGAGATCAAGACCATCCTGGCTAACATGGTGAAACCCCATCTCTACTAAAAATACAAAAAATTAGCCAGGCCTGGTGGCGGGCACCTGTAGTCCCAGCTACTTGAGAGGCTGAGGCAGGAGAATGGCGTGAACCCGGGAGGCATAGCTTGCAGTAAGCTGATATCACGACACTGCACTCCAGCCTGGGTGACAGAACGAGACTCCATCTCAAAAAAAAAAAGGAACAGCAGCACAAATGCCTGGATACATGCAACTCCATCTCACTTTCCCATTCAACAGCAAACTCCAGATTCCAAACAATGTTGGGGCCAAACAGTATTGCAAAAGAATATCAAGTGTTTCCTCCTTAGATTATCAGGGTCAAATTTATTCCAGTCGTTGAGGATGCAGCCAAGCAGGGAGTCAGATGGAATAGATGGAGTGTTTCCTATTATTGTCTGTAAGAGAGAAAATCCTAGGGAGGGTGTAGTACTATTCCTCAGAACCTCAGCCTAGGGTGTCCCCTTTGGAGAGGTTGAGGTCTGGAGTTGGATCCCCTAGAGGATCCCCCTTTGGGGTCCAATCTTAGAGTGTCAGACATCTCTGACTTTAGGTGGGCACCAGTGCTGCTTTATATGTTTTCCCTCCAGTGGCGATGGTCTACTGTGAGCTTTCCTTTGGTTCCTGGGCGTAATCCCAGACTTTTAGTATCCCACTAATTTCAGTGTGATGTATCTTCCTGCATTCCTCACAGGACTAAGGAGGTTCTGAAACATTGCAGAGTTAATAGTACCAAGGTTGGTGGGGTATTCTCTGTGAAGGAAGGATCCAGCGGTATGTGAAAGACTGAGATTGAGAATTTCTTTCTTTCTTTTTTTTTTTTTTTTCTTGAGACAGAGTTTTTCTTTTTTTGAGATGGAGTCTCACTCTGTCGCCCAGGCTGGAGTGCAGTGGCGCGATCTCGGCTCACTGCAAGCTCCGCCTCCCGGGTTCACGCCATTCTCCTGCCTCAGCCTCCTGAGTAGCTGGGACTACAGGCGCCCGCCACCACGCACGGCTAATTTTTTGTACTTTTTAGTAGAGATGGGGTTTCACCATGTTAGCCAGGATGGTCTCGATCTCCTGACCTCGTGATCTACCCGCCTCAGCCTCCCAAAGTGCTGGGATTACAGGTGTGAGCCACAGCGCCCAGCCTTAGACGGAGTTTTGGTCTTGTTGCCCAGGCTGGCTGGAGTGCAGTGGCATGATCTCGGGTCACTGCAACCTCCGCCTCCCGAGTTCAAGCAGTTCTCCTGCCTCAGCCTCCTGAGTAGCTGGGGATTACAGGCGTGTGCCACCATGCCCAGCCAATTTTTTTGTATTTTTAGTAGAGCTGTGGTTTCACCATGTTGGCCAGGCTGGTCTCAAACTCCTGACCTCAGGTGATCCACCCGCCTTGGCCTCCCAAAGTGCAGAGATTACAGGTGTGAGCCACTGCACCTGGCTGGGGTTGAGAATTTCTGTGAGATTCAGGGAAAGCAAATTGATGCAGAAGCAATGACCGTCAACCTATGGGATCCCCTCAGTGAAGTCTGAGATGTAGAATGTCTACTGAAGCTTGTGGATCCCAAAGGTCTTCAGACAGTCAAATCGAGTAAGAGAAGGTAAGTCAAATGCATGAGATACATTATCTTTTGCCCTTACAGGCTGACTTTAAGGAGAATTTTGCATAAGAAAAGAGGATTTAAGTCACCTGAAATATGCGTGAGTTCGCCCTGGATGAGCTGCCGCTGCCAGTTGCATCACAGATAGGGATCAGGGACTGTAACTGGAAAATAGAGAAAAGAGTCTTTTCCCCTTCTGGGCAGGGCAGCTATCCCCATTTACGCCTTGGCCTTCAGGCAACACCAGAGGGTGGCCCTGGCCAGCTGCCCTCAGTTACCAAGGAACTAGTAGGAAACGGCAGCTGAAAGATTTTCTGAAAAAGAGAAAAAGGAAAAGGACTAAGGTCCTTCACCCGAACTGGGTGGTAGCGGTCAGGCACTTCCACACAGAAATCTTTCCGTTTCACCAGAGAGTGGCTCCGGCCAGAAACTTACAGTTGCTTGCATGCTTATGTGCTGTCCACCAAGGATCCGTAAGTTGGAAAGGGAAAAAGAGAGAGAGAAAAGGATTCCCCTATATGGAAAAGGGAAAACAAAAAGAGAAAAGAAAGAAATCCCAAACCTCGAGCCTACCTCCTGGCTGGCTCACCAAAATATGTTACCAGTGGAGGGTGTCTATGTTCTTGGCATTGTGTTCTTTTACTTTTTTTTTTTTGAGATGGAGTCTTGTTGTACCCAAGCGAGTTAAAAATACGCCACACTTTGAGACGAATTAAGAGTCCTTAATTAAGCCGGCGGCCAAAGAGACGGCTAATGCTCAAAATTCTCTCGGCCTCGAGGAAGGGGCTTGATTAACTTTTATACCTAGGTTTAGGAAGGGGAGAGGGACTCAAATGCAATAAGTCTACAGAAGTAAAAACATGCAAGAATCAACAGAAGCAAAATGGTTACAGAGAGATAAACAACTTAAACGGTTACAAGAAGAGCAACGGTACCACGTGCAAGGTTCTAAATCTTTCATTATAATTAGATATATAGGGTCTATGCCGGACACAAACTCAAGGTTTTCTGTTGTTATCTCTTTGAGAAAAATCCTGGGAACTTCATACATTGTTGGTGTTAGTGCCTTATCAGTTAATTGGGCTCTTTTGAAATGCTGAGGATCTGTTTACCCAGGCCAACTCCTTAGGAAAGGGGGTTGGGTAAGGAGCCCTTAGTGTCTTGTAAATTAAGGGGTCAATTGGAGTTTGTCCGGCCTTCCCAGCTAGAGAGAGTCTTATTTACATGAGAAGCAAGGCTAGGTGATTAAAGAGACAAGCAGGACAAAATTCAAAGTAACCAGTTAGAGTAAAAACAAGCTTAGGCATTTCAGTCTCACTCTGTTGCCCAAGCTGGAGTGCAGTGGCACGATCTCTGCTCACTGCAAGCTCCGCCTCCCAGGTTCACGCCATTCTCCTGCCTGAGCCTCCTGAGTAGGTGGGACTACAGGCACCCACCACCACGCCCGTCTAATTTTTTGTATTTTTATTAGAGACGGGTTTTCACCATGTTAGCCAGTATGGTCTCGATCTCCTGACCTCGTGATCCACCCGCCTCGGCCTCCCAAAGTGCTGGGATTACAGGCATGAGCCACCACGCCTGGCTGGTTCTTGGCATTTTTAACAAAGAATTGGACGAAACACACAAAGCAACAAAAGAAGCAACAAAAGCATAGCTGTATTGAAACAAAAATGCACTTCACAGAGTGGGAGCAGGCCCAAGCAAGGCTCAAAAGCACTGGTCGCAGAATTTTCTGGGGTTTAAATACCCTCTAGATGTTTCCCATTGGTCACTTGGTTTACACCCTATGAAATAGTGGCCCATGACCAGTCTGATTGGTTGTGGAAGGTGACCAAGCAGAGGCTGAAGTGAAGTTACAAAGTTACGCTCTATGCAGATGTCTGACTGGTTGCAGGAGGGGACCAATCCGAGGCACTTTCCATTTTTCATCTGCAACACAGAAAGTTGGGGGGAGTTGCAAAGGGAGTAGCCTCTGATCCTTTTGTTACGTGGGCATGGAAATTTAGGGTTTTCCTTTTGATTCCGTTCATGAAGTCAGCATGAATCAGCCTTAGGCTCCCTGCCCCCAGACCCTATTCTCCTGCCTCACTGGCAACCACTGATCTTTATCCTGTCTCCATAGTTTTGCCTTTTTCAGAATGTCATAGTTGGGGTCATTCACTACGTAGCCTTTTCCGACTGGCTGCTTTCACTAAGCAACATGCATCGTGTGTATCTTCATACCACCCTCTCACGTTTCCCCCAGGCTGGAGATGTTGAGTTTATCTGAATTTTTCTCGTGTCTTCCTGCTCCTCCTTCCTTGTAACTCTCTCGCCTGCAGCCTCTGTTATTTCTTCCTCTGAAGGTGCACCCAGGCTTACTTATCTACCCTCCTCCCTGGGCCATGCCCTGCACACCATACCTCAGTCATGTCATCCTGGATTCTGTTTACTGTCAGTCTTTCTGTTTGGCATAGGCATCCCTCTTGGCTGGCCTGTGAGGACAGCCCCTTTCCTCATTTCATGCTCCTAATGGAGAAGCCACTGCAAGATATTTAATGTCCTTCACCTGATTTTCCATGGCCACGCAAAACCTGGACACAACTCAGCCACCCACTGACTTCTTTCCTGCTTCTCATCCTCAAATACCCTTCATTGGGCTGTTGTTTCTTTTGAAAACATCCTCCCATGAGGGATTCCACAGTGATTCCCCAGAGGAACCACAGAGTTGGGATGAGGACAGTGCAAGTGTGAGAGTGCTGGGTGTGAGGGCACTGGGTGTGAGGGCACCAGGTGTGAGGGTGCTGGTTGCGAGGGCACCAGGTGTGAGGGTGCTGGGTGCGAGGGCACCAGGTGTGAGGGTGCTGGGTGCGAGGGCACCAGGTGTGAGGGTGCTGGGTGTGAGGGCACCAGGTGTGAGGGTGCTGGGTGTGAGGGCACCAGGTGTGAGGGTGCTGGGTGTGAGGGTGCTGGGTGTGAGGGCACCACGTGTGAGAGTGCTGGGTGTGAGGGCACCAGGTGTGAGGGTGCTGGGTGCATGCAAGGATCTTGCCCAGGAGGGAAGAGAGCTTTTGATTGAGAGGAGGGAAACATCCTCTCAGAAGTCAAGGGATGGCCACAGAGTGTAGTTAATGTGTTGCCAAAGGATCCTTGTGTCCTCATGAGCTCAGAGAGTGAGGCATGAGAACTTGAGGTAGGCCGCAGTAGTGTTGACCGTGGTGGCCATGCAAACATAATGAACAGAGTGACAAGCAGAGTGGAGGATCTTTAGGACCTGGACAAGGATCCTGAGCTGGGAGCCTCTGCCACTCATTTTTAGAGGCTCCGTATCTTCAACAGAGAGGAATCCCCACCAGGACAATAACAAGGATGGCAAGATCAACCATATTTTGTAATATCAGTGCCAGACACTGTGTGAGGCTCACATAGTGATTCATTGATGCCTCAAAATAAATCTTGTAGGCTAAACATTCTTACTCCGGGCTACAGCAAGGAAAATGAACCTCTAAGAGGCTAAGGACCTGTCTGAAGTGGCAAACGGTGGAGCCCAGATGCAGCCAGTCATGCTGATCATGCTGCTTCAGAGACCATGCAGTCTTTTCTGGAGAGTCTTCTATTGGGTCAATTCTGGAATGCTTAAATAAGTTTTTCTCTGTTTGCAGCCTGAAGAAATGGTAGAATTGGTGCATTAAGAATATGAAGTCAGTGTTGATGTCTGAGATGCAATTATGAGATCCAGAAGTGGAACAGAAACTGATATTCTAGGACTAAGCACCAGTTAGGAGTCTGTGTTTGCTTCCTGTGGCTGCTGTAAAAAATTTCCACCAACCTGTTGGCTTAAAACAATGCAAATTTATTCTCTAAAAGTTCTGGAGGCCACAAGTCCAAAATCAATGTCACTGGATCAAAATCAAGGTGTTGATATGGTTGTGCTCCCTCTGGATGCTCCAAATGGAAAACACATTTCTGTCTTTTCCTTCTCCTGTTGGTTGCAGCATTCTTTCCAGTCTTCAGATATCTTCTGCTGTGTCTTCTCATCACCTCCTCTGTGTTTCAAATCTCCCTCTGCCTTTCTCCTATAGGAACACTTGTGATTACATTTAGAGCCCCCCTGGATAGTACAGAAAAAAAATCCCCATTTAAAAATTTTTAGCAGGGTGTGGTAGCAGGCACCTGTAATCCCAGCTACTCAGGAGGCTGAGGCAGGAGGATCACTTGAACCTGGGAGGTGGAGTTGCAGTTAGCCAAGATAATGCCACTTCACTTCAGCCTGGGCAACAGAGCCAGGCTCTGTCTCAAAAATAAACAAAACAAAATAAAATAAAAATACTAATCACAGAAGGGTACATTGGCTTGGCTGTAATCCCAGCACTTTGGGAGGCCAGTCGGGGAGGATCACAAGAGCCCAGGAGTTTGAGGCTGCAGTGAGCCATGATTGTGCTGTTATCCGGTCTGTTCAACAGAGCAAGATCCTGACTGTAGAAAACTAAGTAAATAATAATAATAAAATTCTAATCACATCTGGACAGTTCCTTTTTCCCAAAAGTTCACATTCACAGAGTCCAGGGGCTTAGAACATACATACTTTTTGCAATGGTTAATGGCTTTATATCCTGCAGACCCAGTTCATTCTGTGGATTTCTCTTTTTATCTTCACCTCCCTGCTTATTCTCTTTTTTGAGACAGGGTCTCACTCTCTCACCCAGACTGGAATGCAGTGGCCCGATCTTGGTTCACTGCAACCTCCACCTCCCAGGCTCAAGCGATTCTCCTGCCTCGGCCTCCCGAGGAGCTTAGACTACAGGCGCCCACCACCACACCTGGCTAATTTTTTTTTTATTTTTATTAGAGATGAGGTTTTACCATGTTGACCAAGCTGGTCTCTAACTCCTGACCTCAGGTGATCCACCTGCCTCAGCCTCCCAAAGTTCTGGGATTACAGGTGTGAGCCACTGCACCTGGCCCCTCCCTGCTTATTCTTATTCTTCTGCCCTCTATTTGGGGACTAGTGTTACTTAGTCACTTCTTTATTATGTTTGCTTGTATTTTGCACTTTACCACTGATACCATGTTTGCTGATCCATCCCTCCCTTTCACAGCCTGCATACGGATTACAGTTTGTAGTTTGGAAACAAACCAGAGACACTTCCATTAAACAGTTGTCTCCTTCATCTCCCCCTCCCCCTCCCCCTCTGATGCTTCTCCAGTAACTTAGGCATTTTGGATTTCTTTCAGACTGGAAAGCTACCCTTGAGGAGAATAGGTTGAATTCTGAAAAAGATCGAGCTAGGGAAGAACTATCCCACCACGTGGAAGTGTACAGGAGTGGACCGGAGGAGCCACCCTCTTTGGTATTAGGAAAAGTGCAAGATCAGAGCAACCAGTTAAGGGAACACCAGGAGAACTCCTTGAGGTTCATGGTACTCACCTCAGAGAGACTGTTTGCTCAAAGGGAACATTGTGAGCTTGAACTTGGGGGAGGTTATTCTCTACCTTCTACTTTAAGCCTTCTACCTACAACATTACCTACAAGTACAGGTTTCCCTAAGCCCAACTCACAAGTTAAAGAGTTGAAACAAAATTCAGCTTTCATTAATCATGAGAAAAATGGAGCAGATGGGAAGCACTGTGAGAGTCATCAGTGTGCTAGAGCTTTCTGTCAGAGTATTTACTTGAGTAAACTTGGAAACGTTGAAACAGGAAAGAAAAACCCTTATGAATATATTGTCAGTGGTGACTCTCTCAACTATGGTTCCTCCCTTTGTTTTCATGGTAGAACTTTTTCAGTGAAGAAAAGTGATGACTGTAAGGATTATGGAAACCTCTTCAGTCACAGTGTGTCTCTGAATGAACAGAAGCCAGTGCATTTTGGGAAAAGTCAGTATGAGTGTGATGAGTGCAGGGAAACCTGTTCTGAGAGTCTGTGCCTTGTACAAACAGAAAGAAGTGGCCCTGGAGAGACCCCCTTCAGATGTGAGGAACGCTGTGCTGCCTTCCCCATGGCCTCATCTTTTTCTGACTGTAACATCATTCAGACTACAGAGAAGCCATCTGTGTGTAATCAGTGTGGAAAATCTTTCAGCTGTTGTAAGCTCATACACCAGAGAACACACACTGGAGAAAAGCCCTTCGAATGTACTCAGTGTGGGAAATCTTTTAGCCAGAGCTATGACCTTGTCATACATCAGAGGACACACACTGGAGAGAAGCCCTATGAGTGTGACCTGTGTGGGAAATCCTTCACCCAGAGATCCAAACTTATTACACATCAGCGAATTCACACTGGAGAAAAACCGTATCAGTGTATTGAATGCAGAAAATCCTTCAGGTGGAACTCTAACCTCATTGTACATCAGAGAATTCATACTGGAGAGAAACCGTATGAGTGCACTCACTGTGGAAAGTCCTTCAGCCAAAGCTATGAGTTAGTTACACATAAAAGAACGCACACTGGAGAAAAACCCTTCAAATGTACTCAGTGTGGGAAATCTTTCAGCCAGAAGTATGACCTTGTTGTACATCAGAGGACACACACTGGAGAGAAGCCCTATGAGTGCAACCTGTGTGGGAAATCCTTCTCCCAGAGTTCCAAACTTATTACGCATCAGCGAATTCACACTGGAGAAAAACCGTATCAGTGTATTGAATGTGGGAAATCCTTCAGATGGAACTCTAACCTCGTCATACATCAGAGAATTCATACTGGAGAGAAACCGTACGATTGCACTCACTGTGGAAAGTCCTTCAGCCAAAGCTATCAGTTAGTTGCACATAAAAGAACTCACACTGGAGAAAAGCCCTATGAATGTAACGAGTGTGGAAAAGCCTTCAATCGAAGCACTCAGCTCATCAGGCATCTGCAAATTCACACTGGGGAGAAGCCGTACAAATGCAATCAGTGCAATAAAGCCTTTGCAAGGAGCTCCTACCTTGTGATGCATCAGAGAACTCACACTGGTGAGAAACCTTTTGAGTGTAGTCAGTGTGGGAAAGCCTTTTCAGGGAGCTCTAACCTTCTTTCCCATCACAGAATTCATTCTGGAGAGAAACCCTATGAATGTAGTGACTGTGGGAAATCCTTCCGGCAGCAATCTCAACTTGTAGTGCATCGGCGGACACATACTGGAGAGAAACCTTAGGAGTGCAGTCATTGTGGGAAAGCTTTCATCCAGAGGTCTCCCCTCATCATGCACCAGAGGACGCATGTCGGTGGGAAGAGCTATCAGTGTGACGTGTATTAAGCCAGCGGTTGTGACTCATTGAACATCAGAGGACATATCCTGGAGAAAAGCCCTACGAATGCATTGATTGTGGGAAAGCCTTCAATGATCGCTCAACCCTTAGTAAACACGAGAGGACACACACTGGAGGCAAACCCTATGAATGTGACCATTGCGAGAAAGCCTTTAGCCAACGGTGTCAACTTACTAGGCAGCAGAGAATTCATACTGGAGAGAAGCCCTGTGAATGTTAACAAATGTGGAAAAGCTTCCAGTTATGATACTTTCCTTATTCAACATGAGAAAGCTCATGGGCAAGAAACTCTATGAATAACCAAGATGGAGCCGGGTGCAGTTGCCAACACTTGTAATCCCAGCAGTTTGCGAGGCCGAGGCAGGTGGATCACTTGAGCCCAGGAGTTTGAAACCAGCCTGGGTAACATGGCAAAATCCTGTCTTTACAAAAAATACAAAAATTAGCCTAGCATGGTGGCGCATACCTGTAGTCCTAGCTACTCAGGAGGCTGAGGTGGGAGGATCACTTGAGCTTGGGAGGCGGTGGTTGCAGTGAGCTGTGATCATGCCATCACACCGCTGCCTTGTGAGAGATTGAGACACTCTAAATAAATAATAACCAAGATGGGAAATTTCCCTGCCAGACCTTGTTTACTAGAAATCAGGTGGCCAAAACATGACTCTCAGAGTGGGGCTTCATGACCATGTGCATCAGAATTGCCTGGAGTGTGCACTGAAACTGTGTATTACCAAGCTCACTCTAGCCAACTAAATAAAAATCTCTGGCAGTAAAATCCAGGAGTCTGCAGTTTCTAAAATCACACAGGTGAGTGGGCATGGTGGCTCATGCCTGTAATCCCAGCACTTTGGAAGGCTGAGGTGGGTGGATCACCTGAAGTCAGAAGTTTGAGACCAGCCTGGCAAACATGGCAAAACTGTCTCTATTAAAAATACAGGCCAGGGGCCGGGCACGGTGCCTCACACCTGTAATCCCAGCACTTAGGTAGGCCAAGGTGGGTGGATCACGAGGTCAGGAGATTGAGACCATCCTGGCTAATATGGTGAAACCCTGTCTCTACTAAAAATACAAAAAAATTAGCTAGGCATGGTGGCGGGCTCCTGTAGTCCCAGCTACTCAGGAGGCTGAGGCAGGAGAATGGCGCGAACATGGGAGGCGTAGCTTGCAGTGAGCTGAGATCACACTACTGCACTCCAGCCTGGGCAACAGAGCAAGACTGTCTCAAAAAAAAAAAAAAATACAGGCCAGGCACAATGGCTCATGCCTGTAATCCCAGCATTTCGGGAGGCAAAGGCAGGCGGATCACCTGATGTCAGGAGTTCGAGACCCACCTCACCAACATGGAGAAACCCCGTCTCGACGAAATATACGAAAATTAGCCAGGTGTGGTGGTGGTAATCCCAGCTACTCGGGAGGCTGAGGCAGGAGAATCTTGACCTGGGAGGCAGAGGTTGCAGTGAACCAAGATCAAGCCATTGTGCTCCAGCCTGGGCAACAAGAGGGAAACTTCATCTCAAAAAAAAAAAAAAAAAAGGACTCTGGTGAGGCTTGGTGGCTCATGCCTGTAATCCCAGCACTTTGGGAGGCTGAGGTGGGTGGATCACTTGAGGACAGGCATTCAAGACCAGCCTGGCCAACATGGCAAAACCCCATTTCTACTAAAAATACAAAAATTAGCCGGGTGTGGTGGCACACATGTGTAATCCAGCTACTTGGGAGGCTGAGGCATGAGAATTGCTTGAACCTGGGAGGCAGAGGTTGCAGTTAGCTGAGATCATGCCACTGCACTCTAGCTTGGGCAACAGGGCAAGACTGTGTCTCAAAAAAACAAACAAACAAACAAAAAACCCTGAGCTGGCTGTAATGGCTCATGCCTGTAATCCCAGCACTTTGGGAGACCGAGCGGCCAGGCAGATCACTTGAGCCCAGTAGATTGAGACCAGTCTGGGCAACATGTTGAGACCCCATCTCTACAAAAAATAGAATTAGCTGGGCATGGAGCTGCACACCTGTAGTCCCAGCTACTCAGGAGGCTGAGGCAGGAGTATTACTTGAGCCTGGGGGTGGGGGGGATGGTCTCACCTGCAGTGAGCTGAGATCACACCACTGCACTCCAGCCTAGGCACCAGAGCAACACTGTGTCTCCAAAAACAACAAAATATTGGACTCTGAATATTTCAGGGATTCGGTTGTGCTTTAACTTTGTTGCTCAGTTGGTTTGATTGTAATCAGAACTGGCAGCATGTTAATATGGAAAATACTTATCAGGGGATGTGAAAACAGGAGCCCAAGTAGTATGTTCACAGAAGGTTACAAGCACATAATTTAAATTGGTCCACTCAGCAACATGTTTCCTAAAAGAAAAAAATGTAAATTGACAGTAGTGGGGAGACTAGAAGAGGCCATGTCTGCATATTTATTTATTTATTTATTTATTTATTTATTTAAGACAGTCTCACTCTGTTGCCCAGGCTGGAGTGCAGTGGTATGATCTCTGCTCACTGCAAGCTCCACCTCCTGGGTTCACGCCACTCTCCTGCCTCAACCTGCTGAGTAGCTGGGACTACAGGCACCCGTCACCACGTCTGTCTAATTTTTTGTACTTTTAGTAGAGACAAGGTTTCACCATGTTAGCCAGGATGGTCTTGATCTCCTGACCTCATGATCCGCCCACCTCGGCCTCCCAAAGTGCTGGGATTACAGGCATGAGCCGCCACACCCGGCCGCATTTATTTTTATTTTTTGACACAGGCTGTTGCTCTGTCACCCAGGCTGGAGTGCAGTGGCGCAGTCATGGCTCACTGCAGCCTCAGCCTGGATCAACTGATCCTCCTGTCCTTGCCTCCTAAGTAGCTGGGACCATAGGCATGTGACATGAAGCCTGGCTAAATTTATTTTTTTAGAGACGAGGTCTCACCATGTTGCCCAGGCTGGTCTTGAACTCCTGGGCCCAAGTGATCTCCAGCCTTGGCCTCCCAAAGTCCTGGGATTACAGGCATGAGCCATAGTGCATACTATTACTGCACATTTAAGCAGGATAAGAGCCAATGGGAGGGTGAGC